>NT_167248.2:1342182-1675466 GCF_000001405.40 Homo sapiens | reverse complement strand
TCAAGGTTTTTAGGGGTGGGTGGTGTTTGGTTACCTGAATTAATTCTTTAGTGGTGATTTCTGAGATTTTGGTGCACCCAGCAGTCAGGAAGGATTGAGCAACAGGGTGGGGAATATCCATCTCCCCACCTCCCTACCCCGATCAGCCTGAACTGATGGCAGAAACTGACTGCTGATGCTTGCTTTACTCACCCACATTCCCCATTCACTTATTCTTCATCAATTTGGTTCACATGTTCCCAGCAGTCGCTTCACCCCAGAAGCAGTGTGACTCCTATTCTTCAATACCAGGGAAACTCAAAGCCCTCTCTGCCCCCATCTCTGATATTACACTTCAGCTCAACATCATCACATGAAGGATCCAACTCTTCAGGGCAGATGTTCCCCCAGAGTCAGCCCCTGAATTTTGGCCCCAGATGTGCACCCCCACCCCCAACCTTTCCTTTTCTGTTTTGCTGTGAATCTGTCAATCACTGGGAACTGGCAGGGAGAGGTAGGAAGAGGGAGAGATTTCTTCATGCTGTGTCAAGGCATTGAGACAGACCTCTCCTTTTCCCCTGAACCTTGTATTCTACTCTTCCCAGATGCATGAAATAAAGCACAGGCCAGAAATGTCTATTTAAAGAGTAAAAATCCACAGTATAAAATTATGCAGACATAGTAGACATGGGGTAATTTATAACAGTGTGCCAAGGGTGAGGGGACCTCAAGGTGCCAAAAAGGCTGGTCCCAGGCTTGCCAGGAGGAACCGTCAACAGGACACACACTCATAAAGCTTTTATGCACATACAATGTGTTTAAAGGCACATATGTGCTTTGGTGCATGTAATTACTGCACATACAATACATTAAAAGATAATAAAAGTTAATAAGATAATAACAAAACAACAAAAATAATAATACCGAATATTATGGCACAGCTGCAAACACCTCATAGCAACTAACAGTTGTCAATCCCTGACCACAAGAAATAAGTGCTGTTAGTTTCCCATTTAATATATGAGGAAACTGAGGCATCAAGAGGGAAAGTGCTGGTGAGACCTGGGTAGGGAGTTGAATCCAGTGGAGCCAGCAGACCCAGGAGCTGGCACCAGAGACTGAAATTCCAGCTGTATGGTGCCCTGGTGGTCTCCTGTCCCAACCAGGTGTTGATCTGGGCTTTGTAGGCTCATGTGCTCTGGAGAAAAGAGAGAAACAGTAAATGCTCCACTGGGTGCAGAGTGCTGCTTTTCATTCCCTGAGGATTTCTCCCTCCTCAGAAACTCCGAAATCAGATTCACCCTTTCTCTGAGGGAAGAACTGACGCCCCCACTTTTTCCTCCCTCCCATCCTAGTTTCTCCAGCCTCCACCAGTCTCCTCCTGTGATTCCCTCAACAATGATACCTGCCCTGTGCCCACCATCCACCATGTGGGGAATGAAAGGGCCTCATGACTAAAGGACAAGAATCAGATCCAGGAGGGAACCCGGGGCCCTCCCCTCCTCCCAAGCCCCACCAGCCTAGACACAGTGGGAAACCTCCCCAAAGAGAGGATGGTCCTAGCTCCGTGTCCTACCAGGCCTGGGCTGGGTCACGCACGCGGTCCTTCTCCCTCTCAGTCCCCAGGCCCTCCTCACCTACAGAGGCACTTGCACAACAGGGCAGACCCTGCACACTGGGCTCCCCGCTCCACCTGCAGCTCAGCGTTCCACCCTCCGAGCCCTGAGCAGCCAGCCCCTAACTGCAGAGCCCATCAAGAAGCCTGGGGGCTCGGCACAAAAACACGTGGCTGCCACCGGGTCTGCACCTGACTGGATCCTGGGACCCTCCACGCTTGAGGACACCCAACCTTTCCAGACCCTCAGCACCCACCCGGGTCCGTGACCTGCACTTGGGCCATCCTTGCTCCTGCCTGGTCCACTCACCCCTGGAAATGCACCTCCACCCCAGGGCTGCTGCTTGCTGAGGCTGCAAGACCTTCCTGCCCTGTTCCTAGCAGGGCTTCCACCCAGGCCACTGCCCTCACAGCCCACAGGGAATCTTCTTCTTCTCCCTGTGGAGCAGGGGGTTTCTGGAGACCCCTCAGCCTGAGGCTGCCTCCACCCACCCTCTGCACTCCAGGATTGCCACTGCCACAACCACCATCTCCAACATGGACCCTCCTGGAGAGGAAGCTCCAAGCTTGACTTCTCATTTGATTGTACATGCTTTACAACATCAATATTAGAGGAAATCCTATTAAGATTATCCAGCGGAAATTGTGAACATCTTTATTGGACATCAATATTTAAAGGAGAATTTTTGAGAAATTAGCACATGACTTTCACACCCTTTCCCTGGCCAATGCCCCGTGACCTACAAGGCAAACTTTCCTGCCCACGGGGACCCAGAAGTGACAACCCCTCTATAGGAGACAGTGCAGGTGAAAGCAGGAGCGACCACAAACCTGCACTGCCCCTGCTGTGGGTGCCTCCTGGACGGGGCCCTCTTGCTGCAGGGCAGGGGATGAACCTTCCCATCTGCCCAGGACTGAGGGGCCAACAGACAGTGCAATTAGGTTCAAGGATGAAAAACCCCCACCCCCACCACCAGGTGCAAAAAAGTGGGGAAATGGCAGAAAGACTCCAGTTTCCTGGACACCCAGCCTCTCACTGGTCCCCTGCACTGCCTCTGTCTTTGCAGAAACACAAAACTTCCTGTTTTCTCTTTTACTTTCCCCTCAAACAACTGACTGTGGGGGAAATCATCCTGACCATCCTTTACTCCAAATTTACAGGAAAGTGACCACCTTGAGAAAGGCTCAGGGAGGGCAAGGTGAGGCCACAGAGCACAGAACAAAGCCCAAAAAACATGGTCCCTGAGCACTGTGTCCCTGAGGGACTGTGTCCTTCAGGGCCTGGACAAGGAAACACCTAGAAGTAGGATGAAAACAGGGATGACAGCTGCCCTGACAAGGGGCTGGTCACCACTCCCCAAATGGCCCAGAGACATCTGCGTATCTTCTCATCCATATTATCTGCAAGGGAACTCAGGGTGCAGGGCCATGTGGTGGGAACCTGGAAAGAGCATGGCCTCGAGTGATCCAGGAGACACGACACCCCCGAGACAGCTCCTGGAGGAGGCGCGTGGGGAGCTACAAAGTGGACAAAGATGGCTGTGTGCACTCAGAACCCTCCCTGTTACAAGGGGGTCTCCAAGGGGCTGCACAGGCAGGCCCCCCAGTCTGGGCCTCATAGGTCTTTTTCTTGGTGTCCTCCTGATGGCTGGAGAAACAGGGGAGGGGGATGCAGAGAGGAAGGGACTAGAGGCACCACCTCTCCTCATATTCCTCTCCAGTTTCTAGCCCTCCCCAGATCACAGCCGTCTTTACTATTTGCCCCCTCTGAAGCCATCATCATCCAGGCCCTCAGCAATCAGCACATGATTCCCAGCTCACCCCACGCTGATGCACGCTGGTGAGCCTGAGAGACAGAGGGATGGGGATGAGGACAGAGCAGGTGCCACGGCCGTCCTTGCTGCCCACTCCTCACCTGCAGCAAGAGGAGGCCACAGATGGACATTCGAGGGCTTTGGCCCGGCCCTGGCTTGGGCAGGACTTAGGGGTCTAGATGAAATTGTAGCTCCTATTCCCCTCCCAAATACCCCAACTTCCAAACCCTGTTCCAAAGCCTTGTCACCTACATGCCTGTCTGTGCAGGAGCTATGAGGGGACCCTACTGCCCAGACAGGGTCCCTCCCATCTCCAGCCACTGCCCCCTTTTTTCACCTGGGTCCTCTGCAGCTGATATTTTCTTCTTGCACCAAAGGACACAGAGAATAATAATAATGATAACAAAAACAGCAGCAGCCGCAACATACGGAACGGTTGCCATAGACTCTGAAGCATCAGGGCTTTCCCTGAAAAAAAGGGCCTTGTTGCACACTGGGCACTCAGAGTTCCAGTTATCTCTGCTGTGCCCACCTTGGCCTGACCCTTTCTAGGTCAGAACACTTGAGGGTCGCCCCAGGCTCACCAGAGGACACCAGGGTAAGTGCTGTGATTCCTGCTGTGTCCCACATAGCAGGTAGCCCTCTGCTCCTCTTCTTGGGGAATCTTAGTGGCCACCCAGGTCTGGTAGGTCCCATTCCCATTGGGCAGGACACCCACAGACCGATGGGCATCCTGGCTCAGAAAATGCCCCAACCTGACACCAGGCCAGAGAGATATTCTGGGGATAGAAGCCAGAAGCCCAGCATGTGGGGGTGACTTTGTTCTCTGAGGCCTGGCATTCACCATGGTAGGCACTGGATAGGAAAGGGCAGAGCCAGTGAGGCACATGGCCAAGCCCCGCTCCCTCTAAGGGAGACTCAGGGAACAGGGCTGCTCCTCTCCAGTGTTCTCACTCTGGCTGAAGCCCTCATGGACCCCGGATCTTTTGCAAGTCTGTCCTTACCCTGGGGCCCAATTCCTTTGGGCTGGCAGGAGGATGGGCCTCAGACTATGGCCTCAGGCTCTGAGATCCCCACATTGATGCTGAAGGGGAGGGATGTCAGGATTGGACTCCTGGGTCATGAGGCCAGGAGGGAACTCTCTGGGATGGGCAGGCTGGGAGGCAGAGGGGGCAGCCCTAGCCCTGAGGGCTTCCTCTCCTGCCTAACACCCACCCCAGGGTGAGGATTCTGTTGGGAGTGGGCCATTGCTTTCCCAGATTACAACACTGGATGGTTCAGTCCCCAACCCACTGTCTTTATCCAGTGGCTCTAACAAGAGAGGAAAGTCAGGACACAATACGCCAACAGGAAACGCCTGCATCCATAGCACAGAGAGGGTTTCCCAGGACAGAGCTGGCAGGGGAGTGACTCTAGTGAAATGGGGGAGAGGAAAGCCCCTGCCCAGGGTCGGTACCTGTTCTCCTGATGCCCTCCTAGGATTCGAGATGTTACTGTAGTTTCTGCAGACGGTCTGCCATCACAGGGTGAAAGTGTCTTGGCCTGTGTGGCATCTTCATCCCAGAAATTTCTGATATTCATAGCTAAGGTCTGAGCTCTGGAGGACTGGGGCACTGTCCATTCCTGAGTCTCCAGGTTTTGGGAGAGGAAGAGCTCCCCATCATAGTAGAAATGCCGGGAGCCTCTGGTGCTGCTGTCTTCATGGATCTCACAGACCCTAATCTCCTGGAGGGAATGCAAGCCTGCCCCCACCCAGCAGTTCATTCCTGAACCCCTCACCTTCCCACCCAAGTGAGGAACTCAGCCCAGCTGGGACCCCTCCCTGGCCCTCCTCCATGCCTCCCTGTGTGGGCTGAGTGCCGGCTCACCTCCCTGCTGAGCCCCACTGACCCCTATTTCTCAGCCCACCCTCAGCCAGATCCAGTGGGAAGAGACAGGTCCCTGCTCTCTGCCTCCAACTCTCCTGGAGAAGGCCTCTGCCATTACTCTTGCCCCTGCCGACTCTCACCTCCTTTCTGGCCCTTGATATGAGTCAGGGTCCTCCTGAGGTCCTGCCCATTCTCTGTCAAGTCCTCGGTCTCTGTGTCCCAGGTCTCAGCTCCCAGGACTGCTTCTGCCAACTGTCCACAGGGCCCCTGCCCTGCCTTTCTGTCTGTCATAGAGCAGGAACGACTGACCATCCAGATGTCCCTCAGCGAGAAACCCTGACTATACAAATCCATCCTGGGACAGCACCGTGAGGTTGTAATGAAGACTGTGGGACCTGGGGAAGAAGAAACCACAGATGAAACTTCTTCCTGGAAATAACTTCACATAGATATTTAACACACAGATCTGCTGCCCCGACCTTCCTGAGGAAGCAGAAGTGGCTAAGTGTTGACAGTTTTGTAGTAATTTACAAGTTGATATGGTTTGGCTGTGTCCCCACCCAAATCACATCTTCAGTTGTAACTCCCACAATTCCCACCTGTCATGGGAGGAACCTAGTGGGAGGTGATTGAATTTTTGGATGGGTCTTTCCTGCACTGTTCTTGTGATAGCGAATGAGTCTCATGAGATCTAATGGTTTTAAAAAAATGGGAATTTTCCTGCACGAGCTCTCTCTTCTTGCCTGCTGCCATCCACACAAGATGTGACTTGCTCCTCCTTGCCTTCCACCGTGATTGTGAGGCCTCCCCAGCCATGTGGAACCATTAAGTCCGTTAAACCTCTTTCTTTTGTAAATTGCCCAGTCTCAGGTATGTCTTTACCAGCAGTGTGAAAACATACTAATACACAAGTGAAACACATTATACATTTTAATCCATTAAAGACTAGTTAGCAGCACTCACCACAAGCTGATATAAGAGCCTGTGAGCCTTAAGGGAACATTCACTGGTAATGGTCTGCAAACAGGGGTAGTCTGACTTCCCCTATCCCCTTATTTCTTTCTCTTGCCTTATTGCTGTGGCCAGGACTTCCAATACTCTGTTGAATAGGAGTGGTGAGAGAAGGCATCTTTGTCTTGTGCTGGGTTTCAAGGGGAATGCTTCCCCCATTTGGTATGATGTTGGCTGTTTGTTTGTCATAGATGGCTCTTATTATTTTGAGGTATGTTCCTGCAATACCTAGTTTATTGAGCGTTTTTAACATAAAGGAATGTTGAATTTTATCAAAAGGTTTTTCTGGATCTATTAAGATAATCATGTGGTTTCTGTCTTTAGTTCTATGTATGTGATGAATCACATTTATTGATTTGCACGTGTTGAACCAATCTTGCATCCTGGATATGAAGCCTACTTGATCATTGAGATTAGCTTTTTGATGGACTGCTGGATTTGGTTTGCAAGTACCTTGTTGAGGATTATTACATCAATGTTCATCAAACATATTGACCTGAAGTTTTCTTTTTTTGTTTTGTCTCTGCCAGGTTTTGGTATCAGGATGATGCTGGCCTCATAGAATGAGTTGGGGAGGAGTTCCTCCTTTACAATTTTTTGGAATAGTTTCAGTAGGAATGGTACCAGCTCTTCTTCGTCCATCTGGTAGAATTCAGCTGTGAATCCATCAGGTTCAGGGCTTTTTTTGGTTAGTAGGCTATTTATTACAGATTTAATTTTGGAGCTCATTATTGGTCCTTTCAAGGAATCAATTTCTTCCTGGGAGGGTGTATGTTTCCAAGAATTTATCGATCTCTTGTAGGTTTTCTAGTTTGTGTGCATACAGGTGTTCATAGTAGCTTTTGATGGTTATTTTTACTTCTGCAGAGTCAGTGGTAACATCTGTTTTGTCATTTCTAATTATGCTTATTGGGATCGCCTCTCTTTTCTTCCTTATTAGTCTAGCTATCAGCCTATCTATCCTATTAACTTTTTCAAAAATCATCTCCTGAATTTGTTGATCTATTGAATTTTTTTGTGTCTTGATTTCCTTCAGAACTTAACTCATTCTTAACATTTCACAGCCCACTTTCAGTTAATAATGTACTAGTTCACATAAATATAGAAATCTTGCAACCATTTATCCTCTATAAAACGTCCATCTTTTATGCCATAGATATTATATGTAATATATTTACATAGGTTATAAGCCCCATCAGAAAGCTATCTTATTTTACCTTTAAACAGTTCTATGTATATGAAGTAAGATTAAATGGGGGTGGGGGAGCAAGATAGCCTTTCGCACTTAATATTTACCACTTCTCACATTCTTCATCTTTTCTGATAATCTCATTTTCCACCTGGTATCATTTGCTTTTAGCCTGAGACACTTTCTTTACCAATTTTTATCGTACAGATCTGCTGGTGACAAATTCTCTTAATTATCTTTTACCTGAAATATCTCCTTATTTTGCATTTATCTTGAAGGACATCTGTACTGGATATAGAATTCTTAGTTGACCTTTTATTTCTTCCAGAACTTTAAAGATGTTATTCTAGTTTATTTTGTTTCTCTGGTTTCTGATGAGAAATCATTGGTCAGGAAAAGAGAAACAGAGAAAGAAAAACTGAGCAAATAACATGACAAACCTAAAACCTATCATATCAATAATGACAAAAACCTACATAAATCAGCACTCCAATTAAGGGCAGAGATTCTGTGACTGGATTAAAAAAAATAACCCAACCATATGCTCTTTTCAAGACATGAACTTTATTTTTTTTAATTTAACTTTTATTTTTAGTTCAGGGTACATGTGCAGGTTTTTGTATAGGTAAATTTGTATCATGAGAGTTTGTCATATGTAGGCTCCAGCCCTACAGGACCTGTGGGTTTTTCTCTTTGTGTGTGGAGATGAGAGAGTGTAGAAATAAAGACACAAGACAAAGAGAAGAAAAGAGAGTTGGGCCCAGGGGACCACTACCACCAAGGCACGGAGACTGATAGTGGCCTCGAATGCCAGGCTGCGCTGTTATTTATTGGATACAAGACAAGGGGGCAGGGTAAGGAGTGTGAGCCATCTCCAATGATAGGTAAGGTCACGTGAGTCACGTGTCCACCAGACAGGGGGCCCTTCCCTGTTCGGTAGCCGAGGCGGAGAGAGAGAGGGGACAGTTTATGTCATTATTTCTTCTATGTATTTCAAAGACTTTAGTACTTTCACTAATTTTTGCTACTGCTATTTAGAAGGCTGAGCCAGGTGTAGAGGGTGGAACATGAGAGTCAAACAGGAGCGTGACCACTGAAGCACAGCATCACAGGGAGACGTTTAGGCCTCCAGATGGCTGTGGGCGGGCTTGACTGATGTCGGGCCTTCCACAAGAGGTGGTGGAGCAGAGGCTTCTCTAACTCCCCCGGGCAAAGGGAGACTCCCTTTCCCGATCTGCTGAGTGATGGGTGCCTTCTCAGGCACTGGCGTTACCGCCAGACCAAGGAGCCCTCTAGTGGCCCTGTCCAGGCATGACAGAGGGCTCACACTCTTGTCTTCTGTTCACTTCTCACCGTGTCCCTTCAGCTCCTATCTCTGTATGGCCTGGTTTTTTCTAGGTTATAATTGTAGAACAAAGATTATTATAATATTGGAATAAAGAGTAATGTCATAAACTAATGATTAGTAATATTTATACATAACCATATCTATATTTTATGTCTAATACAACTATTTTTATTTTAAGTATTTTCTTTATTATACTGGAAGAGCTTGTGCCTTCAGTCTCTTGCCTCGGCACCTGGGTGGCTTGCTGCCCACAGTCATATAGTTTCTGTACCTATTAGTACCCACCCAGGTATTAAGCCTAGCACCCATTCATTATTTTTCTTGATCCTCTCCCTCCTTCCACCCGTTGCCTTCAAGTAGGCCCCGGTGTGTGTTGTTCCCTTCTATATGTCCATATGTTCTCATCATTTAGCTCCCACTCACAAGTGAGAACATGTGGCAATTGGTTTTCTTTTTCTGCATTAGTTAGCAAAGGATAATGGCCTCTAGCTCCATCCATGTTCCTGCAAAGTACATGATCTCGTTCTTTTTTATGGCTGCATAATGTTCCATGGTGCATATGTGCCACATTTTCTTTATCCAGTTCACCATTGATGGGCATTTAGGTTGATTCCATGTCTTTTCTATTGTGACAAGTGCTGCAATGAACATACATCTGCATGCAAAACATGCAATTTCAATATGAAGGCACAGATAAATAAAAATTGATGAAAAAAGCAATGCCATACAAACATTAAGCACAGAGGATTGAAATGGTTATTTTACTACCAGTAAAAGATTTTCAAATAATATGTATTACCAGAGAGAAAAAGAGGCGCTTCATAATAACAAAAGGGTAAAATCAACAGAAAGACATGCAACCAGAAATGGATCCAATAGCAAATCTTCAGAGTTCATGAAGAAAAATTGACAAAATTACAGAGAGAAGTAGAGAATTCTACAAACATGGTTAGACATTTTAAAGCTTTCTTTCAGCTATAAATACAAAAACTAAGAAAAATTTAGCAAAGACATAGAAAATTGAAAAGCATTATCAAGCACCCAGACTTAATTTATTTATATGCATATGCACATCAATGAAAAACACAAATTATCTGAAGTATGAATGATACATTTACCAGGAGAAACCATATTTCAGGCCATAAAACAATAAATTTGAAGACATTGAAATCATACAGAATATATTTTCTGGCCATAATGGAAATACATTAGAAATCTGTAACAATAAGATGATCTTGTGGGACTGAATGCTTTTGTCATCCTTAAACTCATAATTGAAACCTAATCTCTAATGTGATGGTGTTTGGAGGTTGTGCCATTAGAAAGTGATCATGCAGTGAAGGCAAAACCCTCATTAATAAAATGAATGCCCTTATAAAAGGGACCCCAGATTGCTTGCTCCTTCCACCACGTGGGGACACCAAGAAAAGGCAACATCCATGAATCAGGAAGCAGCCCTCACCATACACTGACTTTTCCCAGGCCTTGATCTTTGACTTCCCAGCCTCCGGAACTGTGAGAAATAGATTTCTGTTGTATGCAAGCCACATAGACTATGGAATTCTTTTATAACTGCCCAGATTGACTAAGACGGACGATCATGAAAATACCAAGGATTGGAAATTAAACATCAAAATTCTGAATAACAACTTATTCAAAGAGGAAATCACAGGAGAAATTAGAAAGTCTTCTGTTTTCTGAAGAATACTGAAGCACAACATATCAAATGTATGGGATGCAGTTGAAGTAGTGTTAGATATAAAAAGAGTTCCTCTTTAAGGGTTAACTTGCTCAGCATCCTGGCTCTTTGTTCCCTGCTTTCAAGGCCAGACTTCCTTACGCTCTGTATCCCCTGCCCTGGTAAACAAATTTCCCGCCAGTCCTTATCTATGGAGACCACATCCCACATCTGCTACCCACTCTATAGATTAACCCTCCTGTTGCAACAGCTCCTCCCGCCAAGACTGCACTCTCTGTTGGTATAACCACATTCCTGCACTTTTCAAGTTAGCCAGCCAGGTTCAGCTTAGATTGTGCAGTCCAGCTCCAGCCAATGGAGACAAGACACAGTTACAGGGACAAGCTGCATTAAGAGATTATAAAAAACCCCTGCTCTCCTTTGTTCAGGTGTGCACTTGCCATCGTTCCATCATAAGTAGCACCCTTTCTGCAGAAGTCAATTGCCTTGCTGAGAGATCCTTTGTCTCAGTGCTGATCTTTCTTTACAACACTGAGCATTTGTTCCCAACAAGCAGTACTGAAGAAAAAACTGATATCCTTAAATGCCTATATTAAGAAAGAAGGTAGGTCTCAAATTAGTAAATTAGTTTCTCCTGTAAGAAGCAAAGAAGAACAAATTAAACCAATGCATGCAGAAGGAAGGAAATAATAATAAAATAAAAAACTGAAGCAGAAAGAGAAAATTAATGAATCCAAATATTGGTTCTATAGGGAAAAATCGTACACCTTATAAATTTCTAGCCAGACTGATCAAGACAAAAACATACACATTAACAAGGTCAGCAATAAAAGAGAGAACATCAGTACACACTCTAGATCTCAAAAAGAAATATTGATAATCTCATGTCAATAAGTTTGACAAGCAAATGAAATGAACAATTTCCTTGAGAGGGAAAACTTATGAAAACTGACCTGAGAAGAGATAGAAAATGTGGTCAGCCATATATTGATTGTAGAAATTGAATTTGTAATCAAAATCCTTCTAATATAGGAAAGTCTAGGTCCAGAAGGCTTCACTGATGAATTGTATCAAACATATAATTTAGAAATTACATCAATTTTACACATACCTTTTAGAAATTAAAGTAGGCAGTTTTTTTCAATTCAGTCTACGAAGCCAGCTATATTAGTCCGTTTTCACACTGCTGATAAACACATACTCAAGACTGGGAAGAAAAAGAAGTTTAATTGGACTTACAATTCCACATGGCTCGATGGTCTCAGAATCATGGCAGGAGGTGAATTTTTTTTTACGTAGCAGTGGCAAGAGAAAATGAGTAAGATACAAAAGCGGAAACCCCTGATAAAATCGTCAGGTCTTGTGAGCCTTATTCAATACCACAAGAACAGTATGGGGGAAACTGCCTCCATGATTCATATTATCTCCCACTGGGTCCCTCCTACAACATGTAAGAATTATGGGAGTATAATTCAAGATGAGATTTGGGTGGGGACACAGAGCCAAACCATATCATTCCACCCCTGGCCCCTCCAAATCTCATGTCCTCACATTTCAAAACCAATCATGCCTTCCCAACAATCCCCCAAAGTCTTTCCTCATTTCAGCATTAACCCAGAAATCCACAGTCCAAAGTCTCATCTGAGACAAGGCAAGTCCCTCCCACCTATTAACCTGTAAAATCAAAACCAAGCTAGTTACTTACGAGATACAATGGGGGTACAGGTATTGGGTAAATACAGCCATTCCAAATGGGAGAAATTGGCCAAAACAAAGGAGTTACAGGGCCCATGCAAGTCCTAAATCCAGTGGGGCAGTCAAATTCTAAAGCCCCAAGATGATCTCCTTTGACTCCATGTCTCACATCCAGGTCATGCTGATGCAAGAGGTAGGTCCCCATATCTTGGGCAGCTCTGCCCCTGTGGCTTTGCAGGGTATATGTTCCCTCCTGGCTGCTTTCACAGTCTGGCGCTGAGTGTCTGTGACTTTTCCAGATGCACAGTGCAAACTGTTGGTGGATCTACCATTTTGGGGTCTGGAACACGGTGGCCCTCTTCTTACAGCTCCACTAGGCAGTGCCCCAGTAGGGACTCTGTGTGGGGGCTCCAGCCCCACGTTTCCCTTCCACATTGCCCTAGCAGAGGTTCTCCATGAGGGCCCTGCCCCTGCAGCAAACTTTTGCCTGGGCATCCTAGCATTTCCATACATCTTCTGAAATCTAGGTGGAGGTTCCCAAACCTCCATTCTTGACTTCTGTGCACCTGCAGGCTCAAAACCACATGGAAGCTGTCAAGGCTTAAAGCTTGCACCCTCTGGAGCCATAGACCAAGCTGTACCTTGGCCCCTTTTAGCAACAGTGGGAGCATCTGGGATGCAGGGCACCAAGTCCCTAGGCTGTACATAGCATGGGGACCCTGGGCCCTGCCCATGAAACCATTTTTTCCTCCTATGCTTCTGGGTCTGTGATGAGAGGGGCTGCCATGAAGACCTATGGCATGCCCTGGAGACATTTTCCCCCTTGTCTTGGGGATCAACACTTGGCTTGTTGTTACTTATGCAAATTTCTGCAGCCAGCTTGAGTTTCTCCTCAAAAAATGGGTTTTTCTTTTCTACTGCATTGTCAGGCTGTAAATTTTCTGAACTTTTATGCTCTGTTTCCCTTTGAAAATGGAATGCTTTTAGGAGCACCCAAGTCACTCTTTGAATGCTTTGCTGCTTAGAAATTTTATCTGCCAGATACCCTACATCATTTTAAGGAAAGGCTAGCATGGGGAAGAAGAAGAGAGACGAGAAGAAAAGAGCTCCCTGCTTCTAGTGAGCAAAGGCCGCCGCCCGAGCTTCTTAGCCCTTCATATTTACTGGGTAATAAGGGCAAGGAGGAGGAGGTAATGATTGGTCAGCTGCTTAATTGATCACAGGTTCATATTGTTACTGGCAGGCTTCAATTGTGGCAAATCATA
Source organism: Homo sapiens (assembly GCF_000001405.40). NCBI lineage: Eukaryota > Metazoa > Chordata > Mammalia > Primates > Hominidae > Homo > Homo sapiens. The sequence goes on along the minus strand of NT_167248.2, from coordinate 1,661,983 downwards.
AGAAACATTCGTGCGGCCTCCAACATCTACTCCTTTTTGTTTTAAAATTAATTGAGCAAGGTAATTGCAGGCTGTGCAGCTCTTAATTGCCGGTTGGTGATCCAGCTTCATTTTTCTTAGCCCTTATTCAAAATAGAGTTGCTGTGGTTTGAATGCTTCTTACATATCTCCCCCTTCCCTTTTTACAAGAGGACGCTTAATCCTAAGGGTTGCAGAAGGATGAAGGTCTGTCTTCTGCAACTTCTTCATGCAGAATAAGGGCGATGATATTCCTGCCTAACTATTAGGGTCTCTTGTATTCAGGGTAGAGAGGAGCTGAGTCAGAAAGCACTGGTCCGTTAAACATCGATTGTACTTCTGAGTTCCAGCAAAAGGTGACACCCTGGCACTCCAGCAGTTTCTCAGCTTCCTGTGTGGTTTTCTTGATCAGTCCCCATGTTATGGGGGTTGATGTCAGCATGACTCTGGTCAGTCGTCGTTCCATCTTCGCATTCAGATTCAACTGGCTCATGGATTGTACTGGGGGAACCAGGTCCAGGGTTGGGATCCATGGGTCCCTCCAGTCTCCCATTCCAAGATGCACCTTGGAAAAAGAGACAAAAATCACTAGCATCTGTGGCCCACGCTTTTTCCTAAAAGGGTTTTGAGGACTTCAGTACTTACAGGGGAAAGAGCAGGCAGAAGGGGAAAAACAGTCAACTATGCATTCATCTTGTGCTCAGTAAATCTGAATTTTACATAAGCTAAAGTAAACATAGAGTAGTAAAATATGTGTTTGTCTCCGGGTGGGTGAAGGGATGATTTCTAGTCTTGTCTTTGTCCTGTACCTGTGAAGATAAGCTGTTACTTTACATTGTCAGGGGAAAAGTCAACAAAACTCTGTTTTAGGGTAAAGATGTTGGGGCCCACAAGGAATTACATTGTGAGCAGATTGTGAGGGAGGCCACTTGGGGAGATATGTGGTCCTCTATCTTTGCAGGTATTTGTTTAGGAACAAAAGAAAGGCAGTTTTTCCATGACTCAGTTCCCAAACTTAACTTTTCCCTTTGGCACTGTGAGTTTGGGGTCCCAAGATTTTATCTTTCTTTCACACTCAGTATTGCAGTTTATTATTGTCATAGCTTAAATCAGCGGTAATCATAGCTTACCTCAACATATTTGGCACCAAGTACTGGTTTCATGGAATAAAACTTTTCCACTGACCAGGGCAGGCGGCACAGGTAGGCGGGGATGGGTTTCGGGATGAAACTGTTCCACCTCAGATGATCAGGCACTGGAGTCTTATAAAGGAGCGTGCAGCCTAAATCCCTCGCATGCACAGTTTACAATAGGGTTCGTGCTCCCATGAGAATCTAATGCCACCACTGATCTGACCAGAGGCGGAGCTCAGGCGGTCATGCTCATGCTTTCTCGCCCACCCTTCACCTCCTGCTGTGCGGTCTGGTTCCCAACAGGCCACAAACCTGTACCGGTCCACTGCAGGGGAGTTAGGGACCCCTGGTTTAAATTATGCCACTATAACAGAACACCTGAGACTGGATAACTTACAATGAACACAAATTTAATTGGCTCATGGTTGTCGAGGATGGGAATTCCAAAATCAAGGGAATGTATCTGGCAGAAGGGAGAAGCGCAAGAGAGGGTGAGAGCTAGAGGGAGTAAGAGGTCGAACTCACAGGCTCAGGTCCTTTATGATCAGCATTAATGAGGGCAGCCTTGATCAGTTCATTAATGAAGGCAGAGCTCTGATGGTCCAATCACCTCTCAAAGGTCCCATCTCTTAACATTGTTGCACTGGGGATTAAGTTTCCAACAGACGCTTTTCTGGGGAAACATTCAAACAATAGCAGTTGTAAAGGATAAAAATGAGCAGGCAGATGAAGTGCAGGAGGCGACATCTGGAAGCACTCTGAGCACACGACCCTCTGTCCCCATGGAGACGGGGTGCACCATCATTGTCAAGAGACAATATCATCTCTTGCTTATACCTCTTTTTTTTGGGAGTTCATGTAACATTGGATTTTCCTCATTACACAACCCATTTATTCATTCATTTACCCTCAGCTACTATTCCTCCTTCTACTTCATTTATACCAAACATTAACAGTTTTGGAAGAAACATTAAGTTCTGCTACTGTGCTGGCCTAGACTGAAGGGAGCAATACTGTTCTAGCAAGTGTCTCTCGTTGGTCCATTCCAGTTCATAGAGGGTAGGGTTATGCAGGTAGAGAACTAGTTGGCTATCTGACCCCAGGCAATATAGCTGCATTCAGTGTTAGCCCCAACTTTGCCAGATGCAGTGAAGGCACAACCTACTCCTCCAGGCCCTGAGGAATTCTTGCATAATGGTTTTAAAATATATTTACACTTTCTTGCTTAGGAATAATTCCTGTTTTGGCACTTTTATATGCATCCCTTGTCCTAAGACCACTGAATCAGGTATGAGAAAGGCGAGTTGAGGTGAAGTCTAGTCATCATTCCAGTGTCCTCTTGTCATGGGAAAAATCGTATGTCAGGTCATACTAGCACCTTTCCCTGATCCAGCAGGAAAAAAGAGGATACTCTCTAGTGGGGACACTCCTTTTTCCACACTCATGTCTGGTGTGAGCCCACTCATGAACGTGTGTAAGCCCGCCCTTCATGCTTATGTCTCCCCACTCCTGCTTTATACAAGTAATGTGTCATTTGACTATTTTTATTCTCTATGAAACTATTCCTCTGAGCAAAATATTTTTCTGAACATTGTTGGACATTTTGGGCAAATGTGTTTCCTGGTGTGAAGAAATGTGACTCAGTGATGCAAATGGTTGCAATATCTCCCGTCCAGGTTCTATTATAGTGCTCTAAGCATTTGCATCTGAGATGAAGTACGGATTTATCTTAGAAGCCTGCTAGACCTCCCTAACATGGAAATAAAGGAAAATGTTGAGTTCCTTCAAGAGAAATTCCAGGCACCTAGCCAGCCCTGAAAAGCAAGTGAGTGACCTTATAAGCAAGCAGGTAAAAATAGCTTAAACAATAGCCAAGGAAGTTAGAGTCCCAAGATGTTTGATTCTCTATAGAAACTAAAGAGAACATCTTAACATATGTCCTTGAGTAGTTTTTCAGGAACCCAGACTCTCACCAAACAGAGCCACTGATAGGGAGACCTCAGATAAGGGGAAAATGAGGACTCAATGCTGACTGTGACTCTTTGTTCTAAATTTTTTCCTGAGGGGCCTGGAAAGAGTCAGGTCCACAGAGCAGACCTGAACATTCCTCCCTACTGCCCCTAAGTGTGTAGACAAAGCTTTGGCTCCTTATCCAATCACAAATCAGAGAATCTTTCAATCCACCTATGACCTGTACGATCCCTCATCAGGATATCCCACCTTTTTAGGCCAAACCAGTGTGTAATTTCTATGCATTGATTTTTGATGTTGCCTGCAACTCGGCTTTGCTGAAATTTACTCCTGCCTTAAAAACTCTTGCTTGTAAGCCATTGGGGAGGTTAGGTCTTAAGTGTGAGCTGCCCGATTCTCCTTGCTTGGTGCCTTGCAAATAAACGCCTTCCTTTCTCCCACTACAAAATCTCAGTGTGGATGTTTGCCTTTATTGCACCAGGTGAGTGGGCCCCAGTTCAGTTTGATAACACATCTACCACCAGCTAAGCAATGCTTACTCCAGGGTCAGTATCTATTCCTGCCAAGACCCATTTGCTGCCTCCTAGGGGTACTGGTATCAGTCTAATTTGCCAGCTATCTATTTTCAAGACCTTCCCATGAGAGAATTTGCTACATAGCCATATGCTGTCTCTGTCTCTTCTTAAACAGAACAGTCCTTATGGGTATTTCGTGCCTGTGAGTTGGAGGATGTAAAAGGAATATATCTTGATTCAGCCTATCTCTGCATTGCTGCAGCCCTCAGTGTCTACTTATTTCACGGACCCAGGTGATCACCACAAGCAAACGTGGATTTTTTTGAGATGTGGTATTGATATTTTTCCCTGGACTCAAAAGTTGCTCAGGCAAAACTAAGACTCCTGGGCTCAAGAGATCCTTCTGCCTCAGTTCTTCTTGTAGCTGGAAATACAGGTACACCTGGAAATCACTTAGAAATAAATGCTTGTTGATTTCAATCACCTTCCAAACCTGGAGGAGGGTTATTCTGAGGGGCATTGAACTAATTGAACTATTCTGAGGGAATGGTACTAAACGATTCATGAGAAGCCACCCCCATGATGCAATCACCTCCCTTGAGGCCTCACCTCCAACACTGGGGATTATATCTCAACATGAGATTTGGGTGGGGACAACACCCAATTTATATCAGACATCAACACGCCTTACATTAATGCACCCCTCAAATTACCATAGTGATTTCCACAGGACTGTGTCCTATACGGGTATTCTTTTCATAGGCCAGTTTTCCATTGCTCTCTTAATTATATGGCCAGGCCATCAGTCAATGCCCATAAGTCAGTAAAAACTAAGACATAGGGACTTTTGTCATTGTTCAATTCTTTCATCACTTCTCAGAAAACATCATGCAATTCAACCAAAAAAAAAAAAAAAAAAACTGTCCTGTTTTTAACTTCTTTGATCAAAGGGGTAGACTTCCAAACAGGATGTTGTCCACTCATCTTGCAAATGCTGTACACAAACCAACCAGCTCTTTGTGGGTCAGTTGACTGATATTGCAGTTCAAATCCCAGGATGTCTGCTGCAGAGTTCCATCTTGTTTAGGGAGGGTCACATTATAAAGGTCAAACTACTTTACTCAAAGCCTAGCAATTATCAGGTTCAAGCGATTCTCCTGCCTTAGTCTCTTGAGTAGCTGGGATTACAGGCACCTGTCATCACGCCCAGCTAATTTTTTTGTATTTTTAGTAGAGATGAGGTTTCACCATGTTGGCCAGGCTGGTCTTGAACTCCTGACCTCAGGTGATCTGCCCATCTCGGCCTCCCAAAGTGCTGGGATTACAGGCATGAGCCACCGCGCCTGGCCACTCTTCATTATATAAAATATAAGACAGTCTGTCCTCCATGTCTGTGTGTTCCACATCTGTGAATTCAACTACCTGAGGATTGGAAATGTTATGTTGCTGCTGTTGTGTACTCTGTAGTTAGGCCTACTGACAGTGGTTACATCTGTACTGAAGATGTACAGACATTTTCTTGTCGTTATTTCCTAAACAATATAGTATAACTACTGTTTACAATCATGTACATTGCACTAGGTATTGTAAGTAATCTAGAGATGATTTAAAGTATATGGGATGATATGCATAGGTAGTAGGCATATAGTAGGCCATTTTATACATGGGACCAGAGAATCCACAGATTTTGGTATCCACAGGGGTCCTAGAACCCAGCCCAAAAGGATACCAAGGGATGACTATATAGGACTGACATTCCTTTTTTAAGTTTTTGAAAGAATTGATGGGAGGAAATGTGGTAAGAAGTTTTTCTGGTGGGAAGGAATTTAATTAAAATTCAATTTCTTAATGGATAGAGGACTATTTATATTTTCTACTTAGTTTTCTGTTGGCTTTGTTCAACTGTGTTTTTCAAGAACTCATTTCATTGCACCTAAATTTTAAAAGGTATTGTCATGAAGTTGTGTCTAATATTCTCTTATTTTCATTTTAATAAAATCTGTGGTTTTATAAGTTGTCCCTTCTCACAGTGTTCATTCGTGTTTTCTCTCTTTGTATGATTGATCTTTCTGGGGATTATGAAATAGTTTGCCCATGATTTCCTCTATTATCCTTAACATATTAATCATAAATATATTGAAGAATGTCCTTGCTCGCTGGCTTCAGTATCCAGATCATCTGAGTCGGCTTCTGTTGATTATTTTATCTCCACTTGTTGCATTTTTTCTGCTGCTTGGCATGCCACATATTCTGGGTGATGTGTTACAGAGGTTCTGGATTTTGCTATCTTCCTGCTAAGACTGCTAACTGCTTGACGGTTCATTAATTATCATAAAAATCAGACCCACTTTGATTCTGCTTAGGCTTGATTTTAGCCTTTGTTAACATGAGTCTAGTTCAGTGCGGTCCTTACTCCAAGGCAAGGGTCCTCACTCATAGTGCTTCACCACCCTGTTGGCTCAACCCAGGTTTGGCTGGGCTAAAATTCCAACATCTCCTCATACTCTGAAGCCTTTGGCATTTCTACTTAGCATGCAATCTCCAAGCAACTGTTCTCTGGTGGGCTTCTTAGAGTATCACCTAAAGCATATGCAGCTTAGGAGTGCAGATTTTGGGGGTTTCTTCTCTGTAGTGACATTGTAGGTGACACTGTACATCATAGTACAATGCATTAATGATATGTTTGTGGTGATGCTGGTGTAAACAAACCTACTGCACTGTCAATCCTATAAAAGTCTAGCACATACAGTTATGTACAATACATAATCCTTGATAATGATAATAAATGACTATGTTACTGGTTTACATATTTACTATACTTTTTATTGTTATTTTAGAGTGTGCTCCTTCTAATTATTAAAAAAACTTGAAACAGCCTCGGCCAGGTCCTTTAGGAGGTATTCCAGAAGAAGGCATTGTTATCATAGGAGATGGCAGCTCCATGCATATTATTACACCTGAAAATCTTCCAGTGGGACAAGATGTAAAGGCTAAAGATAGTGATATTGTTGATCCTAACCCTGTGTCAGCCTAGGCTAATTTATGTCTTTTTTTTTAACAGAAAAGATTTAAAAGTAAAAAAAAAATTAAATAGAAATAAGTTTCTAGAATGAAAATATAAGGAACAATATTTTTGTACAGCTTTGTAACATGTTGGTCTTTTAAGCTAAGTGCTATTACAAAAGCTGAAAAGTTTTAAAAATTAAAGTTTATAAAGTTAAAAAAGTTACATTAAGCTAAGGTTAATTTATTATTAAAGAAAGAAAATTATTTTTAAAATCAATTTATTGTAGCCTAAGTGTACAGCATTTATAAAATCTACAGTAGTGCACAGTAATGGCCTAGGCCTTCAGTTCACTCACCACTCACTTGCTGACTCACCCAGAGCAACTTCCAGTCCTGTAAGCTCCATTCATGATGAGTAACCTATATAGGTGTGCCATTGTAAAAATCTTTTTACCATATTTTTACTGTACTTTTTCTGTTTACATATGTTTAGATCCACAAATACCTACCATTGTGTTACAATTGCCTACAGTACTCAGTATAGTAATGTGCTATCCAAGTTTGTAGCCTAGGAGCAATAAGCTTTATGATATAGCGTAGGTGTGCAGTAGGCTATATCATCTAGCTTTGTGTATGGACACTTTATGATGTTCACGTAAGACCAAATCACCTAAGGACACATTTCTCAGAACCTATCTTATCATTAAGAAAGAATGACTATATATGTAATGTAAGTCCTTTGAAGTTTAAGCATTTTCACTTTCATATATTTGTCTCATTTAAGAAATATTTTCCATTCCAGCAGGTACAGCTAAAAAAAAAGAAAAAAGAAAAAAAGAAAAATTTTCTTGCTCAAATGTTTTAAGGTTATCCTCCTAATAACATTGGTAGTAGTTTTATTTTTTCATATTTGTCTTTACCGCTTATATAATTTTTTGTTTATCTCAAGGTGTAGAGATATAATTTAATCATAGGGTGTTTAGTAAAATATCAATGCTGGGAAAGGGCTTAGGAGATAACGGTGAATCAAAACACAGCACAAAGGCCAGGTACTGTGGCTCACTCCTGTAATCCCAGCACTTTGGGAGGCCAAGGAGGGTGAACCACTTGAGCCCAGAGGTTCTAGACCAGCCTGGGAAACATACTGAGACCTCGTCTCTACAAACACATGTCAATCAATGCAGCATAATAGAGAATCTGGAAATAAATCCATATATTTACAGCCAACTGATTCTTGACAAAGGTGCCAAGAACATACATTTGGGGAAAGGACACCCTCTTCAATAAATGGTGCTGGGGAAATTGGATATCCACATGCAGAAGAATGGAATTAGATCCCTATATCTCACCCTATATAAATATCAACTCAAGATGGATTAAATACTTAGACGTAAGACCCAAAACTATAAAACAACTGGAAGCAAACATATGAGAAACATTCTAGGACATTGGTCTGGGTAACGATTTTATGGCTAAGACTTCAGAAGCACAGACAACCCAAACAAAATAGACAAATGGGACTATAATAAACTAAAACGCTTCTGCGCAGCAAAGAAAACCATCAAAAGAGTAGACAGACAACCTGTTGAATGGGAGAAAATATTTTCAAACAATTTATCTGACAAGGGACTAATATCCAGAATATGTAAGGAACTCAAGAGCTAAAAAAACCAAAAAATTCTATTAAAAAGTGGACAAACGACATGAATAGACATTTCTCAAAAGAAGACATACAAATGGCCAGCAGGTACATGAAAAATGCTCAACATCACTTATCATCAGGGAAATGCAAGTCAAAACCACAATGAGATATCATCTTACCCCCAGATAGAATGGGTACAACTAAAAAGACAAAAAAAAACAAACAAACAAATAGATGTTTGTGAGGATGTGGAGAAAAGGGCACTCTTACACACAGTGTGTAAAACTAGTGCAGCAACTGTAAAAAACAGTATAGAGAGTTTTCAAAACACTGAAAATAGAATCACTGTATTATCAAGCAATTTTGGGGTGGGGCTGCAGGGTCCTGGAGTTCAGGTTGGCAGAGAGCAGGGCCTGGAGGTGCTTGGGAGGCCGGAGGAGAAGGAAAGAGGCAGATGCCTGGGTCCCAGGGTATCGAAGTGGGGAGGGTCTGGGGCAAGAGGTAAATGGGCGAATTCTTGAGATCCATTGAGAATCCATGGTCAGCCCTTGAGATCCAAAGAAAGGGGTCAGAAGCTTGGGCCAGGCTCACCGCTGAGCTCTTTGTAACCCCTTTGTAACCCATGACCACCTTCAGACTCCCAGCTAAGTAAGTCTTTGACCCTCCAAGAACAACATCTCCTTGGCTGCCAGCAGAGGGACCTGCTCTCTGCCCATGACCCCAGGGCCCCTGGGCCTGGCATGGCAGCTCCTGCTGTCAAAGGCAAAGAAGAGGCAGCCGTCCAGCTAGCCCAGTGCTATGACTGCAGGCTTCCTGGGGGTGGACTCTGATAGGGCCTTAAGATCCTAGCTCAGAAAGCGGGACCCTGAAATTCCCAGGGCTGGGCCCCTTAGCACCTGTATAGCAGCTCTCTTCTCCTCAGAACCCTAGAAACTCTCTCCCACTCTACACACACCTGCACGCACACACATCAACACAAACACACACATTCCTAACAGGATGTTTTCCATTTTTCTCTCCTCCCTGGCTCCTTTCACTCTCTTTCTCCCCCCTTGCCCCCTTCTCTTATGATCCATTTCTTCTCTCTTCTGCTCTCTGGAGGTTCCCTTCTTCCTGGACCGAGGCACTAGGAGCTGCTGTCCCTGGACCCCAGGGTTGGAGGCTAACAGGCTGATTCCTGAGATGAGCAGCCTCTAGCAGCAGGAACAAAGGAGGGGACGGGAGGCCAAGGCCCCATCTGGAGGCTGAGGGACTGGGTCCTGTGGCAGCAAGGATTTGGGGGTGTGTCATCCCCACATCTGATCCCACTGTTTTGCCCTGGAGGCCTCTCTCTGCTCTGAGGCAAAAGTCCAGTCACTCAGTGGTGAGAGGAAATGTCATTGTCAACATGGATTTTGGGAAGCTGAATGGACTCAGAGCCTGACTTGAGACCCGGAGGCTCCTTGAGTGCAGAGCCCTGTCCAGGTGCTGGGAGCAGAGGGAGAGCCTCGGAGGTCCTGGTTGGTGAGAAAGGGGAGCGGGGTCCGGTCCTCTGTCCTCGTCCCTGTGGCCACACGGGGGCGCCGCCGCGCTGCTCTCGCATTCTGATTGAGCGCTCTCAGGCACTGGGTGAGGGCTGAGTGGGGCAGAAGGGGCGGAGCCTGAGGTCATCCACGCGGGAATGGAGGTTCCTCCTAAGCAGCCCTGGAATCCACAGACTCAGGCTAGATTTGCTTGTCTTGCAACGTGAGGCAATTGTGGAGCAGCAAGATCTGGCTCTAGAATTCTCACCGCGAATGCGGTTCTTATAGAATCCAACCTGAATGAGAGGCCAGGGCCTGAGCTGACTGCCCTGGGCACACCTGGCTTTGATGGGGTTGCCAAAATGTAACTGGCACTTACAGAAATTTCAATGATTGTCGAAAAGTCCATATAATTATATACAATTTCATTTCTGATGTCTCTGGCTGTGCCTTTGAAAGGGCATAAAGAGCCATGGAAAGAGGCTGAAAGGCTCCTCTGGGAATTTTCAAATCCCTTTTCATAGCAGCAACTTGGTCTAGCCCAGTGCTATGACTGCAGGCTTCCTGGGGCTGGACTCTGATAGGGTCTTAAGGTCCTAACTAAGAAAATGGGACCCTGGAACTCTCAGGGCTGGGCCCTGAAGAAACACAGGGAGAAGGATCTGGAGGCGCAACCCTCCCTTCTGATCAGCACGGGCAGGGCTGTCTGAGCGCGTTTCCCCTCTGTGTTCAGCAGGATCGACTTTGCAGTGAGGCGCAGCCCCTGTCTCCCTGGGGGCCTCAGGTCCACACATCCTTCCACTGCCGCATGTCAGAAGCATCTGTTTCCTTTATTTTGTTTTCCACAGACTTCTTTCTTTTTTCTGTCCTTGACCACTAATACAACACAGGCAAGATCCTATAAGACCAGGTAAAAGATGTTACTGATAATAGTGAAGGCATGGTTGTGAAGGGACAATGGCAGATACAGACAGAGCCAGAGACAAAACAGAAAGGCAGAACAGAGATAGAAACACACACAGAAAATGAACATCCATCCGTCCATCCAACCATCCATCCATCCATGCATTCATCCATGCATGCATCTGTCTGCTCTCTACCTTTCTATCTCCTTACAAGGGAGGTACATCAACACTTTTACATTCATTTCCCAACAAAAATCACAAGATTTTCCTTGTCGGCTCACACCTGCCCTCCTTCATCCAGCCAACTGATGTGTTTGCTGAGGTCTTGCCACATGCCACACTGGGTGCTGAGCTTTGGGGTCTGAACAGTAACAGACCTCTGTGATGCACTCACACGGGGCCCTTTACTGTCCTGTCCTTGGCTATGAGACATCCTCATGTCCCTGAAGCTCTTCTTTCTGCTTCTTGGATAAAGTCCCTGACCACCTCCCTACTGGCACCCAGGAGACTCTGACATCCTGGAACACCAGTATCTTTCATCAAACACTGACTTACAGCATTTATCCTGTGTCTGTCACTCACTACATACCCTTTTGATGATTTTCTCATTGAGAGATTGTTAAAAAAGGATGTGATTGTAACCTCAGACAAGTGTAATAGAATAGTAAAATAAGGAACTCTGTGAAAAGGGCTTTTTCTGCTTTCTCCCAGAACATCTCATTTGCATCTGTGTTTGGCTGGATGAAAAGTGGCTTCCATATCCCCTGACATAATGCAACAAGCAGAAACACTTGCTCAGTAAACAAGTACTTCGGAAAATGCAGGGTCTTGAACACTGCCCTCAGGGCTCCACACATCAGAAGGACATATATATCTTTCCTTCAACCCCAGAGATGCCCAGGGGCTGCATGTTGGCTCCTCACTGGTCTTACTCATGTCCTACTGGAAGAGGACGGTGCTTCTCTGGAAATGTCAGAGTGGTGTGGGATAGCCAGTTCCTCTGTGTGCCCTGCAGGAAAACAAACAATTCAGCTTTTCAATCCCACTCAGTATCTGAAAATAAACTGGGTTTTCAATGTATTCCCCTCCAGAGAGTAAATTGCGGAGGAAACATGTTCAAACGCACACTTAATTATTTTCCGAGTCAAGAATGTAAGTATGAGGCCCTTTAAGACGAGTTAAGAGAAGTTCCTGACCTCAAATTTCATGTGGAAGTTATAAGATGGAGCTGGAAGCATCTGTCCTTACCTCTGGGTATAAAGTTGGGACCCCGCGGGAGGCAGTCAGCCACAGTTAGGGCACCAAGCAAACCCTCAGGAAGGACTCGGTCCACGCAGGAGCCTCCCTAAGCAGCTTCTCCCTGAAGAAAACCTGAAGTCTTAGAAATCCAAGAAGAACAAAGATATTCATGTCTCTGATAAGGAAAATGAAATGCCAGCAATCCAGCACTGAGAAGGGAAGCTACGAGACCACATTTTCTGCACGTGGAGAAGACATGTTTAATGGAGAGGTGGGAACTTGTCTCAAAAGTGTTGCGCTGCCGTGAGAACGTGTGGTCATCACTGCCACCACCCGCTGCTCGCTCAGTGGCCTCTGCCCATTGTAACTAATGGGCCAATGAATAGAAACACTTTTCACCTTCCTCTCCTGCAATAAGGCTATTAAAATAAATCATCTCCTCTGGTTGATTTTTCACTTAGGGAAAAAATAACTGGGGTAATGCATGCCCGTAGACCAGGTTTTAAAGAAGTTCTCAGAAAACCCTGAGACAGTCTCCAGAAGGCTCATCCAGCAGAAACGAGGCCTTGCACTTCTGCCATCCCGTGTGTCACCATGATGGAGTTTGCCCAGCTAGGGATGGCAAGAGGCCAAGTCATCACAGGTGATCTGCAGGCCTGGTGAGGAAGGACAATGACAGACGGGAAGGAGGAAATGCACACACACGACCAGACCTCCTGCCATTCCTTTGTCCATTGGTCTTGCTCTGTCTTTCACTCTCTGAAATTTTGTTGTCATGAGTCTTGGTGTGGGTCTGTTTCCATCTCCTGTATTGAGAACTTTGTTGCAGCCATTCACACTATACATTTTTGTCAGTAGCCTTCAAAACATTTTCTTGAATTACTTTTAATTACTTTCTATGGTTATTGGAACTTATATTATGAGACTGCTGGAATTCCTTAATTGATAGTATAATATTCTTAAAGTTCTATCATGCTTGGCATCACGTTTTTATTTTGTACTACCTTGCAGCACACAACTTTCATTTCAGTTCATTTTTTAAACTCTTTATTTCAATGATCATATTTTAAAATTCCAGAGCTCTTTCTAGTTCTCTGCATGAAATTGTTTATAAATTTGTTCAAATCTCATAACTGTTGTTTTCTTACATCTTTCACACATAATTGGTAATAGTGGTAGGGACCCATTAGGTCTCCTTGTAACCTGCTTTCATGATATCACAAACTTTTCCCTTACGCTCATTAGCAATTTCACAATCTTGGGGCAATTTTTGCTAAATATTTATCTTCCTTACAATATTGAAAACTCCCCATCTCCAAGACTTTACTCTTGCTCTTCATTATATCCTCAAGTGCTTAGCAGATCTCCTGATCACTGGAAATACACCCTGGATGAACGGACTTCTGCGTGAATTTGGCAGTTAAGTCATTGCCCTTCTTGTCTTCCTGAGCTCTGAGCCAGTGGCCTCCTGTCCATAGAACATTCTGGGACATCAAAACAGTTCACTTGTGTAAGGTGCAGATGAAGAGAGAATCAATGGAAGACAAGTCAACAAGGCCTCTGAGAGAAAATCTCCAGGGTTCAACCCTAGCCCCACCACCTTCTTTACCTCTCTCCTTCCCTGTCTGTACAAAGGATCACATATTGAGTTCCCCATGGGTTTGCATTGAGGATTAAATCTGACTCTCTATGTAAAGCCATGGCATTATTTTCTGAGTCATACTAAATGCTCCATTATTGATAACTATCATCACTATATTCATTACAATCTTTGGGTTATTTCCATTATTTTGCTTTTATAAACCACAATTCAAGGAACATTCTTATATATGTGGTTTTTTTGTTTTTGTTTTGGGACAGAGTCTCGACCTGTCACCCAGGCTGAAGTGCAGTGACATGATCGCAGCTCACTGCAACCTCCACCTCCCGGGTTCAAGCAATTCTTCTGCCTCAGCCTCCCGAGTAGCCGGAACCACAGGTGTCTGCCACCACGCTCGGCTAATTTTTGTAGTTTTTAGTAGAGACGGGGTTTCACCATGTTGGCCAGGCTGATCTTGAACTCCTGACCTCGTAATCCACCTGCCTCGGCCTCCCAAAGTGCTGGGATTACAGGCATGAGCCACCGCGCCCGGCCTATATATGCGTTTTTAGAAAGATATGTAATTATTTCCTTGGGATAAATTCCTAAAAGAGAAATTTTCATGTCAAAATGTCAGAACACTTAGGCCCGGCGCAATCCCTCACCCCTGTAATCCCAGCACTTTGGGAGACCAAGGCGGGTGGATCACTTGAGGTCAAGGATTTGAGATGAGCCTGGCCATCATGGTGAAACCCCATTTCTACTAAAATTACAAAAATTAGCTGGGCGTGGTGGCACGCACCTGTAGTCCCAGCTACGCGGGAGGCTGAGGCAGGAGAATCGCTTGAACCCAGGAGGTGGAGGCTTCAATAAGTCAAGATTGTGCCACTGCACTCCAGCCTGGGCGACAGAGCAAGACTCTGTCTCAAAAACGTCAGAACATTTAAATTATTGAGACATTTTGCAAAAGTGCCCTTTAGAAGTTTTGTACCACTTTTCAATGCCATCAGTCTTCGTAACAGTACATTTTCCCTGTACTCTGATCAATACTACCATCATTTACTTCTGTCTTTGCCAAGCTGATGGATTTTAATTCTGGTTCCCATTTTGTAGTCTACATTCTTATTTTTTGCACATATTTATTACTAATATAACTATATGACATTTCTTAATCATTTCTCAAACGTAATGCTGATATTTTTAAATATTGAATTTAATCAAGAAAAAGCAGCCCCTAATATCTGGGAACTTGTCTGGCACAGCTGGGCATCAATGTTGCCAGGAGCTGGTCTGGTCTTCACTACTGGGCCATATTAGTCCCTCTGGGACATAAATTATATCACAAAATACCAACACCACACTGGATCACTCTCAGCCCATGAGAAAGTGAGGCGAAACAAAAGTACTTCATAATTTTGTCTAAACCCTCTCCCGGCTAGTATGAGTGGCTGATGCTTCTCTACGGATTGAGCTTTATCTGCACTCTAGTCCACCCTCCCTAAAGGTAAGATTTATTGAAATACCGAATTGTAGAATTGCCTCTGCTTACTGACAGTACTCAATCTAGAGCAATAAAATAAAATAGAATTTCTCAACTGTGTTATCTGTATTTTCTTTTTTTCCTTATTCTCATGCTCTGGCATCTGAGTCCTCACTGATTGTGAGGACTCCCCTCCCAAGACTAGTCTATTCCTACAGATACTAAAGGGATTGACCGCAAATGCGCCTTTCTTATGCAAACTAACCAAACCAGAGCCCAAACTCAGAATGAGTTCTTTTTTTCTGGCTGTCACATGGCCCCGATACTCCCAGTCAATATTCTCCTGTCTTAATAATCTGAGAGACAGGTATCAGACAACTAGAGACAATCCCTATGCCTCAGAGTCACCAAGATTATTCAGACTCATCAATACTGAACATGTCTACACTGCTTACCCTGCCTTGCTCATTCATTCCCCTAAAAACCACATTAGAGGCTCTCGCCCATGCTTTCCCCTCCCGTTGCCACTTGACCAGCCTTGGTGCTGCCTGTTGTGCTGTGCTTCCTATGTCAGTGGGTAATAAACTCTTTTTTCAGTGGCATAGACCTCTCTGTGTCATCATTCAGTCATAACTACTAATTAATTAAATCCCAGGGAAACTTGAAATACCAGCTGAAGCCCAAATATTATAATAGGCTCTATCTAAAAGGCACTTACCAAGATACTCGGTAGTTATCCAAGGTGTGCATTCTCCCTCCCACTGCAGTGAGTAATAAACCCAACTTCTTCACCCACAGATGTGCTCCAGGTGGCCTTGGGCTGAAGGGTATTAACACATTGTTACTATTTTGTCCATCAACTGTTTACATGTCTTTGAGGTTGATTATGGGAAAGTGTTTGTACATTTCTGTGTTTGTGGATGCCAAAGAGATTTTTTTTAATTTGTAAGTAGTCAAAATGATTATCATCATTCTTCATCACTTTTCACATTTTGGTCATGCTTAGAACATCTGCACTCCAGAGTTGTGAAAACTTCATACATATTTGACCTAGGAAGAGACGATGAGGAAAGGGGTCCGAGAGTTGAAGGACATAGAATTGTTTCAAGTTGTGGAAAAGTAAAGATTACTAATGCGATGGGATTGTAAGGTTTAATTATTTTATAATTTTTGAAATGTGTCTACTGGGTCTGTAGGGTACTTAATATATGTGGTATCCAATAAATACAACTTAGGATGAGTACTCAAGACTTATTTGCCTTCTTACATTCACCAAAGTAAAGAAAATATTATGCCAGATTTCCAGTGAAATATAGACATGGATTGGCAACAGTGATGTGCATTTATGAAGACTTGATACTATGAACTGATAATTCATATTTTGGTTGATGTCTATACACTGTAGTTGTTCAAATACACATTAATTAAACTTTCTTGGGCATGCTATATTTCAATGATATGTCTGAGACCCATATAGACAAATTCATGGCTTCCATATGAAGACAACTTTGATATATTCAATCTATGAGTGACATGGTATACTTTTAGGGAGATTAAAAACTAAGATACTCTGGTATGCACTATCAAATTTCATTGGAGATGTGGTTACTTGAGCTGTGGTGGCTACACTTGCGATGAAGCGGAAGAAGAGCTCTGGTATGTAAGGACTGGGATCTGCATTGTCATGTTCCATTCTGCATTGATAATAAAATGTACCCCACATACCCCGCCCCCCACCACACACACAGACACACACACACAAAACACAAACACTCATGCTTACCCAGTCATAGTCCCTGCTTGCTGAAATTTCTGTAACGTAAAGCACTTGTGAAAATAAAGGACCAGTCATCACCTTGATGATTCTAGAGATGGGGACCCGATTCCCAGAAGTCATAGGTCAGAAGGGAAAGACTGCTGAGGACAGACCTCCAGTCACCCAAGAGGGAAGGTGGTCCAGCCCCTGCACGTCTCCTGTCCTTGTTTTCCTGATCCTGCCCTGGGTATGGTTATAGAGTCGAATAGATAAATTGAACTTCATCAAACCAAAACTTTTATGCATCAGAGAACACTATCAATACAGTGAAAAGGCAATCCATACAATGGCAGAAAATATTTGCCTATTACATATCTCATATGGGTCAAGTGTTTGGATACACAAAGAACCCTTTAAACATCAATAACAAAATGACAAATAATCCCATTACAAAATGGGCAAAGAAATTGAAAAGTCATTTCTTCAAAGAAGATACATAAACCGCCAATATACACAGGAAAAGATACTCAACATCATTAGCCATTAAAGAAATGCAAATTAAACCACAATAATATGGCTATAATAATAATTTTTTTAAAATGAAAATAAATGTTAGGAAAGATAAGCAGAAATTAGAACCCTCATACCACTATATTTTATGGAAATATAAAATGGCCAGCTGAGGTTCTTATTTGGTGGAAGCATTTCTTTCCTGGGAAATCCACTAAGCCCAAGGTTGCAGAGATGTGAAGCAGAAATTTTAAAAGTAATTAATAGGTGTAATTGTACAAGAATATTTATTAACATAATAAATTATCTCAGCTTTTTTAGTCAAAATAACTCCTATAACTTTGTTCATCTTTTTAGAAATTACTTAAATTGTACTGACTATGATAACATGCCTGTAGTCTCAGCTACTCAAGAGACTGAGATGGGAGGACACCTTGAGCCCAGGAGTTCAAGACTAACCCGGACAACATAGCAAAACTTGTCCTGAAAAAAAATGAAAAATTAGCTGCACATGGTAGTGCATGACTGTAGTCTCAGCTACCGGGGGGCTGAGGTGGATGGATCCCTTGAGCCCAGAAGTTAGAAGCCAACATGGGGTAATATAGAAAGACTCTTTCTCTAAAATTTTTAAAAAATAAATTGCATGAGTTATTCTAGACCTTTTATGTTTTCATATAAATTTGTAAATCAGCTCATAAATTTCTATCAAAAAGCCTCCTAGAATTTTGTTAGTTTTTTTTTAAATCTCTGGGTTAATTTGGGGAGTGTTGCATTTTAACAATGTTAAATCTTGCTCCCCATGAACAGGGGATCTATTTATTTAGGTCTTCTATGTACTCTTTCCACAGTGTCTCTTGATTTCTAGTGTCTTGGATTTCAGAGATCTTAAATATTTTTTGTATGATTTATTTATTTTCTTTGTTGTTGTTGTTTTTGTTGTTGTTTGCCCTATGAAGTTTTATTTTATTTCAATAGTTTTTTGGGGTACAGGTGGGTTTTGGTTTAATGGATGAGTTCTTTAGTGGTGAATTCTGAGACTTTAGTGCACCTGTCACCCAAGCAATATACACTGTACCCAATATGTAGTCTTTTATCTCACTCCCCTCTCAGCCTGTCCCTTGAGTCCCCAAAGTCCATTATATCGCTCTATATGTCTTTGCATCCTCCTAGCTTAGCTCCCACTTATAAGTGAGAACATACAGTATTTGGTTTTCCATTCCTGAGTTACCTCACTTAGAATAATGGCCTCCATCTCCATCTAGGTTGTTGCAAAACACATTATTTTGTTCCTTGTTATGGCTAAGTAATACTCCATGGTGTACATATACCACATTTTCTTTGTCCACTTGTTGGTCGATGGACACTTACTTTGTTTTCATGTCATTGCAATCGTGAAGTGTGCTGCTGTAAACATGCACGTGCATGTGTCGTTTTCATATAATGACTTCCTTTGGGTAGATATCCAGCAGTGGGATTGCTGGATTGAATGGTAGATCTACTTGCAGTTCTTTAAATAATGTCCATACTGCTTTCCAAAGTGGTTTTACTAATCTACATTCCCACCAGCAGTGCAAAAGTGTTCCCTTTTCACCACATCCACACAAACATCTACTGTGGTTTTTAAAAATTTTTTAATTATGGCAATTTTTGCAGGAGTAAGGTGGTATCTTGTACTTATAATTTGCATTTCCCTGATGATTAGTTACCTTGAGCAATTTTTCATGATTGTTGGCTATTTGTATATCTTCTTTTGAGAACTGTCAATTCATGTCCTTTGCCCAGTTTTTGATGGGATTATTTGTTTTTTTCTTGCTGATTTCTTTGCGTTCCTTGTAGATTCTGGATATTAGTCCTTTGTTGGATGTATAGTCTGTGAATATTTTCCCCTACTGTGTGGGTTGTCTGTTTACTCTGCTGATTATTTCTTTTGCTGTGTAGAAGCTTTATCATTCAACCAGGTCTCATTTATTTATTTTTATTTTTGTTGTGTTTGTTTTCGGGGTCTTAGTCATGAATTTTTTGCCTAAGCCAATGTCCAGAAGAGTTTTTTAATGTTATCATGTTATCTTCTAAGATTTTTATGGTTTTAGGTTTTAGGTTTTAGGTTTAAGTCTTTGATCCATTTTGAGTTGACATTTATATAAAGTGAGAGATGGAGATACAGTTTCATTCTATATGTGGCTTGCCAGTTTTCCCAGCACTCTCTATTGAATAGGATGTGCTTTTCCCAATTTATGTTTTTGTATGCTTTGTCAAAGATCAGTTAGCTGTTGGCATCTGGCTTTATTTCTGGATTGTCTATTCCATTCCATTGGTCTAAGCGCCTATTTTTTATTTTATCTTATTTTGAGATGGAGTTTCACTCTTGTTGCCCAGACTGGATTGCAATGGCACGATCTCAGCTCATTGCAACCTCTGCCTCCCAGGTTCAAGTGATTCTCCTGCCTCAGCCTCCTAAATAGCTGGGATTACAGGTGCCCACCACCACGCCCAGATAATTTTTTTTGTATTTTTAGTAGAGATGGTGTTTTATCATGTTGGCTAGGCTAGTCTCGAACTCTTGACCTCAGGTGATTTGTCTGCCTCTACCTCCCGAAGTGCTGGGATTACAGGCGTGAGCCACCGTGCCCAGCTGAAGTGCCTATTTTATACCAGTATGATGCTGTTTTGGTAACGATAGCCTCGTAGTGTAACTTGAAGTCTGTTAATGGGTCGCTTCCAGATTTGTTATTTTTGCTTAGTATTGCTTTGGATACGTGGGCTCTTTTTTGGTTCCACATGAATTTTGGGGTTGTTTGCTCCAGTTCTGTGAAGAATGATGATGGTATTTTGATGAAAATTGCACTGAATCTATAGATTGCTTTGGGCAGTATGGTCATTTTCACAATATTGATTCTATTCATCTATGAGCATGGGATGTGTTTCCATGTGTTTGTGTCATCTATGATTTCTTTCAGCAGTGTTTTTTAGTTTTCCTTGCAGAGATCTTTCACCTCCTTGGTTAAGTATATTCCTAGGTTTTGGGGGGTGTTGTTTTTTTGGAGGTTTTTGTTGTTGTTGTTGTTGTTTGTTTTTGCAGCTGTTGTAAAAGGGATTGAGTTCTTGATTTGATTCTCACTTGGTCGTTGTTGGTGTATAGCAATGCTCCTGATTTGTGTACATTGATTTTGTGACCTGAGACTTTACTAAATTTGTTTATCAGATCTATGGGTCTTTTGGATGAGTCTTAGTATTTTCTAGGTATACGATCATATCATCAGTGAACAGGGACAGTTTGACTTCCTCTTTTCTAATTTGGATGCCCATTATTTCTTTCTCTTGCTTGATTGCTCTGGCTAGAACTTGCAATACTGTGTTGAATAGAAGTGGTGCACGTGGGCATCCTTGCCTTGTTTCAGTCCTTGGAGGAATGCTTTCAACTTTTCCCCATTCACTATGATGTTGGCTGTGAGTTTGTCATATATGACTTTCATGACTTTGAGGTAAGTCCCTTCTATGCCTATTTTGTTGAAGGTTTTTATCATAAAGCAATGCTAGATTTTATCAAATGCTTTTTCTGCATCTATTGAGATAATCATATGATTGTTGTTTTTAATTCTGTTTATGTGGTGTATCACATTTATTGACTTGCATATGTTAAACCATCTCTGCATCCCTGGGATGAAACCCACTTCAACATGGTGTATTATTTTTTTGATAGGCTACTGGATTTGGTTAGCTAGTATTGTGTTGAACATTTTTGCATGTATGTTCATTGGGGATATTGGTCTGTATTTTTCTTTTTTGTTATGTCCTTTCCTACTTTTGGCATTAGGGTGATACTGTCTTCATAGAATGATTTAGGGAGGATTCCCTTTTTCTCTATCTTTTGGAATAGTTTCAGTAGGATTGGTACCAATTTTTTGAATGTCTAATGGAATTTGTCTGGGAACCCATCTGGTCCTAGGCTTTTTTTTGTTGACAGTTTTTTTTATTACTGTTTCAGTCTCACTGCTTGTTATTGGTCTGCTCATGATTTCTATTTCTTCCTGATTTAGTCTAGGAGGGTTGTATGTTTCCAGGAATTTATCAGTTTTTAGATTTTCTAGCTGGTGTGTGTAAAGGTGTTCATAGTAGCCTTGAATTAACTTTTGTGTTTCTGTGGTATTAGTTGTAATATCTCCAGTTTGTTTTCTAATTGAGCTTATTTGGATCTTCTCTCCTTTTCTTGGTTAACCTCACCAATGGTCTATTGATTTTGTTTACCTTTTCAAAGACCCAACTTTTTTTTCATTTATCTCTTGTATTATTTTTGTTTCAGTTTCATTTATTTCTGCTCTGATCTTTATTATTTCTTTTTTATGCTGGCTTTGGGTTTCATTTGTTTTTATTTCTCCAGTTCCTTGAGGTGTGACATTAGGTTTTCAATTTGTGCTTATTCAGATTTTTTTTTTCCTTCCCAGATGAAGTCTCACTCTGTTGCCCAGGCTGGAGTGCAGTGGCGCAATCTCAGCTCACTGCAACCTCGACCTCCTGGATTCAAGTGATTCTCCTTCCTCAGCCTCCTGAGTAGCTGGGATTAAAGGCGCGTGCCACCACGCCTAGCTAATTTTTGTATTTTTAGTAGAGACAAGGTTTCACCATGTTGGTCAGGCTGGTCTCAAACCCCTGACCTTAACTGATCCACCTGCCTCAGCCTCTCAAAGTGCTGGGATTACAGGCATAAGCCACTGTGCCCGGGCTCTTTCAGGCTTTTTTAAGTCAGCACTTATTGCTATGAACTTTCTTATTTTCACTGCTTTGGCTATATCCCAGAGATTTTGATTACTTGTGACACTATTATCATTCATTTCAGAGAATTTTTAAATTTCCATCTTGATTTCATTGTTAACTGAAAAATCATCCAAGAATAGGTTATTTAATTTCCATGTACTCATACAGTTTTTAAGTTTCATTTTGGAGTTGATTTCCAGTTTTATTCCACTCTGGTCTGTGAAGATACTTTATAGGATTTCAGTTTTCTTAAATTTGTTTAGACTTGTGTTGAGGTCTATCATATGGTCTATCTTGGAGAATGTTCCATGTGCTGATGAGAAGAATGTATATTCTACAGTTACTGGGAAGAAATGTTCTGTAAATATCTGTTAAGTCCATTTGTTGTAGGATATGGTTTAAGATCATTGTTTCTTTGTTGACTTTGTGTCTTGATGATCTGTCTAGAGCTATCAGTGGAGTATTGATGTCCCCTGCTATTATTGTCTTGCTGTCTATCTCATTTCTTAAGTCTAGTAGTAACTGTTTTATAAAGCTGGGAGCTCCACTGTTAGGTGCATATAAATTTAGGACTGTGATATCTTCTTGTTGGAATTAT
This sequence comes from Homo sapiens, assembly GCF_000001405.40. Classification (NCBI taxonomy): domain Eukaryota; kingdom Metazoa; phylum Chordata; class Mammalia; order Primates; family Hominidae; genus Homo; species Homo sapiens. Next base: position 1,639,377 of record NT_167248.2, on the reverse strand, counting down.
CATTCTATCATTATATAATGTCCTTCTTTGTCTTTTTTTTTTTTTTTACTGTTGTTGCTTTAAAGTCTGTTTTTGTTTTGTATAAGAATAGCCACTCCTGCTCTCTTTTAAGAAAATGTAGTGCATATACATCATGGAATACTATGTGGCCATAAAAAAGAATGAGTTCTTGTCCTTTGCGGAACATGGATGGAGCTGGAGGCCATTATCCTTAGCAAATTAATGCGGGAAAAGAAAACCGAATACCACATGTTCTCACTTATAAGTGGGAGCTAAATGATGAGAACACATGGACATATAGAAGGGAACTGCACACACTGGGGCCTACCAGAGAGTGGAGGCTGGGAGGAGGGAGAGGATCAGGAAAAGTAACTAATAGGTACTAGGCTTAATGCCTAGGTAACAAAATAATCTGTACAGCAAACCCCATGATACAAGTTTACCTATATAATAAACCTGCACATGTATGCCTGAACTCAAAATATAAGTTAAATCAATAAAAAATTATTTTAAAATGATCGGCGGTCCCACCTGCCCAAAGGCTGTGCTGGGAGCTCTCTGGTCCCACCAGGCACTGGCACCCTGCACCACACCACATGCAGCAGGGCTAGCGACACACCCTCAGGCCAGCCAAGGCCATGGCCACTCTACCTATGATTTTCTATGTGGGTATTCAGCTTTGATGAGTGTCTTACATCTATAAGCTAAAATTCTTCATCAAATTTGGGAATCTTTCAGCCATAGATTTTTTTGAATTTTTTTTCTGATCCTGTGTCTATCTTCTTTTGGGACTCCAATTGGTCACCTGTTTACCTGCTTTATATTTTCTGAGGGTTTGTGAAGTTTTCTTCACTTTTCTTTAATCTTATTTCACTCTTTTTTATTTTTAGATTAGACAATTTCTGTTGATTTATATTCAAGGACACTGACTGATTCTTTATTCTGCCATCTCAAAACTTCTGTTGACCTCATCCAGAGCACTGTCATTATTTTTCTATCCAGTTTGAGAATTTCCACTTAGTACCATCTATAGTTTTCATTTCTCTGCTGCAATTACTTCTATTCACTCTTTAGAAATGATATTTCCTTCATTTCTTTCCACATATTTTTCAAAACTGTCTTAAAGAGTTTGCTGATAATTTCAATATCTGGACCCATTGAAACCCATTTATTTTTAATTTCCTCCTTATTATAGTCACACATTTCTTTCTTTTCTTTCTATGTCTGATCCTATTTGATAAAGTGGACATTATATGTTTTGTTTTAGAGAGTCTGGAATCTACAACAATCTCTCTAAAGATGGCAATTCTCCCACCACCACCACCCCTGCCCCTCAGTGAACGTGGTTAACTTTCCCTGCACTGGTAACTGTGAAATCTGTTACCCCTGCAGTTGGCTACAGCTGATGTTTCTGCTCTGTTTACCGATATCCAGTTGCTGCATTTTCAGCAGGGGGCTCTGGGTGTCTACTCTGCATCTTTGTAATATTTGTCCCTGCCAAACCTCATGTTGAAATGTAATCCCCAATGCTGCAGGTGGGGCCTAGTGGAAGCTGTTTGGGTCATGGGGGTAGATCCCTCATGAATGGCTTGGTGCCCTCCCCACAGTCATAAGTAAGTTCTCTTCGCTTTATTATTATTATTATTATTATTATTATTTTGAGACAGAGTCTCGCTCTGTTGCCCAGCCTGGAGAGCAGTGGTGCGATCTTGGCTCACTGCAACCTCCACCTCCTGGGTTCAAGTGATTCTTCTGCCTCAGCCTCCTGAGTAGCTGGGACTACAGGCACATGCCACCATGCCAAGCTAATTTTTGTATTTTTAGTAAGGATGGGGTTTCACCATATTGGCCAGGCTGGTCTCGAACTCCTGACCTCGTGATCCACCCGCCTCGGCCTCCCAAAGTGCTGGGATTACAGGCATGAGCCACCACATCCGGCCCCTGCTCTATTATTTTGAAAGAGAGTTGGTTGTTTAGAAGAATCTGGCTCCTCCCACCCTGTTCCTCTTTTGCCATGTGACATGCCTGGTCCCCCTTCCCCTTCCACCAGGAGTAAAAGGCTCCTGAGGTCTCACCAGAAGCTGAAGAGATGCTGGTGCCATGTTTGTACAACCTATATAGCCATGAGCCAAATAAACCTCTTTTCTTTATAAATTACCCACTCTCAGGTATTTATAGCAACACAACATGGACTAACAAGTACTGGGGCTATTTCTGCTAAGATTTTGCAATTCAGCTTCTCTGTGTTTGTTTTGCTTCTGGAATCCCCTCTAAATTGTCCTGCATCCTGCCTTTTCACCCCTCAGTCCAGTAAGATTTTTGCTTTCTTCTGCCTGTGTTGTATGCAGGTTGACAAATGCAAGCAGTCTATGTTACTGCAGACTTTCAGATATTGCCAGGATTATTTCACTCTTTCAAGGGTAGACCTCACTCTAGGTTCTTTCTGATTTTTCCCCAGGTTCCCCTGAGTGTCCCACACCCATGGGGAGTTTAGTGTTCAACCAGGGATGTGAGCATAGTTTGTATTCAGATTTTGAATCTGAATTCTTCAGCAGATCTCTTTCAAAATTGCCTGACTGATGTAAACATGTAAAAATGTAAACATTTTTAGCTTATTTGGGCTTTTAACTCTATAAACTGCCCTATTGATCCATTAGGGCTGCAGTTACCTGCTGGGAGTTTGGAGCAAACTCATAGGTAAGGAGGAAAGGCCACCAACTTGCAGCTTTTACCCAATAGATAGTCTCAAGATCAAAGCACTATTACATTTCTGCTCGCCTTTGTTTGTTTTCCAGTGACTTCAAATATTTATTTTTATGATTTTGTCCAGTTCTCATATTGCTATTTAGAGGAAGACTTGCTGATCTACCTGTTCATGTTGCCATTACCAGAAGTTCTGTCCTAAAAGAGACTTTTGGGAGAAAATGTCACAGCTCACAATTCAATTTTGTGAGACAAATAAGGATCCAGACACCAGAGATTCCTTGTTCAGGTTTTTCAAATTGAAGTAAGTTGAGGCCTTCTGTTTGTAACCCCAAATTTCTAAAAGAATCGCTGACTTCATATGACCCCCAATGATAAAGAAGGACACTCTACATAGATTGGACTCATTACTATTTAAGACAGCACATTCCATACCTAGGAAATTTCTGACTCTGTAAATCAAGTCACCAATGCTGCAGTTAAATTTGAGTGGAGGCCAAGGAAGTAGTTCAGTTAAGTGTGAAACAAGCACTGTCCCTCTCCCCTACCCTCTCTTAAAATCATGCAATCACATGTGTCTTCATTCAATCCTACAGCTGATTGGAAGCTGTTGGAAATGAGACTCCCTCATTATTCAGGCCCTGGGCTTTTCAACTCAAGGAATTCCTCCAAGATTGGAGTACAAGCTCTTTGAAAAATAACTGCACCGGTGTTATTAAACGTTAATGAAGATAAATAATTTCAACAAAGAAAAAATGTGATTTCTTATCTTGTGAGGGGATTTCTCTGCACCAAAATCCGGTAAGTTAGTACAAGTTCAAAACATTCCATAAGAAATGGAAATGTCATTCTGATCCAGGCAGGCATCAAACATATCTGCCATTTGGCCTAAATGCTTCCTTGGATATGTGTGTGTGTGTGTGTGTGTGTGTGCGTGTGTGTGTGTGTGTGCGTGTGTGTGTGTGTGTGTGTGTGTGTGTGTGAAACAGGCATAGGAGCTCACTGCTCAAGTTCCAGGGCTTCGAAGAAAAGCTTTATTCTTTATTCTTCTACTAAATAACAGTTCCTGGCTTGCTACTGAGCCCTGGTAGATTCTGAATGCCATGATCATGATACAGCAAATGACCAAGTGACTTGAGATGTCCACCATGACCTGGATTTTATTTATTCACTTATGGTCACCAGCACTCAGTGAGCATTCAGGAGGAAGTGGATATATATACTGTATATACATACAGTATCAGACCTGAGCTGGTCCTTAGCAAGGCCAGCCAAGTTGCCTCATAATATGTACTATATTCCTAGTATTCTTATTACCACTGGTAAATCCACTCTCCCTTGTCTCATCCTTGGGGTCTTGAGGAGTTCCCTAAGGACTGTTGACTATAGAAGAAGAAATTTGAATATGCTTTGAATACCCAAAAGTGTACTTTGCAGCATTACAGCCCTTTTCAGGAATTGTCATAAAGAAGAGTGGAAAGGAAAGTACCTCCAGCAGGAAGATTTTCAATCAGACCATCTGGAAGTTCATTTTGCCTAAAGAAATATCTTATTGTTAGATCCTCATCAATGCATGGGTAGTGACTAATAGTTTGCTCAGGTATTCAATGACTTCAAAGGAACAAGATGGGAAGGTTTGTGATAAGGAGCTTTAAGGATAAGGTGTGAACCACTAATGTGGCATATTAGGTATCTACGCCTACTCTCATGCTAACAAAAAATGGGTTATCAAAAGATAAAATACATCATAAAAGCACTGAGAGGCTTTCACATCAGTGAAAACTGTCTAATAAATATCAGGAAGCTCTGAATTTACTTTTATCCTGAGCTCATTTGCTCAATGTAGACAAGTTAAGCTTTAGTTTCCATGGCCTCATAAGGAATTTGGAATAGGAGGCAAGTCTCAAGTAGCACTCAAAGTGGGAAATCTCCTAGGATGATCTCCTCCATTTTGCTGGGACCCCTAAGTTCAGTTCCTCGGTGTAAGAGAAATGCCCCATGCTCAAAGGACTGCAGGAACAGCTGCCTTGGTGCTGAGTGGAACTGGGAGTAAACACAATGGCCCCACACATGTATTTGCAGCCCAAGTTCTCACTACCTGGATTGTCTGGCAATCATCAAGTTGTGAATTCAGTTTATAGTGGGCCAGGCTCCAAGGAACCTGTCAAAAAACAAACGCAAATAACACGCAAAACAAACACAAATCCTCTCTGGAGGAAGATGTCATCAACCACACTTAAAATTTCCTAAAATTATTCCATAAGCAAAATGAGCACTTACCAGGAAAACAACAACAAAACTATTTACAAGATACAAGTCACCATGAAAGATCAAGCAGAAACACCATACAGCAGAATAATAAGAATAAGACATAAAATAGCCCTGCTTCCTGTGATTAAAAAACAGGCTTTAAAAGACTTCCAGTTAATCAGAAACTACAAATAATGTTCAGGAAAAATTGAAAAGACAAATATAAAACATTTAGAAATGAAATACATGATAATATAAAAATCAAGTCTCAATGGATTTTTTCCAAGCAAAGACAATTTGACACAAACACGCTTTTACTGAAGGGAGTTCTAAAGAATATGCTTCAGGCAAAAGGCGAAATCCTGGTTGGAAGATACAAGATAAAAGAAAACATAAATACAAAATAAAAATCAAAAATGAAAGTAAATGTGTGGTTAAATTTAAATTAAGGTGAGGTTAAAAAGGACAGCATATGAGTTTTGAGGGAATATATAGTTAGTTAAAATCTATATCCATTCTCTCTTGTCCATACAATAATGCTGGATTTCTTTTCTTTACATTCTGATCTAAAATTTCAAGATAAACTTCTAAATCATAGTGTTGTCTAATTTGATTTTGCTTTGTACATTTTAGTATAGGGCATATAAAGGGAATATTCTGTGGGTCTTTCTATGTCATCTTTCCAAGGATTGCTGAATCCTTGTAAGTGATGCATGTACAAAGTCATATGTAGAGTTTTCACTAGTGCAGTTTTCCACAGTAAGATTGCCATTTGTAAAGGTGGTGGGACCTGCTAGTTTGTCTTTCAGAACCATGGACAGTTCTACACGTCCTGGGATGTAGGGAGCCAGATCCTCTTTCACCTGGATACCATGATACATCAGGGAGAAAAGTTTAAAAAGAACCTTAATAGTCATGAAACTGTGATTTTAAATATAGTCAGTAACCATAGTCTCAAATACTGCATTCTTCTTCCCCCTCTTCCTGCCCCTAATACTTTATTAGCCATGTATTTCATGGTCATTGCCATAGAAGGACCTGTTTGAGCAGAAGACACGACTTTAGGCCAGTCTTGGCATGACACTATAGTGGCTGAAGAGCAATAGATCTAGAACAAAACTGCCTGGAACTGAATTCTGGCCTCAAATCTTCATAATTGTGTTACCCTGGGCAAGTTACTTAAACTTTCTGAACCTAATTTTCTTGAGCAAGTTACCTATACTTTGTAGACTTCTTGACTTCCTTCCTTCCTTCCTTCCTTCCTTCCTTCCTTCCTTCCTTCCTTCCTTCCTTCCTTCCCTCCCTCCCTCCTTCCTTCCTTCTTTCTTTCTTTTGAGACAGAGTTTTGCTCTCTTTGCCCAGACTGGAGTGCAATGGTGCAATCTTAGCTCACCACAACCTCTGCCTCCCGGGTTCAAGTGTTTCTCCCGCCTCAGCCTCCCAAGTAGCTGGAATTACAGGCACCCGCCACCAAGCCCAGCTAATTTTGTATTTTTAGTAGAGACAGGATTTCACCATGTTAGCCAGGCTTGTCTCGAACTCTTGACCTCAGGTGATCCGCCCTCCTCGGCCTCCCAAAGTGCTGGGATTACAGGTGTGAGCCACAACACCCAGCCTAAACTTCATTTCTTTATTGTGGATAAGAACATTTTTTTCATATGGTTGTGATAAATACTGAACAAAATAACTTATGTAGGTACTTAAGCCAATGCCTGGAATACAGCAAGTGCCCTTTAAATGCAGCCACTATTATTATTATAGTTGTTGCTATCGTTATTTTCCATGTAATACATTGAGGACTTTCTTTTTCATAGGTTCCCATGAAGGCTCTCTAAGGACTTGCTGAATGAGCAAGATTTGTTAAGATCATGAAAATTCTCTAGGCATAGCCCTACTAAAATTTTTCAGAAGTTCCCAATATCTTATCCACAGATTTCCTTTGATGTCAGAATATTAGTCTTGGTTAGGGGCATCTTCTGGAGTTTGAGTGTAGTCTGGTGTTTTGGGAAAAGAATTATTTCAATAATAGTAAGGCTCAATAATGTTAAAACTGAGAGTTTCAAAATGTTTAATCTGAAGCAAGGGTAGAGCAGATACTTCCTCAATGGGAAGAGGAGAATGTACCAATTGCAAGACAGCTAAAGAAATATGTGTTTGCTTATTGTCAGTGTTAATAACAGTGTTTTTATTAGTCAAATGCCTCATGTGGTACATTCTTCTGAATAAATATCTTTAAAGGCCTCCGCAAAAAAGGACCTCTGGCCAACACCATCCTCCAAGTCAAATGGGAAGAATCAATTAAGCAGAGGATGCACCAATCAGTTCATGAAAAGTTCAAGCCTCATGTTTTACAGAATTAAGTCCAATAATGAGAAGAAATCGGACATAGAATTCAACATATATCTTGAACATAGAAGGTGACATTTTAGCTCTACAGGTCCCTGAGAACGTTTTACACTTTGCTTTGATGAGATGTGGTGAGCACACATTTGATGTATTAGGTATTTTTGCAAAAGTATTTTATAGATGTCTTTTCATAGGTACTCTGAGATTACCTTCAAGAAAGATAAGTTATAAACTCATTTCTAGAAGGCTAAGTTCAAAATTTAGTGGCATAAGCAAGCAAACATTTCAAAGAAATACTGGCTATACTTTGCCATCCTGTGGAAAGACTGGACAACTGCAATGGGGTAGCCTCAATTTTTGCCCTGAAAGGAATCCTTAGAACTCATCATACTCAGATATGCTTATTTTAAAATGAAATGAAAAACAAGTAACTCAAACTTTGTGACATCCTCCACTAATATTTTTCAATATATATTTCTGCCACTTGTCATTTCAAAATATGATTTCTACTTCTATATATATTCTATTGCAATTACATTATATATAATATTCATGGTGCTTCATACACATAAACACACTTGATCCTTACAATCCTGTACAGTTGTCAGAGAAGAACTCATTATTCTGTTTTTTTTTTTACTAATAAATAAATAAGGCCTAAAAATATTCCATAAAACCCCAAAGGTGAGAGTTGTGAGCTCCTGGGCATACCAACTTCTTGACCTTCCAAATTGTTCTCTCTCCTCTCCTTTAAAAATATGGGGGAAAAATCAGATTGATGGTATCTTCTTATCCTAATAATTAACTGACTGAACAGAAAGATAGACTGAGACAATGTAGTGGACAGTCTAATATTAGAATTTTAAAACCTTATTCTGTCACCCCGATGCAGTGGTTTTTTAAATACATATAAGAATATGAAAAACATGTTTGGGGAAATTGAATCATAGCACCTAATGCAATTCCTCCAATTAGTAAGCTGTCAATACTTGTTAAATAAATGCATATACGAAGGTTAAAATTTGGAAGGGATGGAAGGAAGCATAAGCAAGAACATAAACACAAACCTTTATCCATTAGATAAAATGATAAAAGGTCCATAAGTGAGGGGAGACCAGTGGGGCTAAGAATGTAGAGGAATGTTTGGGAAAACTGCCAGAACATGGTGCCTGACCTCTCACAGAAGAGAGGATGAGAAGCAAGGTAGCTCGCAGATTAACTGACTGAGGAAAGCAGAAACTAGGAGGACTTGGAGTGTGGTATGGTGGACACCAACCCCAGATCCATTGACTAGCTGCTCACAATCCCCCAAGAATTTTTAAGAGTGAAGTGTTCTGCTTCCGGAGATTGATTCTGTAGGCCTAGGAGAGGGCCAGAAATAGTTACTTATAAAAGGTTCTCCGTGGGATTTGGCATGACTGCATTCTAGACTTTAGAGTGTAATATCCAGGCCAACTTAGGGACCACAAAAAGGAGGATTCTACCTATAGAATGCCCTAGAGAGGTTGAGAGGGCAATAAGATTAAGCAAAGTCCACTCTGTTGCAACTAGAGGTGGCTGCTGACACTTGAGAATTGACAAGAAGTTCAGAATGAGCAAAGGCGCAGAAACGGACAGAGTGATGGATAATCAGGGGGCAATGAGGAGACTGGCCTGGCAAGAGCATGTTCTCAAAATGGGAGGGGCTTTGGAGCTGTAGGGTCAGAGGTGGCCAAATGAGAGGCTTGGCATTTATAAGTGAGCTTGATAAATTAAATATTTGAATAAGACTGAGGTATGAAAAGAGCTATGATGTGCTCAGTGGCTAAATGACTAAAGTCAAGATGTTTTCAACTCAACCTGACTGAGCTAGATGGAAGATTTGGTAATTAGATATGAAGGGAATGGAGATAAGTCTCTTACTTACCTTCTCCAGATGATACCTTCTACCTGTTTGCAAGCGCTCTTGGGCTGGAGTACAAGGGTGGTTTCAGGGACAGAGAAATTTAGAGGCAGAGAGGGAACCTCTAAGACTAGGAAAGTAAGCGTGGCTGGGCCTAGAGAAGCTGAGTTCCAAATGTAGTTACTGACTTTATATACAGAAGCAATGGGATTGTCAGTCAGTCAGTCTGCCTAGCTAGTCAGTTAGATCATCAGATTAACCACTATCATGTAGTGCTGTGGGAAATCAGAAAACTCTGGGATGGCTGTAAGGATATGTGTGTAAAGATGTCTGTGCAGTGGACATTCAGTGTAGTGACAACTAAAGGAAACCATCTGAATATTTACACTAGAGAAGCAGTTGCATGCAAAATACTATGGAATTAGGGTTTAAAATGATGAGCTCAAGCTTTCTCTATGAAATTGGTGAGATGTTCACAATATAAATAAAAAACATCAAGTAACAGGGCATTATAAATAGAATAGTTGAATTTTTTGCTACAATGAACAAGAAAATAAAATAAAGCTCATCTGAATTGAAAAGAAAGAAGTAAAACTACCTTCGTTACAGATGATATGATCTTATACATAGAAATCCAAAAGAATTTACTTTAAAAAAGCATTACAACTAAAGAATTTTATCACATTGGCAGGATACAAAATCAAAATATAAAAATCAATTGTGTTTCTATACAGTATCAATGAATGAAAAATGAAAAATGAAAATCTTGAAACTATATATAAAAAGTAGCTCAAAATGTATCAAAGACCTAAGTGAAAGAGTTAACATTAGAAAACTCTTAGAAGGAAACAGGCCAGGCACGATGGCTCATGTCTGTAATCCCAGCATTTTGGGAGGCCAAAGTGGGCAGACTGCTTGAGCCCAGGAGTTGGTAGACCAAACTGGGCAGCATGGCAAAACCCTGTCTCTACAAAAAATACAAAATTTAGCCGGGTGTGGTGGCATGCACCTGTAGTTTCACCTACTCAGGAGGCTGAGGTGGGAGAATCACTTGAGCCTGAGGAAGTTGAGGCTGCAATGAACCGTGATTGCACCACTGCACTCCAGCCTGGGTGACAGAGTGAGACTGTGTCTCAAGGAAAAAAAAGGAAAGAAAGTAAGGAAGGAAGGAAGGAAAGAAGGAAGGAAGGGAGGGAGGAAGGAAGGGAGGAAGAGAGGAAGAAGAAAAAAGAAAGAAAGAAAGAAAATAAAACATAGGCATAAATCTTCATGGCTTTGGATTAAGTAAAGGCACCTAATCTTAAATGTGACACCAAAAGCATAAGCAAAAAAAGAAGAAAAAGATAAACTGGACGTCATCGCATTTAAAAACTTTTGTATGTTTACAGATGCCATCAAGAAAGTGAAAAAAAAAACCCCACAGAATGGGAGAAAATTTTTGCAAATCATACATATGGTAAAAGAGAAAATTTTGTCTATAATATATAAAACCGGTTATAACTCAATAGTAAAAAGGCAAATAATCAAATTTAAAAATAAAGGATTTGGATTTACAGTTCTCCAGTGAAAATATACAAAAGGCCAATAAGCACGTGGAAACATGTTCAACATCATTAACCATCAGGAAAATGCAAATCGGCCCTACAATGCGATAGTATTTCACACTGTGAGACAAAGTAGTAAATGTCAGAAGCTGACTTTTACTTGCCAGCATAATTTCACAAAGTCCCTGTGAGAGTTGCACATCCTCCTAGTTCATCGTGAGGATGTGCAACTCTCTGGAAAGATGCTTTGAGGACAAAACAGGATAAAGCACACAGCCCCCAACGTCTCTTGCCTAAGCCACTATATTCCTTAAAAGATGAATGCCCTTGCTTTTCCCTGCACATAAGATAATGTCTGACGGGCATAGTGATCATGCTTCTGTAATCTACACTGGACGTATTCCTGCTTCCAAACTTTGATGTGATTCTGCTTTAATGTAACTTCTTACCAAGTGTGATGTGATGTTGCAATACAGAACACCTATAATATAAGCAGTGGGCTGAAATACTGAGCTGGTACAGTCTGATAGAGCCTCTCTAAAGGGCTGTTCTTGGGTTGTAGGCCTCCGTCTATAGTCCTCAGTAAGATTTCCAAATAAAACTAAGTTAATTCTTTAAAGTTTGATTTTTTCCCTTAGTTGTAACCACCCACTAGAATGGCTACAATAAAAAGATAATAATGAACACCGATGAGGATGCAGAGAAACTGGAAGCTTCATATACTGCTGGTGGGAATATAAAGAGGTGAAGCCCCTTTAGAAAACAGGCCAGCACTTCCTCAAAATGTCAAACACTAAGTTAGCATATGACCCAGCTATCCCCTCCTAGGTATACAGCATACCCAAGAGAAACAAAAACATCTGTCCACACAAACACCTATACGCAAATGCTTACGGCTGCATTATTAATAATAGCACAAAATAGAAAGAACCCAAATGTCCATCAACTAATAAATGAATAGGCAAATTGTGATATATCCATACAATGAAATATTATTCAGTAATAAAAAAGACGTGAAGTACTGCCACATGCTACAACCCAGACGAACCATGAAAATGTTACGGTAAGTGAAAGAAGCCAGACACGAAAGGCCACATATCGTATAATTTCCCTTACGTGAAATTTCCAGAATAGGCAAATCTGTAGATATGGAACACAGGTTAGTGGCTGCCTAGGGCTAGGGGAGTTGAGAGGAAATGAGGAGTGGCTGCCAATGGGTATGGGGTTTTTTGTGGGGTGATGAAAATGTTCTGGAATTGATAATGATAATGTTGGCACAACTATGTGAATATACTAAAAACCACTGACTTGTATATAATGAATGTGTGAATTTTATGATATGTAAATTATATCTCAAGTTGTTGTAAAATGATTAAACTACAAATAAAATTTGAGGACTTTTGCTAAAAAAAAGCTACAAAGTAAAAACACTCAACACTTAATATAGGTGCCTATGTTTGTATGAAAATGGAGAAAGTAGACACATAGAGAGTAGATTGATAACATAAATTACCTTAGTAAAGTGGGCATAGATTTAGAGATAGAAGATATTTTAAAATATATTTATACATATTGTGATGATTTCATTTCCAACTCTGAGCATGTATTATTTGTACACTAAAATTTTAAAAATAGAAAGTTAAGAATCTTGAAAACTCTTCAGCCAAATAAAAAATAGTAACAAACAAACAGCAATAAAGAGCCATCTGGAATTTCTTCTTGGAGAATTGGCTTAAGCATACACAAGGTAAAAAGAGGACAATGGCTGAAGAATCAAGGCAGGACTACAGCAGTAGGTGAGAAGAAAATGTAAGCGCGGAGCTATAAGACAAGGTAGAGAGAAGATGACAGAGCCAAGAAGTGGACATGAATCCTATAAAACACTCTTGGAGACTCAGAAATGACTGGGTTTATGTAGGAGAGAAACTGCAGCCTAGAGTCCAAGACGGCCAGACACCAGGGACAGGGCATGGAATCAGAAGTGCTTTCCAGTCATTTCTTTTTGTCTCCCTCCATCACCCCCGCAAAGTCGTTGCTTAAATTACAGCTATTGCACCTTGAGATGGTGGTACCATTTGGAGACTTTAAGATAATAGAAAGGTAGGCCGGGCGCGGTGGCTCACGCCTGTAATCCCAGCACTTTGGGAAGCCGAGGCAGGCGGTTCACGAGGTCAGGAGATGGAGACCATCCTGGCTAACACGGTGAAACCCCATCTCTACTAAAAATACAAAAAAAAAAAAAAAAAATTAGCCAGGCATGGTGGCGGGCGCCTGTAGTCCCAGCTACTTGGGAGGCTGAGGCAGGAGAATGGAGTGAACCCAGGAGGTGGAGCTTGCAGTGAGCCGAGATCGCGCCGCTGCACTCCAGCCTGGGCAACAGAGCGACACTCCCCTCAAAAAAAAAAAAAAAAAAAAAAAGATAATAGAAAGGTAACTTTTGAGCTCTTCTGAGGTAAGGAAGTGTATTAGTGTAGCTTTTTCCAGGAAAACCACCACACTCTAGTATAACATTTTAGGAATAACGTGTTCAATATAGGAATTAGAGCCTATACTAATGTTGGAAAATCTAGGAGAGCAAATATTGGTGAAGTCATGTTGTAGGCAAAATAAAGGTCTCCCAAGATGCCTATGTCCTAACCCCTGGAACTTGTGAAAATGTCACCTAATATGACAAAAGGAAGTTTTCAGATGTGATTAAGTTGAGGCTCATGAGATGGGAAGATTATCCTGTATTATTCAGGCAGGTCCAATACAATCACAATGGTCGTTATAAGTGAAAAAGGTAGCAGCAGAGTGAGAATTGGAGAGGGAGATGTGACAACAGAATCAGAGGTCAAAGTGATGGGACTGCTGACTTTAGAAGATGGAGGAAGGAACCACGAGCCAAAGAATGCAGGCAGCCTTAAGAAGTGGAGAAGGTGAGGAAACAGATTTTCCCTCAGAGCCGCCATAGGAATGCAGCCCTGATGACCCCTTATTTTAGGCCAGAGAGACCCATATCAGACTTCTGACCTCCAGAACTGTAAGATAATAAATTTGAGTTGTTTTAAGCCACTTCATAGCAGTAATTTGTTACAGCAGAAACAGAATACTAATACCAGTCACCATTGTAGCTCTTGGAGGCTGCAGCTGGGAGGTCAGGGAAGCATGTGCTGAAGAACTTAGCCTGAAGCACAGGTGGGAGGTTCCTAGAACCCTGCTGGGAGATTGCAGTCATTCTCCAGAACCTCTGAGAAAGCTCCCACCATTCATCTCGGTCTGCACAGGCAAAGCAGATGGGTCTTTGGCCTAGCACAGAAGCCACTGAGAACCTGACATCTGCCTACTCTTCTGCCTGCAGCCACGACTGATGGGTAGAGGCCTGTCTCTCCATCTCTTCTGGGCACCATATCTCATGCAAGTTTCTCTGATTGGAAAATGTGAATCGGAACTATACAGGGAAGGGGATTCTGGGAGACATACTCCTTGCTTCTCGGCAGAGAAGGTGGCTGCTGATTTGATAAGACACAATCCTGCACATTAGTTAATGATGGCAAGTGTAGATGGGCTTGTTGACCCCTGATTGACAAAGCAAAGATTCCACAGCTGATGTAAACTAGTGATGTGTTTAAGAGACTTGTTTAAACTCAGCAAATATTAAGTGTGATGTGTCATGGATTATGAAAAGAGTAAACTCATGGTTTGTGCTATTTACCTCAGTATTACTGAAGAAGGATCCTAGAAGCCCACTGATCCAGCTAGACCTTTATGTTTTTTTAACTTTTATTTTAAGTTCAGGGGTCCGTGTGCAGGTTTGTTATATAGGTAAACTTGTATCATGGGGATTTATTGTATACATTATTTCATTACTCAAGTATTAAGCCTAGTACCCATTAGTTATTTTTCCTAATCCTTGCCCTCCTCCCAGCCTCCAATAGGCCCCAGTCTCTGTTGTTCCCCTCTTTGTGTCCATGTGTTATAATCTAACTTCCACTTATAAGTGAGAATATGTGGTATTTGGTTTTCCATTCCTGCCTTAGTTTTCTAAGGATAATGACCTCCAGCTCCATTCATGTTCCTGCAAAGGACATGATGTTGTTCTTTTTTATGGCTGCATAATATTCCATGATGTATATGTACCACATTTTCTTTATCTAGTCTACCATTGGTAGGCATTTAGGTTGATTCCACGTCTTTGCTGTTGTGAATAGTGCTGCAATGAACATACACATGTATATGTCTTTATAACAGAATGATTTCTATTCCTTTGGGTATATACCCAGTAATGGGATTGCTGGGCTGAATGGTATTTCTGTTTTTAGGTCTTTGAGGAATTGCCACACTGTATTCCACAATGGTTAAACTAATTTACACTCCCACCAACAGTGTATAAGCGTTCCTTTTTCTCAGCAACCTGGCCAGCACCTGTTATTTTTTGACTTTTTAATAATAACCATTATGACTGGTGTGAGATGGTATTTCATTGTGGTTTTGATTTGCATTTCTAATAATCAATGATGAGCTTTTTTCATATGATTGTTGGTTGTATGTATTTCTTCTTTTGAGAAGTGTCTGTTCATTTCCTTTGCCCACTTGTTAATGGGGTTGTTTCTTGTAAATTTCTTTAAGTTCCTTATAGATGCTGGATATTAGATCTCTGTCAGATGCATAGTTTGCAAAACTTTTCTCCCATTGGGTAGGTTGTCTATTTACTCTGTTGCTAGTTTTCTTTGCTGTGCAGAAGCTCTTTAGATTAACTAGATCCCATTTGTCAATTTTTGCTTTTGTTGTCATTGCTTTTGGTGTCCTCATCATGAAATCTCTTCCCATTCCTATGTCCTGAATGGTATTGCCTATGTTGTCTTCTAGAGTTTTTATAGTTTTGGGTTTTACATTTAAGTCTTTAATCTATCTTGAGTTAATTTTTGTATATGGTGTAAGGAAGGGGGCCCCGTTTCAATCTTTGCATATGACTAGCCAGTTATCCTAGCACCATTTATTGAATAAGGAATTCTTTCCCCATTGCTTGTTTTTGTCAAGTTTGTCAAACATAAAATAGCTGTAGGTGTGCAGCCTCATTTCTGAGTTCTCTTTCTGTTCCATTGGTCTATGTGTCTGTTTATGTACCAATACCATGCTGTTTTGGTTATTGTAGCACTGCAGTATAGTTTGAAGTCAGATAGCATAATGCCTCCAGCTTTGTTCTTTTTGCTTAGGATGGCCTTAGCTATTTTTGGTTCCATATGAATTTTAGAATAGTTTTTTCTTTTTCTTTTTATTTGTTTATTTATTATTATTATTTTAGATGGAGTCTTGCTGTGTCACCAGGCTGGAGTGCAGTGACATGATCTGGGCTCACTGTAAACTCCACCTCCCAGGTTCAAGCAATTCTTATGCCTCAGCCTCCCAAGTAGCTGAGATTACAGGCATGTGTCACCACACCTGGGTAATTTTATTTTTATTTTTTGTATTTTTAGTAGAGACTGGGTTTCACCATGTTGGCCAGGCTGGTCTCGAACTCCTGACCTCAAGTGATCTGCCCGCCTCGGCCTCCCAAAGTGCTGGGATTACAGACATGAGCCACCAAGCCTGACCTTAAAATAGTTTTTTTCTAGAACTACATATTTAAATTGGAAAAGATGTGTTGTATTCTCTGAATCCTAGTGGCTCACAGGAGCTGTCTAGAATAGCCTGACTATAGCAATTCCTAGTTAAGCCAGAAGTTTGAAATGAGTTCAAAGTGTAGGGATAAAATTCCAGTGAGAGGCAGAAAACTGGAAAGTTAATGCTTTTCCATGTTAATCAATCAAGTCCATAAATTGTTTATATGTGTAGCTTTCTCTCTTAATTTGAATAATTTCTTAGAGATGAGTATCACTGTGAAGTGTGGGGTGGCTATGAAAGTATAAGATTGCTTCTAGCAACTCACACAGTCACTCATGGATGCTCGGCCCAAGACCCTGATAGCCACGGTTCCACTCCAAGGGAAAAGAGGCCATCTGAGGAGCAAATAGAACTCTATCACAAGATGAGTGCAGGAAACACCCCAAACACAGTCCCTAAGGTCGATGCAGAAACAGCGTAAGAAGAAAGTGTCCAGATATCCAGAATCCTATGAGGTAGGGATTCAGAACTCTCAAAGGCCACCCTCTTACATCTGTCAATAGGTCAAGGTTTCTGTGGATGTGTGTGGCTGTGGCTGACAGGGACCCCAGTGATCCCTATGAGGTTAGACGTAGCTTAAGAGAGAATAAGGGGCACGCACATGCACACACACACACACACACGCACACACACACGCACACACACACAGAGTCAAGGGCAGCCCTTCAAAGCTTCCCATCATCTTCCTCTGTCCATATTTCATTCTCCATCAGCTCACTTTCCATTTTTTCCTTTTTAAGCAATAACAAATTAGTTATATGATGCTGGCTGGTGTGGTGACTTACATTTGTAATCCTAGCATTTTGGAAGGCAGAGGCATGGAAATGGCTTAAGCCCGAGAGTTTGACAGCTGTGTGATTCTAGACAGAGTCCTTCACTTCTCTGTGTCTCCATTTTCTCATCCATTTTATGTGAATCACTATTTCAACAAACAGGGATCAAACGTAGACTGTTTGAGGGAAAAGTAAGTAAGCCAGTGTAGCTGTCTTCATTGATCCTGGTGTCCAGTAGGGGAGATGGACACCTTTTTTAGTGTCATACCTAATGTTACACATTTTAAAAGTAAATTTTTTTTAAATTTGTATGTGTTGTCTCTTGAACTCTCACTATGGAGAGACACTCTCAGTGTGCATTGTTACTGTAAGAATCCCTATTTTTCATCTATCCAACAAATACAGCTTGAAGGCCCAGAATATGCCAGCTTCTGTGCTCCTCCTTGAAAATAGAACAGTGAGGAGCATAAACATAGGCATTTATGTTCTGAAGTTACAGTGTAGTGAGAAAGAAATACATGAGCCAGATGAATAGAAGCTACTACAAAAAGTGCTTTGAGAAGGAAGGAAAGGATCTGTGAGAAAAGAAAGGAGAAAGAGCAAAGCCAGTTTCAGGAAAGCAGGCTAAACTTCCAACAGGAATCCAAGTATAAAAAAAAAAAAAAAAAAGCAGGAATTAGGCAGACCCAAGCAAAGGGAACACCTAGTCCGACCAAAAAATGAAAGGCTTTGCAGCATGTTTGTGAAACTGTAAGCAGAATCACTGGCTAGTGCAAGAGGAGAGAGAGAGAAAATTGGAAAAGTGTGCAAGGTCCTGTTCACACAGGGTTGGGAAAATTGGTTAAGAATTTGGGTGTTATCCTGAGGTTAATAGTGAGTCATTAAAATATTTTAAGTAAGAAAGAAACAAAAGTGGATTTTTGTTTCAGCAGGATTCCTGCAATTGTAGGGCACTGACCCAAGTCTTGCTTGGGTCAGAGCAAGACTGGAGGCAATAAAATGAGTTGGGAGATTTTGAAGAACTCTGAACAACAGAAAGAGTGACAAGATCTAGGGCTGTGGAGACTACGCTGGGATCCAGGAGGACAGGCACTAGAGATGGTGCAGCTACAAAGGCTCGGGGGCAGGGTCGGGAAAGCCTGAAGCTCCCACTTGTGGAGCAGAGGAGAGGTCTAACACCTGCACACCCCAGTGAAGGGGCAGAATGGGAGTGAACAAGGGAGCCCCTGGGCTGGGATTTTCCATGTTTCTGGCACTAGGACGGGGTGGGCAACACAGTGTGGAGCCCAGAGTAGAGTAGAATTGCAGGTTGTCACTCAACAAGATGTGCAGCAGCTAAAGGTTGTGGGAGTCATGTAGGGGAAGGTAAATCCAAAGTAGCTAGAAGATGCACAAGACAATAACCCCTGGCTCAGAACCTCTGCACACTTGCAGGCATTTGGTCTACTCTGTAATTGATTTGCCACTGGGAACCTGCTAGCTCCCCCACTCCTTTCTCGTGATCCTTTCTATGATCTGGCTCTTTGGTCCTCCTGTTGAACCTCCCTCCCATGCACAGTTGCTGGATGACGTCTCTTGGTGCCTCCATAATTGCTCACTAATGTGTGGTGTCCTTTCATTCCCAGGCTAGAAGGGCCTAAATATGAAAAAAATCCTGAAGAGACCAGGCTCCTTTCCTCCATCCTTTCTCCTTAGGAAAGCAGGAGGAGATGAGACACTTCAAAATCCTGGAGGTACAACCACTGGGACATGTGATGTGATCCCAGAAACTTGAGAGAAAGGAAGGGGTCTCAGGACGGGGTGTGTGTGTGTGTGTGTGTGTGTGACACTAGAGAGTTTGGGACAGGACTATGTCCTCTGTGCAGAAACAGCTGAAAACCTGGAGTTGAGAATTTCTACTGAAGGTCCCAGAAACACCCTGAGAAGAACAGGAAAATGGGAAGAGACAATCATAGTGACTGGCAAGTGAAGGATAAATAGCCAGGAGACATTTTTTTAGGTTTTCATAATTTACTTTACAAAATCATTGATAATGCATCAATGATAGATCCAAAAATATTTATTTAATCTCCTCTAGAGACAGTGATAGACTGTGACAATATAATGCTCAGAGAGACTTGGATTTAATTATAATCCAATTCTAATTGTGATTGTGACCACAGAGAGCCTGGAAGCAGTCTGTACTGGACCACATATACTGATTTATAATTCAGCTTTATGCTGGTTTCCACAGTTCTCACCACAGCTGCCACTGTGTCCCTCAATACTGAAGGGCATGTCCTGGCCAGGTTTTTCTGGCATTGAACAGGTACTGGCTACTTCTGGGTTCCCCTCACTTGCCTGCCACCTCCTGGTCTCCCTGAGTCACTGACAACTATGCCCTGTAGATGCCACTCTGTGGAGCCCAAGATCAAAAGACACTGTGAAGACTACAAAAGGGAAAAGGCCAGCACTTTGGGAGGGTGAGGAGGGTGGATCAGGAGGTCAGGAGATCGAGACCATCCTGGCCAGCATGGTGAAACCCCGTCTCCACTAAAAATACAAAATTAGATGGGCTACTCAGGAGGCTGAGGCAGAAGAATCACTTGAACCTGGGAGGCAGAGGTTGCAGTGAGCCAAGATCATGCCACTGCACTCCAGCCTGGCAACAGAGCAAGACTTTGTATAAAAAAAAAAAAAAAAAGAGAGAGAGAGTGAGAGAAAGAAGTTCATGTCGCCTGGACTAGCTCCATCCAGCAGTGCAAGGGAAAGATGCCGTGTTGACCAAATGTGCTGCTGATTTTCTGAATCTTGAGTGAGGATGGATCCACAATGGAGTCACAGTGGATTCTTCCTAACACCCAAACCCACAGAGAAAATGACTTCATAATCAGTGACTTCAGCAAACGCAGACCCTGGGAAGTCATGGTTTCTCATACACCATCATTTCTTTGTAGCAACTTCACATCTGGTTCTATCAAGAGGAATCCTTGTGGGTTAGGTGCCTTTGGAAAGATGTTTGTGTACTTCAGAGGATGGGAAATCTATTTTAAAGTACACTTCAAAGCCCTGACTTTATAAGGTTCTTAAGTATTGCCGGTTCCCAAACATTGCCAGTTGATACATAGAAATCTAGATATTAGATTCAGCTTTATCCTCTGGATATAACATGACAATTGTTAAAACTTTTCTCGCTTCCAACAATGATGCATAAAATGATGACATACCAAAGCAAAGCCTTGAGCAATCTTGAGAGAATCCCAGGGGCATATTTTACTCTGTTGAACATGTAGTCTGACATTGAGGGACCAATGTTGAGTGCCGTTCAAGAAAGTTTGGTGGGGATCCATCCGTTTCCTTAGTGAGCAATGTTTCCTCAGTTGAATGTGATCAGTTTTCCTATGTAGAAACTAGAGAACATTACCTAATCCCTGGTTTCCATAACAACCATTGAGCACCACCAGCACTGGGGGTGACACTGACAGGTCCTCACAGGACAAGTACTGTTGCCCCAAGTAAGGGCCTGCAGTGGAAGGGATGCAGAGCTTTAGCAGCAGGAACCTGAAACCTGAAACCTCACCACCAGGCACAGCATATAATCTGCCACTTCATGAGAAGTTTAACTTAATCATTGATCCACAATTGTGACACACTTTTAACCAAAGCCTAAAGGGAAATGAAGGCCTCATTACAGGTTCAACACAGTTTACAAACATCAGCCACAAAGACCCAGACTTATCTTAGGGATTGCTTTTGGCCTGGCGGGATTGAAGATGGGGATGCATTGGAGCTCTGCAGAGAACAATATGACCCTCTGTCACCCTGAAGGAAACAGAAGTTCCATACCAGGCATCATAGAATCTGATTTTGCCCACACATACTGCAGGCTCCTGAAGGAGAAAGTTCTCACCGGTACAAACCCTAAAAGTCAGTTTTCAGGAACAAATAGCTCTGTTTACTACTGTGAAATTTTTGAATCAAAAAGCAAATTTATAATGTCTAATAACAACATAAGTGGGTAGTAGGATCTTTGGAAGTTTTGGAATACTGTAGCACAGCGATGTTTCTGTTTTTTTAAAACAAAGTTATTTAATTTGTATAATGTTTCACAAATACTTAAAATAATACAAAATTACATTTTGAGCTTTGCATTGTCTTGTTAACATATGGTGATGCAGATAGAACGCAATTTATACTTTTAGATACAAATAATTGATTTTGAATTCAAGGAACTTGTTTGAATCAAGTACTTCTTTGGCATTTAATGAGTTTCTTGCAAACAGGTATCAACTTTTAAATTTGAGATACATAATTTTGCCTTACAACCATCCAATTAATTGCTTTTTAAACATTAGATTGTGATAGTTGTATTAGTTTCCTGTGGTTGCTGCAACAAATTGCCATAAACTTGATGGTTTAAAACAACAGAAATCTATCTTCTCACAACCTTGGAGGCCAGGAGCCCCAAATCAAGATCTCAGTAGGGCTATGCCCCTTCCAGAGGATCTAGGGGAGAATCAGTTCCTTGCATCTGTCATATTCTGGTGGCTGCAGGCATTCCTTGGCTTGTGGCTGCATCACTCCAATCTCTGCCTCTGTCTTCACATCACCTTCTACTCTGTGTGTCTGTGAACCTCAAATTCCCTATGGGTACTGGGCTTAATACTTGGGTGATGAAATAATTTGTACAACAAACCCCTGTGACACAGGTTCACCTATGTAACAAACCTTCAACGTGTACCCTCAAACCTAAAATAAAAGTTTTTAAAAATTCCCTCTCCTTGTCTTTTATAAAAATACATGTCATTGCATTTAGGGCTCACCCAGATACTCCAGGCTAGCTCATCCTCTCAACATTCTTAAATTAATCATATCTTTTGCCATACAAAGTAATATTCACTCTTTTGTCATATAAAGTAATAGTTACATGTTCCAAGGATTTGACATGGATATCCTTGGAAGGGTTGTCTTCCAGACTACCAAAGTAGTACATTAGTTTCCTATGGCTGTTATAACAAATTACCACAAATTTGGTGACTTAATATAAAACATATGTATTCACTTACCGCTCTTGAAATCAGCAAATTAAAATAATTTTGAGTGGACTTCAGTTCACTCAAAATTACTTTCAGTGGACTAAAATCAAGATGTCAGATGGGCTGGTTCCTTCTGTAGGCTCTAGGGGAGAACCCATTCCCCAATCCTGTCCAGCTTCTAAGGCTGTTTATGTTACTTGGCTTGTAAGCCCTTCCTCCACCTTCAAAATGAATCACTTCAGTCTCTCCTGGCATCATCACATTCCCTTCTCCTCTGACTCTGACACTTCCTGCCTCCTCTGATAAGGACCACTGTGATTATATTGGGCCCACCCAGCAAATCCAAGATAATCTCTCTCAAGATTCTTAATCACATTTACAAAGTCCTTTTTCCCAAATAAGGCAACACTCACAGTTTCTGGGGATTAGGATGAGATTAGGGACGATTAACGAGATTACTCAGGTAGTAATTTGTGAGTAAAATTATTATAGAGAGGCAAATTATTTATATCTTATAGTTTGCAGAGCAATGTTGTTTACTGTGACTTTGGCATGTATTTTTAGCAATTAAAATGCTTTAAGGATTTATACCACATATTGATGGCTTTTGATTCTTTTGTATTCAAGACTATGCACATTTGGGGCTGTGTTTTCTAGAAACATACACAGTAACAGTATCTGAGCAGAACTTAGAAATACTGTATTACTATGAGAAAGTACATTTCGTTAATCTAACACACATTATGATTTATATTTGGCTCACAAGTTGATATGCCTTCTCAGATTTTTTCAGCTGTTTCCTTCTTTCTCTTTCTAAGTCGGTGCTCTACCTGGACTGGGTCAACTTGCCTCTTCAGGACTAGAAGAAACACCATGTTGCAAGGCATGGTATAGAAATACAACTGACTGCTACATATTGATTTTGTATCCTGCAACTTTGCTGAATTTGTTTATTAGTGCTCTCTCTCTCTCTTCCTCTGTGTGTGTGTGTGTGTGTGTGTGTGTGTGTGTGTAATCCTTAGGGTTTTCTGCATATATGATCATGCTGTCTTCTAACAAAGATAATTCTACTTCTTCCTTTCCATTTTGGGTGTTTTACTTTATTTTTCTTGCCTAGTTACTCTGGCTAGAACTTCCAATACTAAGTTGAACAGATGTGGTGAATAGGTATATTTGTCTTGTTTCTGATGGTAGAGAAAAAGCCTTCCTCATTCTTTCTCCTTGAATATGATGTTAGTGATGGGCTGCTCATATATCGCCTTTATTGTGTTGAGGTAGTTTCCTTCTATTCCTAGGTTGTTGAATGTTTTTATCAGAAAGGGTGTTGAATTCTGTTAAATGCTTTTCTGTGTCAATCGAGATGATTATGTGGACCATGAAAGTTTTGAAGTAGGAGAGAGACAGATGACATTTTCCTTTACAAAGACCTCTCTGGTTGCAGGCAGTCTTTGGAGGAGAACAAGACTGAAGGCAAAGAAATGTGTTGGGAAATTTTGGCAGAAATCCCAGGGACAGGCAATGATGATCTGAGCTGGGGAAGTGGCCACACACTACGATTCGCACCCCAGACAAGAGCAGAAGCCTGAGATGGAGTAGCTCCATAGGCCTAGGTGGGAGAGAAGGCTGAACCAGAGACCAGAAGCGTGCTGAGCTGAGTACTAAGCCCGCTGCTGCAGGTCAGTTAGAGGTCCAGAGGGAAAGGAGCTGTGGGTCTCCCGGCTTGGGGCACTGTCACGCAAACTAGGTTTGCGGGGATTAAGCTCTAAGTATTCGTGCACTTGGAAGGAGCGACAGCAGATGGGGAGCGCTGAGCGAGGACAGGGATGTGCAGTCTGCAGAGAGAACAGGAGCCGCCCTCGGTCGGCTAGAGGGCTGCAGTGCAGTGCCAAAGGAGGGACTCTGGAAGAGCAAAGCTGAGATCTGCAGTGAAAGTGACAGCAGAAGAACTTGAGGAAAAATACATTTCTCTGCTTTTTCGACTGTATTTGGTCTCTCTTTTCTAGCACTGGAGCCCATCTTCCTCTTTTCTTCCTTCTGGCCCTTTCTTCAATTGGACCATGTTTTCCTCCTATTGAAACACCCTCCTATTGTGACACTGCAAACCTCCAATAAATCGCCAACACTGTCCCTTGAGTCTCCAGAGTGTCTCACTCTTTCCAGACATGCTGGTGATTATTCATCTGCTTCATCTGCCTCCTTCCTGAGCTATGGCTCCAGGTGGAAGTGGTCAGCCTTCCTACATAGAACCTAGACACACATTACCCAATCCATGGCCCATAGCAAACTTCCAGAGCTCAGCAGCAGCAGCTGCTGGGTAGGAGGCCCCCGCCAACACCCAGCACCAGCAGCCCCCACTAGAGTTTTACTGCACCATATAAAGGACATGGAGTGAGAAGAGTAAACAATGTCTTGCAATAGGTAACTGAAACCCCACAGATTACCCACAATGTGTAGCCCTGCTCCACAAAAGCCACGATGAACTGAAAGTAGAGAATCCTGAATTTGGGGCACAGTTGCAGAATTCCGATATTCTCTCAGCCCTGACACACTTTAGTGGATTTCACTGCCCTTAGCCACAGGAGCCTCTAAGCTCATCTTAGGGTTTACTCCTGGTCAGAGATTAGGTGGGAGTGAGGGGTGGATTGGGAAGCAGTGAAGGCTCTACAGGGTGACGTATCTAAGTATGCAATTGCCAAAAGCATAAGTCTCTCATCAGGCACCACAGAAACAGTTTTTTCAGCCAGTGCTGCAGACTCCTGCTAGACAGGGTGAATCCACATCACCTACAAAATTCACGAGTCAGTTTTGCACACTGGGCCGTTGAACTCTGAAGCAAACTGGGAAGTTCTAAAAGCAATAGGAATTGGGGTTACTTAGTAATTAAGATATAGCAACTTATTCCTGGAAAAAAAGTATTTTCTATAATAGTTCTTAAATCATTAAAACGTCTGCTAAATTTTGAGTTTTGATACATTCCCTGCTTAAAGTGAACACAATAAATTCTAAACTGAAATGCAGCAAGTGGGGTTTTTGTTTTGTTGTGTGGTGAGAAGAAATGCTGTTTTACTCGAGGTGGTTGTTTCAACGACGCACTTCTCTCCTGCATTAATTTAAAAAAAATTACAAACAAATCTCAAACTTCACATGAGGATAAATAGGGTTTCTTCTACAGCTCTCCAGTTTGTTTTTAAATATAATATTTTAAGTATGTAATTTATCGGAGTAAAATTTATTAGAATAATTCATTAGAAGCCACTTGTTTAGCTCCATATTTGTTCAGCAATGTTGCATATTGGGACATTGGAATATTTTTTGTGTAAGCAAAAATCCTTTATATTTATACGTGTATCGACAGCTTCCACTTTATTTGTGTACTACATAGCGTGTGTTTTTTTGACTCTGCTTTGTAGAAAAACACATTTCAACAGAATATCTCCAGCTGATTTTATAGTTTCTTACAGCATTTTTGAAAAATATCACTCTGCAAACGTGCTGCCTCAGTACTGTCCTTGAAAACAGTCGAAAATCTTAATTTAGTTATTTTTTTTTCAATTTTTTCAATTTTTTCAATTACACTGAAAACTCGCATTGTACTATGTCTCAGCACTCCCAGATTTACTCAGTGTTTGCTGAAGGAGGTTTGCATCCTGCTGGGAAGACGCATTTGGCAAGGCTTTTCCTCTTCTTCAGGAGATCGGCTAAGATGCAGTTTGATTTGTAGTTCGGTACTATTGCTTTCACGGAAAGTGTCACGCAAGCTTCATTTCCTTTTATGGCCTATATATATGCAGAACTGCGCTGAGTGTACCAGTTATTCTCCTTACATGGATAATAAATAAATTTTAAATTGTAAAAGATAAAGGTTGAGACTGGAATGGCGCTTGATGAGCTTTGGCACACCCTGTGGGGGCGGTCAACTTTGGGGATCCCAGGACACGTAGCACTAAGGACCGCTCCAATCGACAGAGGGGCGTCCAGCCGTCGGGGGCGGGCGGAAAGGAAGGCACAGCGGAGTGGAACCGCGCAGCGCACGCCACAAGCACCAGGATTTCATTTCACTGGGGCAGCGCGTGGGGTCCCGACGGGAGGGATGCGGGGTCAGCGCTTCTGCCTAGATAACGCGACGCGGGGACCTTGGGGAGACAGGTCTGTGATAACTCGACCCTGGACCACACCCTATGGCGGATTTGGTAGGTAACCTCGGTGAAGGGGGGAGTCTTCCAAAGAAGGAATGCAGGAGCTGCGTCTTCCAAAGAAGGAATGGAGGAGCGGCAGGAACACAGAGGAAGGCGGAGGGGCGAGGAGGAGGTTTCTTTCTGGGGCTCTATTTGGTAGGTTGATTGGTTTTCTCTGGGCTACAGCCCCCTCTAGCGTTTCTTATGCGCTGGGACTTCTGCCTTCTTTCATAGGTCAGTAAGGGTTTTTTTCTATTTCTAATATTTGTGGAAAATTTTCACCACTGGACTCATCCTTCTTTACAATTTGGATTTCAGTTCCCCTAATAACGTTTTAACAATATCTTAAGAGTCAAGGAGGAAAGATTTTGTGCCCAGTTGGCCACCTTGAAGGCAGAGGCGTCTGTCATGGTCTTTCTTTTTCTCTTTTTTCTTGAGAAAGGGTCTCGCTCTGTCGCCCAGGCTGTGGTGCAGTGGCGCCATCTCGGCTCACTGCAATCTCTGCCTCCCGGGTTCAAGCGATTCTCCCACCTCAGCCTCTCAGGTAACTGGGACTACAGGTATGCGCCACCACGCCCGGCTGATTTTTGTGTTTTTAGTAGAGACGGGGTTTCATCATGTTGGCCAGGCTAGTCTCGAACTCCTGACCTCAAGTGATCCGGCCTCCTTGGCCTTCCAAAGTGCTGGGATTACAGGCACAAACCACCGCACCCGGCCACTCATAGTCTTTTAGTAGGAGTATATTTAAGGGGCAGTCTTTGCATAATAATAGGAGAATTGAAGTTTTAAAGTCAGATAAGTTGTGCGAGAGTCTCAACTAGTCCGCTGTCCAGTCATGAGATCTTAGACACGTCATGTAAATTATCTAAGCATTAATTAACTTATGTATAAAATGGATGTAATCATGTTACCATCCACACTGGGGTTTTAGGAAGGACCGATGTAATAAAGGGAGGGCTTTATTAATAACCTTCTCTTTATCTCACTAATCATTGCTAATTTCTGCTGTTTCCTAGGTGTCTCAAAACTAAACTCATGCCTCTGGCAGTTATTTGTGGAGCAAATATTATGTGCCAGGCAATGTTCAAGTGCTGAGAAAAATATAAGGCATAAAACACATAGTTACAAAACATAGCTATCAGACAGAGCCCCTGCTTTCCAGGAACCCACAGTTGTAAAGAGGAGACAATAAATGCAATGACCTTGCAGTGTGATAAGAGCTAACACAGCAATTTATGCAGGTGTTGTGGGTATTACAGGGGAGGAAGCCTGCCTGGAGCATCAGGCTCAGAGGATCTGTGTAGAGCAGGGATTCTCAACCTCAGCGTTACAGTGAGTACTTGATGTTTCAGGCCACATAACTCTTTATTGTGGAGGTTGTCCTGTAAATTGTAGGATGTTTAGCAACATTCCTAGCCTCTACCCACTAGATGCCTGTAACACCAACACCTTCCTGATTGTGACAACATCAAAATATATCCAGACATTGCCACATGTCCTGAGGGAAGGGGGTTCACTTGAGAACTGATGTGTAGAAGATAGCTGAGACATCACTCAGAGTTGGATTTCCCAGAGGCATCTTTATTTGGCAGAATGACAGATTAGTTTTTCTTATTTTTAAAGACGGGATTTCACTCTGTTGCCCAGGCTGGAGTGCAGTGGCGAGATCATAGCTCACTGTAACCTGGAACTCCTGGGCTCAAGCGATCCTCCTGCCTCAGCCTCCCAAGTAGCTGGGACTATGCATGTCACTAGGCCCGGCTGATTTTTTTTTTAATTTTTATAGAGATAGCGCCTCAATATGTTGCCCAGATTGGTTCTAAACTCCTGGCCTCAAGCGATTCTTTTGCCTCAGCCCCCCAAAGTGCTAGGATTATAGACACACATGGCCCAAGTTAGTTTTTAATTTAGTTTTTTGTTTATATTAATATATAATTGGTTCCTTTGTTATTTTAATGTATTAGAAAAATACTAGTTTTAAATTGAAAGTAGAGATACAATTCTTTTCTTTAAATATATTTGGGCAAAAGTGATACTGCAGAAAACAGTGAATGAAAGAAGATAAAAACAATAGCATCCAACCACATACAAGTCCTGACAATTTTGTAACTATCATGCTATTTCACTCTCCACTGCAAACTCAGCCTCCTGTTGTACTTGTTTGGATTAGGACCTGGAGAGTGCAGAGTTTGGGGCAGGGTGCAGGCAGAGCAGTTCAAGGCAAACCTTCCCTCCAGGGCAGGGCCCCCTACTCCTGCTTAGAAATACCCAGCATTCCAAAGAGAATGTTCCCCTTCTTCTCCCTAGGCCTTGATCTCTCCTTGGTTTCAGGCAAAGGACTTCAAGACTGAGGAATTCTTACAAGTTTTCCTTAGGCTGCACTGCCCTTGAGCTCTGAAGCAAAATTACGTTTGATGCCCAAGAACATAGGAGGTGAGAGTGAAGGGAAGAGGTGGGTGCAGCTGCTTTTACCAGAGAGTTGGCGGTGCTAAAAGCCTGAGCTGGGGAGCTCGCTGCCATCTCTGCCTAGGAGTCCTCTGTCTCAGGAGCTTTAATCTTCCTAAAACATGATTGGCTCACTCACTGCACACGTTTTCAGTCCATCTGCCCCTGACCCACATCCTTGCCTAGGTCCCCCTTGAAGCACAGCAAGGACAATTTGGGTCAGAGAAGTTAAGCCTCATTTGTTTTAGGAAATGAAAAAATAGACATATCAGGATGGGTCAATCCATTTGTTAAGTAGAGATGGGACCGTTTGGGATACAATACCCATAAATCACATTTGTGCAGTTCTTGATTTTTTTTTTTTTACATTAGGCTGGAATAAGACTACAAAATTTCTCAATTTTTTTATAAAGGTGTTTCCCACCCACTGGAGCCTGACCACTTGAAAGAGTTACTTCTGTACACATTTACATAAATCATTATTAGGGCCCTATAACAGAAACACACACACACACACATACACAGAAACCGTTATTTATCAGGTGATCAAAACCCAAAGATTTGATGATGCCTTATTGTGCTGGTGAAGGTAAGGTAATCAGACACTATTTTGTGTCTTGTTTTGTATGGGGAGTAAATTGATGTAATTTCTGTGAAAGGCAACTGGTATTTTCCATCAAAATTTAACTGCAAAAGTATTTGATCTGGCAACTTAACCTTTAGAAATTTATCATGTGGATAAAGACCCAGGTGTAAAATAAAATGTGAGCAAAAAGCTTAAGCATAGTACTCTTTTCACTTCACTTTAAAGTCGTTTTTATCGTGAACAATAACATGACATAAATGCAAAAAAGTACAGCTAAATGAAGCATACATGCAATGTACCTACTATCTTACTTGAGAAATTAAACGTTGCTGGCAGCCCAGGTGCCTCTACTCCAGCAATCACATCCCCTCCCAATTGGCTACTACCCTGAATTTTCAGGCGATGTTTTCTTGCTTTATTTTCAAAGTTTTCCCACCTAAGAAGAAATCACTAAATAATAAATTATATGTCTGTATGTATATTCATATTTTATTGTTTTTGAACAGTACATAAATGGAATCATACAATATGTGTTCTTTTGTATCTGGAGTTTTGCTGAATAGTATGTTTTTTTTGGTTTGATTTTTTTCTTTTTTTTTTTTGTTTTGAGACAGTTCGCTCTTGTTGCCCAGGCTGGAGAGCAATGGCGTGATCTCGGCTCACTGCAACCTCTGCCTCCCGGGTTCAAGCGATTCTCCTGCCTCAGCCTCCTGAGTAGCTAGGATTACAGGCATGTGCCACCAAGCCAGGCTAATTTTGTATTTTTAGTAGAGATGGGGTTTCTCCATGTTAGTCAGGTGGGTCTCGAACTCCTGACCTCAGGTGATCCACCAGCCTCAGCTTCCCAAAGTGTTGGGATTACAGGCGTGAGGCACCACACCCAGCCACTGAATAGTATGTTTTGAAGACTCATCCATGCTGGATGTATAGCCATACCTAAGCTTTACATATTGTTTATGGGCAGAACATTTGAAAGAAGGTAAATACTCAACAGGGAGCAGACTAAATAAATTATGGTATACCCACACAATAGAATATTATGCAGTGATGAAAAATAATGAAGCTGATGTTAGATACTAAAATGGTAAGAGCACTAAGTTTTTTTGCTAAATAAAAAGCAGTATATGACCCATAGAATAGTATTCTACCATTTGTATGAAAGAAAAATTTAAATCAATACCAACTTGTTTATATATATTTACAAAAATATCCAGAATATTTTTACCGTATTCTCCTCTGGAAGATAAAATGGGTAGCTGGAAAATTAATTCCCCTATCTATTTGCATACTTTCTGAATTTCCTGCTACTTGCATGTATTACCTATTGAAAATGAGGCTAGAGAGTGAAACAAAATATTGCCCAGTCGCACAGCTGGCCAATGTCAGAGCCTGGACTCAGCCTGTCCCAGTTATAGGGATTTTAGGCCAGATCTCTTTCTACAACTGTAAAGCCAAGAAGGAATGAATCAACAATTAGCTTTATACTCCATAACCTGGGAAAGCCTAAAAGCATACTCCAACTGAGCCTGAATGTTGGTTTGTTCATTTTCCCCACAGTTCCTCTTCAAGAGACAGTTTCAATCCCACAGTTCTGGTTAAATTCCACTGGGCTGAAACGGGTAATTTCAGAATGACCCACCACAAAGCAGGACACATCCCTAAATGACAGGCTTTGGTCAGGATGGCACAATAAGTTCATGCTTAGGCAAAGACTCTCTGCCCCAAATTACATGGCAATAAGAAAAATGTAAAAAGAGAAAAGTTATAGTTGAGTTAAGGACAAGAGAAACACCACTCTCCATGAAGAATGGGTCATCAACAGAAAGCAAAGGCAGTGGGAAGGGCTGATGCTTCCAGCATGCTGTTTGTCAGGAGACTGGCTGAAGGCAGGCTCTCTCCTGAAAGAAATTGCCACTGACCACTGCTTGCAGCTGAGGCTTCATAAGAAGCTCCAGGCCCAGGCAGATGGGAGGACTCAAGTGCAGCTTGGAGAGGAGGCATTCACTGAAGCCTTAGAGAACCAGCAGATTACTTCACACAATCTGTAGAAATCAACTCAAAATGTATTAAAGGCACAAATGTACCAGGTAAAACTCTAAAAGAATTCTTTTCCATTACAAGAAAACAAACAAACAAACAAACAAAACAACCAAAACCTTAGGTCTTAGTCAGCCATGGCTGCTATAACAAATACCACAGACTGGGTGGCTTATACAACAGACATTTATCTCTCACAGTTTTGGAGGTGACAGCAGATTCAGTTCCAGTGAGGATCCTCTTCCTGGCATACAGATGACTGCCTTCTTTCGGTGTCCTCACAAGGTAGGGAAAGAGAGCTCCAATCTCCCTCTTCTTAAAAGAGCACTAATCCCATCACGGAGGCCCCCCCCTCCTGACCTCATCTAAACTTAATTACCTCCCCAGGGTCCCACCTCCAGATACCACCACACTGGGGGTTAGGGCTTCAACATATGAATTTTGGGGGAACACAAACATTTAGCCCATAACACCCTTCAAAGCAAAAAGAAAAGAACACCATGAAATCTAGTGGAAAAATAGGGGGAAACATTTGAATAGGCAGTTCAAAGAAAGAGAAAAATGAATGATGATGACTTATTTGAAGCTACACAGTATCACTGGCAATAAGAGAAACTCAAGTTACAACAAGAAAGGGAAAGAGTTGATACTGATTAGATTGTGACAAAGATTAAGAAGTCAGTTAAAATCAACTGAGCATGTAAAGAAAGATGAACTTGGTATATTGCTAGGGAGTATAGACTGTGGAAGCTGAAGGAAAATTTGACTTTCCTCAGGTAATTTCCATACACACAAACCTAGAATCCAATTTGTAATTGTGGCTAAGTACTCCAGAGGCCCACTCTCATAGGTCCATGGTCTAGAATTCTACTACAGAGATATATATGGTAACATATAGTTGGAAGCAAACTAGTTGACTATCCATAAGAAAAGGGATAAACAAAATGTTTTAAAAGCATAATCTATGGCAGTCCAAAACACTGAATTAGATGTATATACAGTACAGAGAGCTTAAAAAACGTTGTCAGCCGGGTGCGGTGGCTCACGCCTGTAATCCCAGCACTTTGGGAGGCCGAGGCGGGTGGATCACGAGGTCAGGAGATCGAGCCCATCCTGGTTAACACGGTGAAACCCCGTCTCTACTAAAAATACAAAAAATTAGCCGGGCATGGTGGCGGGTGCCTGTAGTCCCAGCTATTCAGGAGGCTGAGGCAGGAGAATGGCATCAACCTGGGAGGCGGAGCTTGCAGTGAGCCAAGATCGCGCCACTGCACTCCAGCTTGGGCAAGAGTGAGACTCTGTCTCAAAAAAAAAAAAAAAAAAAAAAGTTGTCAAAAAGATAAAATGGTCTCTGCAAGCTCCATGTCCTAGGTATAGTCCTCCCCATCCTGCTGCCAGATCAATGTGATCTCTTCAGGGTGGAAGCCCAGGGCCCAGCACCTCAGGGTGGTATTACAGTCAGAGATGGGGTCATAGTGGGTGCTGGTGGGGAATGCCTTTGGGGGTCCGAAGAAAAGGGTCAGAGGAAATTTAGAACATTCATTTCCCTTCCATAGGCCATTCAACAGGGCTCATTGATCGCTCTAAGAAGGAAAGGATTTTAGGAAGAGAAACTCAGATACCCACATCTACTCTAAGAGTCCAGGGGGAACACTTTCCTGTTTCAAAGCAGAGTGAGGCAGGATATAGTTGGAGGCACCAGGTCTGAAAGGAGGTGAGGGGGTCCTAATTAAGTAGTGTCAAGGTCACAGTGGGCAGGGCCAGGGTTAGAACAAGCTCCAAAAAGAATCAGGATGGAGGCAGAAGATAAGGTCTGAGAGAGACAGTTTGGTTCTTGAGGAAGTAGCTGCAAGATCATGAAAATTAAAAGCTTTTATACATCAAAATATACTATCAAGAGAGTGAAAAGACAATCCACGGAATGAAAGAAAATGTTTGCAAATCATATATCTGATAAGGGTCTAGTATTCAGAATATATAAAGAATTCCTAAAACTCAAAACATAAAGGCAACCTATTTTTTTTAAATGGGCAAAGGTCTTGAAAGGACCTTTTTCCAAAGAAAATATACAAATAGCCAACAAACACATAAGATGCTCAACATCATTACTCATTAGAGAACTGTATATCAAAACCACAAAGAGGTTTTGTGGTTTTTGTCTAGTGTTTTGGATTGACTTCTAGCGGTTTTATACCCACTAGAATGTTATTATAGGATGGCTATAATAAACAACAAAACAAACTGAAAGTAAGTGTAGATTAGGATGGAGAGAAATTAGAACCATGTGCATTGCTGGTGGGAGTGCAAAATGGTGCAGCAGCCATGAAGAGCAGTTTGGTAGTTCCTCAAAAAGTTAAAATATAAAACTATCAAACGAACCGCACCTATATCCTCCAACAAAAAAACTAAAAACAGATACTGAAACAGAACCTTGTACACAAATGTTCATAGCAGCACTGTTCACAATAGCCAAAAAGCAGAAATAACGGAAGTGTCCATTGATGGCTGAATGGATAAACAAAATGTGGTATATCCATATAATCGGCTACTATTCAGCCATAGAAAGGAATGAAATACTGACATTTGCTACAGCACGGATGAACCCTGAAAACATTATGCTAAGTGAAAGAAATCAGACACAATAAGCTACAAATTGTATGATTCCATTTATATGAAATATACAGAATAGACAAATCCGTAAAGGCAGAAACAGATTAGTGGTTGCTAAGGGCTGGAATAGGGAAAAATTGGAAGTGACTGTTTAATGGA
Organism: Homo sapiens; assembly: GCF_000001405.40. Classification (NCBI taxonomy): domain Eukaryota; kingdom Metazoa; phylum Chordata; class Mammalia; order Primates; family Hominidae; genus Homo; species Homo sapiens. The sequence goes on along the minus strand of NT_167248.2, from coordinate 1,605,209 downwards.
AACAGGTTTCTGTTTGGGATGATGAAAAAGATCTGGAACTAAATAGTGGTGGTGATTGTATAATATTGCAAATGTACTTAATGCCACTGAATTGTACACTTTAAAATGGCTAAAATGATACATTTTAAGTTAAGTATATTTTACCACAATAAAAAGAGGAACCACTGGGGGGCACTGGGTGAGGATGTAGGGGACATTTCAGTATGCTCTTTGCAGCTTCCAGTGAATCTATATTTCAAAATAGTTTTGAAAATTTATTAAGCAGTTACTAAGCATAGGCACTATCTTCATAGTGATATAATTGTTTTAAATTAGAGATACACACTGATTTATTATGGTGACAATAACTCAGATTCCTCAATGTTCAAGACCTGTCTTTTCTAACGTTTTTGCTACTTGAATTCAAAATAACAGTCTCTCAATCCTTCTCTCTTTTGCCTCCTGACAATAACGATACTGGTTTTCACTAGTTTTGAAAGTGCTAAATGAACTTAATGTTCAGGGAGTGACTAAGGCATAGTTTCTATGGTTACTGGAAGACCTCATTTCTTGATTCGATTTGAATAACCTAAGTTTCTTCTCTCTCCTTTAATTTTATTTAGAGTCCTAAAAGGGCATAAATTTTGAGTTATTGAACTTCTAGAAACACTTGAGAAAGCTACTGCATTCCAGGGATTCAGTTTATTTTCATCTTTCATCTAGGAAATCCATTTTTGCATATAATATGCCACTATCACATTATATATCTTTATGATGTATCTGTATTAATACATAGAATCATGTATCAATGTATAGAATATAAATGTTATATATGTAATCATATATTTATAATTAAACATGAAAAAGGAAAGAGGAAGAGGGCTGTGGAAAGAGGAAGAGGGCTGTGATCTTTAGAGTTATATATTGATAGAAACCCACAACAAATAAAGAAACCACAAAGACTCACAAGTGAACCAGATTCCAGATACTGTTTTGTCTGCCGCTCATCCTGACTGGGACCTGATTCCCATGATCTCCCACATGAGAGGAATCACTTAGTGACTGAGCCATGAAATCGAAACTCAGTTTCCCCACTGCTATCCCACTGTAGACATGTTCAGTCACATGCAATCATAACACACTCAAGACAAACTTAGCCAAAGATCAGATTAAGTGTGCAAGAGTCGAGCTCAGTCATCCCAAATTAAACTTACTGGAGGAGCCATGGAAGGTGAGCTGAGGATGCAAAGGACCCAGGTATGCACGAGGTGTTACTTTCAGGCTACACATTTTTGTTGGACTGAAAGTTGACCCAGGTAGGCACTATTTCCAGAAATAAAATGTCAAAGGATGACTCAGAAACATTTACTTACATGTACACTGTTTAGTATTTTCTACGCAAATAATTTACTGACATGTGAAGGAGGCAGTGGAGAGACCAAGTCAGGGACAAAGGCAAAACAAGAATGTGGTAGATGAGTGATCCCCAACCTTTTTGGCACTAGGGACAGGTTAACCAGGGACTGGTTTTGTGAAAGGCAATTTTTCCATGGAGCAGGAAGGGTATGGTTCTGGGATGAAACTATTTCACCCCAGATCATCAGCAATTAGATTATGATAAGGAGCATGCAACCCAGATCCCTTGCATGCGCAGTTCACAGTAGGGTTCATGCTCCTATGTGAATCTAATGCTGCCACTGATTACTCAGGCAGTAATGCTGGCCCATCCCTCCCTTCCACCACTGCTCACCTCCTACTAGGCAGCCTGGTTCCTAACAGGACACAGCCCAGTACCAGTCCACAGGGCCTGGGGGTTGGGGACCCCTGTGGTAGATTGTTACACTGGTGATCCCCAGGGAACTAATGAACCTCCCAGCGTTCAAACTCCAGTGTAGCCCCTTCCACATTGAATCTGGCATTGGCACTGTGCCTTGCTTTGGCCAAGGGAACATTAGCAAGTGTGACCCCAACAGAGGCTCGATAAACACTTTTTTTTTTTGAGACAGTCTCACTCTGTCACACAGGCTGGAATGCAGTGGCGCGATCTTGGCCCACTGCAACTCTGCCTCCTGGGTTCAGGTGATTCTCCTGCCTCAGCCTCCCGAGTAGCTGGAATTACAGGTGCCTGCTACCACGCCCTGCTAATTTTTTTGTATTTTAAGTACAGACAGGGTTCCACCATGTTGTCCGGGCTGGTCTCAAACTCCTGAACTCAAGTGATCCACCTGCCTCGGCCTCACAAAGTGCTGGGATCACAGGTGTGAGCCACAGCATCCAGCCAAACACTTACATATTGGGATGCTTTTGTAGAAGCCAGAGGGGATGTAAGAAATACAACTACCCTGAGTCAGCCATGCTGTGGGAACATCAAAGCTAGCGAGGGAGCAAGGCTACTTGGAGAAGCAATGAGGTGCTAAACACGTGAGTGAAATTTCTTGGGTCTTCCAGACCACCTACGAGATAGCAGCTAAATGCAGCTATTTAAGCTGATTTCATATGTAACAGGAGAACCACCCAGCCAAAGTCTTTCAGAATTCCTAGTTCACAGAACCAGAGGAAATAATAAATCATTATGTTTTAAGCTCCAACATGATGAAGTGATTTTTTTATACAGCTATCGATAAGCAAACACAGGGTTTATAAGAGAAATAAAAGAAAACTGCATTCTGGAAGTAGTAAATTTTGTTTGTATGCTTTTGGTATAACCTTATTAGCTGGCATTTAGCAAAAAGGTCAGTCTAAGAATTCTGTACTTCAGTAGGCTTTCTAGGGATATCGAAGAAAACATTTTAGTTGTTTATTCTTAAGAAAACTCTGAGAGTTTACCTATGGGACATAATTGCAAAATGTCTGTCGGTGTCCTTTGTTAGCATCTTTGACTTTGTTAGTTCAGGTTTGCGCCATTTCCTTTATCAGAATTTTATTAAAGACAACTTTGAGACTGGGAAAAGACCTGAGTCTTTTCTGACTATGAGTGGGCCTAGAGGATACAAACACTCTCCGCTGCCCCATATTTCTCCCCTTGTTTAAAAACAGCAGCAGTGGCATCATTCTCTCCAGCTCTTCAGTCAGCAATTATGGCTGCCCAAACATGGAATGCCCTAAGGTGGCTCAGGACATTGATAGGGAACTGGGGCCATGGCCTTGGAAATGCAAGCTGCTGAGTGAGGCCAAGTGGTCTATGGAAATCACGATCTCCCTGCATGGTGGGATTACAAAGGTGACCAAGAAACACAGACAGAAACAGAAGAAAATGGAATTAAGAGTTGAAATACCCACAGAACAGAATCATGGAATGTAAAACAAGTAAACTTTATTTGGGAGATGGGGTGAATCCATCACTGGTTACTGGAACCCTGAGTCTGCATTTTCTCCTCAGGAAGGCGGTCTGAAATGGAGTGGGCTGTGTTTGGCAAGGGTTGTAGTGGTTTGGAATCTGAGTAAATGAGCAGAATCAGAGAAACAGAATTAGTTTTCTGACTGTGGTACTTCTCACACCAACCCAGAACCTGTCCATGTGTCCTCTTCACTCTACGTTCTCCATTGTCCCTATCCTCTGGGGTGTCCTCCATTTTCTCCCTCACCTCTCACCTGCTTGGCTCCCGAGCTGGGCCTCAGGCCTGTCTCCCCAGAGTAAATGCCCGGGATCATTGAGGAAGCGTTGGCTGCGCTGGCATGTTAGGCAGGTCTGTACGGTCCAGCGCTGTCCCCTGCAGCCTAGGGTGAACATGGGAAAAAGACTGTCCACGTTTAGAAGTAACGGTCTCTTGCTGCCAGTTTTGCCTCCAGTGTTTTTCAGTAGGTATCCCCGCTCCCCCACCACACCCCCAATTTGAATGCACATTTGATGGTGTCAGGCCTCGGCATAAGCTCCATCGATTTCCTGGAACTCTTTAAGATAAAGTTCAAACTCCCTAACAAGACTTCAAGAACTGGCCTGTTTCCCCCTCCAGTCTCATGTTTTGCCCTCCTACCTCAAACTCCAGCCTCCTGAACTCTCATTTCTTTGACAGCACCACAAGCTCTCTTGTCTCAGAGTCTGCACACATGCCTAGAATTTCCATCTCTCACTCCCTTTGCTTATCATAAACTTCGCCACCACTGGCATGAGTAAGTGAGCATTCTACTCCCCCAGTTAATCTTTTTCTACACCATTTTGTTTCTTAGTCTGTCCCATCAGACCGTAATTTCAATGAGAATAATGAATCTAGCACAGTACCTGACACATTTTAGAAAATAAGTATTTGCTTAATAAATGAATGGTGATGGGAATCGTCCTCCACAAAGCCGAACAACATCTATTATTGTGCATGGGTGGGGTTGCCTCTTAAAAGTTATTATTTATTGCCCACACTGGAAGAAAAAAAAAAAAAACAGCCGAGCCCAAACCCTAGTTTGTGCAAGTGGCGTTAGGAACTTAATCCAAACCCGAAGAAGGAAGACTCCTGCGAATCCCACACCCAACATCCATCTACAGTGAGAAAGGCGCTGTTGGCCTCCAGTGCCCGCCCCCCACCCCGCCCCCCTCCGCGCCCCCAATGCTCCGCAGTCTTCCACCTCCGTTGGAGCACTCACGTCTCTGGCGGTGGGTGCAGGTGAGGCCCGGGACGAGGAGGGAAGAGCAGCCTCGACAGAGAGTCCTCTTCACCGAGGGATCCCTGGGGGCGGAGGAGGATAGTGGTCTGGCGCCCGCGCTCCCTCTCGCGTTCCTCCCGCGTCCCGCCCGCCGCCCGCCCCGTGGCTGTCTCACCGCCGCAAGACGAGCCGCTTCGCAATGGTCCTCTCAGTGTAGCAGTAAAACCTCGCCAGCGCCTGGTTCTCGGGGTCCTGGGCAAGGACACAATGGGCGGCCTGCGGGAGGGGAGCAGTCACTCTGGGACGCCGAGCACCGTCCCCGTGGGGCCCTTGTCGCAGACTCACCTGGTACAGGAAGTTGAGCCTCTGGAAGGCCTCGCGGTCCTTCACCGGCCCCGCCATCACCGCCGCGCTCCAGGGCCTCCCGCAGCCCCACCCCTCGCACAGCCCCGCCCGGGCGTCCGCGCGAAGCCTCCTGGGAAACGTAGTCCCCGCGCCCTCGGGAGCCTCCCGGAGGCCTCACAAACTCATCGGTTTCTAAACACAACCCCAGCAATCCATGCCCAGGGTCCCTTTATGAATTTTCAGTGCTTTTGTCTTCCTCAAGCTCATGACCAATTATATCACCTAGAGACCTAGTGGAGCAGGTGAGGATCTTAAATCGGCCATTTTCAGGACAGAAGGCTGGTCTCTTTATGTAGCTACGTTGGGGAGATGGTTATGTGCAATTTATACCCAGCTAGAGCTTCTGCCCTACTCTCCTGAGGTCCGAGGCAGATGCCTGTAAGATCTACAGACGGAAGGCACAGAGGTAATACATTAAAAAAAAGCACTGGTGCCAGTGGGGGTGAAAGTGGGAAGGATCATGAGGGTGCTGGAGGGAGGGAAAAGGACTCCCGGTCCTCAGAAAGCACAGTTTACTCCTACTATTCCACCTACCAAAGAAACACACTTCCTGTTATGCAGTGCTGGACACACAGTAGGTGATCCTCACTTTCTGAGTGAATGGTTTCTAACTCCTAGGCTTAGGTACAGCACAGAAATCTGTCAACAGCATCCCCTGCCCCTGAAACTTCACCCCACTCCCCACACTGACATTCACCTCACACCCCTCCCTCTGACCTCTTCTATCTTCCAGTTCTTCTGTCTGGTGTCCTGTGACTCATAGTGACTATCAGTTACTGAAGTCAGAAGCAGAGGGACATGAATTGGAGGGGTAGAAGATCAATGAACCCTGAGATGGGGAGGGCAGCATAAGTCAGGAGAGGATGACTTCTCTCCAATTTCAGACCCAGTGCCAGGCGGGGACAGACAAGCAGGGCTCCAGCTGGGAGGAAGGACATGGCTGAAACCTCCTCTGGAACTAGTTTCACAAGGGTTTTCGGACTCAAATGAGAGTGGTGTGTTTAAAATGTAGATGTAGGCTGGGCACGGTGGCTCACACCTGTAATCCTAGCACTTTGAGTGGCTGAGGCAGGTAGATTACTTGAGTTCAGGAGTTCGAGACCAGCCTGTCCAACATGGCAAAACCCTGTCTCCACTAAAATTAGCCGGGTGTGGTGGTGCATGGCTATAGTCCATAGTAATCCCAGCTACTCTGGAGGCTGAGGCAGGAGAATTGCTTGAACCTGGGAGGCGGAGGTTGCAGTGAGCTGAGATCACCACTGTACTCCAGCCTGGGCGACAGAACGAGACTCTGTCTCATAAATAAAATGTAGATGTCCGGCCCACCCCAGACCTTGACTAACCACTAAGGGTGAGACCCAGGAACATGCATGTCTAACACCCAGTGATTCTTACACATCAGTACAAGGCTGTCACCAAATTACCACACAACACAGAGATCACTTCAGTGGATCCTTTGTTCCATATTATTTTAACCAACCAAAGTATCTTGCCACAAAGAACCACAGTCAAGGCACAAAGGTAAGAGGAGGAGAGTCTGGACAAAGTCCTGTTGAGGTGGTAGGAGGAACTGAAATGCCCTCAGTAAACTGCAGATTCTTCTCTCAGTCATTTCTGTGAAGATTACCCGAATAGCAGATAATCCAAATTGGTTTAGTTTGGTTTGGCATGCATCACTTTTACCTTTTATGACAACATATGTACCCTATAAGTTGTTTATTTTGGCCTAACATGAAAATCATTTACATTCTCTGAAAAGGGAAATGGCAAAGGGTGAGGGATGGCAACAAACAAGCAAAAGCCTGGCTTAACACCAGTTCCAGGCCAGATGCACACAAGCCAAATGAAGTTGCCTATCTGGCCCTTCCCTATATACCACCCTCTTCCACCCTGTCCTTAGGGTGAGAAAGACTCCATAACCTTTTTTCCTTTCTGGCTTGGACACCTTGGCCAGGTAAGAAGGCTGACAATTTGGGAGTAGCTACTAAGTAACATTCTTTAAGGCCAGGGCTTTGTATACAAATACCCTTCTCTTTCCTCTAATACCTGACTCTCCTTTCCAAGTTCCCTTGGGAACACTGTGAAAGGATAGATGTGTCTTGCAGGATCTCTTCCACTTTGCCTCTGGAGAGGAGCAAGGTGACTGACTTATTGGTATAGAGGCAGGCAATAAGCCAACTCTGCTGAAGGCTGAGGCAGGGACCTGGGTTCTCCTCTGCTTTCTTTTCAGCCTCTCCTTCTCCCCACATTCCTACCTCTGGCCAATCTTACCCATAATCGCAACCTTACCCTTGGAATAGAAGACCAAAGAAACCTCCCTCCTCTTCATTAATCTCTAGGAATCTGTTCCTTTAGCCCACTTCCCTGACCCTTCTAGCCTTGTTGATGTCCAATCTCTGCCCTCAGAAAAACTCCTCAATATCTAGACCCATGAGAGCATCTGTCATTCATCTCTCATGAATTCAGAGGTACACAGACCCCTGTGATCTACCTCAAGAAGCAAGACTATCCTGGGTCAAAGAACCCCCTAAAAAGATGTGCAGGGGTTTCTGTTTCCTCCTCTGGTTTGAGCAAGTCAGACCCTCACAGATTTTTTGTTTCTGGAAAAGCCTCTCCTTCCTTCCTGACCCGTCCTTGTGCAACAGAAAACCTGATGGACTTCAGGGTAGACAATCCTCTGGGAACCAGCTCCCCACCCTGACAGTTAGGAGGAAGTCACAGCTGTGCTCTCTCATCCAGCCCAGTCCTACCTCCCCCTCCACACAAAACCATCCTAGAAACCAAGGTGTTTCTCCAAGATGATTCAGGACTGGACCCAGGTGGACACGAAGACGTTCCAGCAGGACACGGGAAGGAGGCCCGTAGCACTTGACCCTGCCTCACCCCAGTCATTCCCACATCCCAACCTGTCACTCCCAATCTGTTGGGGGCCTGATGGTAAGTGGTGCAGCATTCTTCCGTCCAGCCCGGATGCCTGGGTAGAAGAGGGGCCAAAGTTTCTCAGTAAAAGTATCAGTGAAGGTGTAGATATGAGAGCGGTCTGTGACATTGTAGAAAGACAGTGTGCCGGCCTCATAGTCTAGGAATATGCCTACCCGCTTGGGTTTCACCTTGATGTGCAAAGGGGTAAAAGGTGTGGTGGTGGCTGCATATTTGTCCCCATTCCATAGCCGCACCCGCCAGTAGCCAGTCTCAGGGAGTGGAGTCAACTCGCCCTTTCGGCTCACGGAGTCCCGGCATACACCCACTGCCCAGTGGGTCTTGTCGCCCACCTCCACCTCCCAGTAGTGTCGACCTGAGGTGAAACCCTCAGTAGCCAGGACGCAAGGGTAGAAGGTGAAACGCCTTGGTGTGTCAGGGAGATCCCGGAGTCTTGTCTCCACGAACTTGACGCTCTTACGATCCTCTGACAGGACTAGGTTAGGATGAGCTGTCTCAGGGTCCAGGGTCACATCCGCTGGCGGGAGAAGCCAGAGTGGGGAGCTAGATGAGGATGGGAATAGCTAAATGCCCCTGCCTCACTCTTCCAGCCTGCCTTTACAGAGCCTGGTCCCTTAAAGGTCCCCAGAACAACCTGGTTTGGTTAACTTTCTCAATCCATGGTGTCACCTAAGGAAGGGGAGAAAGCAATGGCTCACTTCTCACCCTGACCCTAAAGTAAACAGATAATAATCTCTTGAGTCTGCAGTGGCTGGTAATCTAGGTTCCCGCCTGGTCCTCTCTTCATCTCCCTCTGACATTATCATTTATCTCACTATGTAGAGAAGTACAAGGTGTAGTCTGAGGGGCAGAAAAAAACGGAAAGTGTTAAGAAGGATGCCGAGCAAGACAGCATATGGTCTAGGGATAGGGTGACCATGTGTGTTTTCCAGGAACTGGCCTGGTTTATGACTATTTTCCCTGCATATTCACATTAATATAATGACACTCCCTTTCAGTTTCTTTCTTTTTTTTTTTTTTTGAGATGGAATCTCACTCTGTCCCTCAGGCTGGAGTGCAGTGGTGTGATCTCAGCTCACTGCAACCTCCGCTTCCCAGGTTCAAGCAGTTCTCCTGCCTCAGCCTCCAGAGGAGCTGGGATTACAGGCGCCCAACACCACATCTGGCTAATTTTTATATTTTTAGTAGAGATGGGGTTTCACCGTGTTGGCCAGGCTGATGTCGAACTCCTGACCTCAAGTGATCCACCAGCCTTGGCCTCCCAAAGTGCTAGGATTACAGATGTGAGCCACCGCACCCGGCCTTTGAAGGTTATGCAAGTTTACATGGTAAATTATATAACCACTCTACCCGATGACTTTGGCAAATTATTTAACCTTTCTGGGTCTCTATTTAGAAAAGAATGGACCTAAGAGTAGATAACGCTTAAGGCTTCCTCTCACTCCAAGTTCTGTGACTCAGGGTGAGACTAAAAGCCAGATAAAGGGGTAGGTGTGTGTGGGAGTAAGAAAAGTGAGACATAGGATAACTGAAACCCATATAAGGTAGGACCTAAAAACTTTCTTCTCTCTAGTGGTTTCTTCTAGTTTCCTTTTGGGAACAACTCACCAATTAGCTGTTTAAGGATTTTCCTTAGGGCAAAGTACTGTCGGGGAAAATTGCTGAAGTTCTTTTCCAGCTCTATGGATACTGAAGTCACCTCCATGGTCTTCACCTTTTCACATCTAGGAGGGATAGGGAGATAGGGGAAGAAAGGGCAGGGTTAGGGAGAAGCTCCAGCCAAGTGACTATTCAGATGTTAACATTTTTAGGGAGAAATTAAAATTCTCCATCTTCCCACTTTCTTCCTCCTCCCTGAAAAGCTCACCTGTTGATTTCTTTTACTAATCCAAGGAGAGCCTTATGATCCCGTGGACAGATCGTTGAGAGTGAGCCTCCGAACTTTCTAGGAATATTCCTGTATTTCATGCAAATGGATGATTGCCCTCCCTGCTCTCCCAACCCCTTCCTCCTGCCATCTTGTTTGGACACAATTCCACCCACTGGCACAAGTAGAATCTGATTCTACCTTATCATTCTCCTTCTCAAGAAGTCCTGATGTTCAAAGGGGAAAAGGGATTATTATTCCCAATAATTTGTTCTCTAACTGGCTTCATGGGCACAATGAACATTCTCCCATACCCTGCCCAGACACACTACATGACTTTCCCAACCTCACCCCCAACCCAAACTCCTGACTGTACCCCTCCTCTCTAAGCCAAGACCTAACTCACTCAGAGAGATACAACAATCACTTACTTTTCCAGGGTACTTTTGACATCCTAGAAGGAAGGAGAAAAGAAAGCAATATTGGTCCTGGTATTCAGTGGTCCTGAAGGCAAAAGGTTCCCCCTCCTCCCCAAAGTTCCACAGCTATAAAATAGGGATAGGATAAACTGAGGGTCACACAGTGCAAGAAGAGCTCCAGCGGGACCTGAATGCACTTCTCCCAACCTAATCCCTACTTTCAACTTCTGGTCATCATGAAGCTTGGTCATTTATATCACTTCCCAATGATTTCTTTTATGCTTGTCTTTGCTCCTCAAGGATGCTGGGAGCTCCCTATAAGGGACAGGGATTGTATCAATTCTTTACTCTGTCCCCCAAGTACCAACCACATATCTCACTCTCCTTGAGGATAAGTACAGAGAGTTCCAGACTGGTGGCATAGGAACAAATCACACATTCCTGTTACGGTTTGGTATCCCCTGTCTTGCATTAGTTAATAAACATCAATAACTGGCTGGGCACAGTAGCTCACGCCTGTAATCTGAGCGCTTTGGGAGGCCAAGACGGGTGGATCACTTGAGGTCAGGAGTTCAAGACCAGCCTAGCCAACATGGTGAAACCCTGTCTTTACTAAAAATACAAAAATTAGCCAGGTGTGGTGGTGTGCGCCTGTAACCCCAGCTACTCAGGAGGCTGAGGCAGGAGAATCGCTTGAACACAGGAGGCAAAGGTTGCAGTGAGCCGAGATCATGCACTGCACTCCAGCCTGGGCGACAGAGCAAGACTCTCTCAGAAAAAAAAAAAAGCAAGAATAAACACATTAATAACTGTGTGCTAATACTGATTTGTGAATACTTGGGGTCCAGAAGACAAAGAAGACAAATCTCTGTCCCACAAGGATTTCCCAGTTTAATATGGAAGGCAGAACACACATACATGAAAGGCCATAGGAACAAATACCAAGCAATACGTAACATAAAAATAAATGTACAATGAAGCCTCACTGCTTCAAATGCTGGTAATCTAATCTCTAAGATAAAAAATATGTTCCCTAGTTTTGCTAACACCATTCATTTACGTAAGAGAACAAAATATTTCAAACACTTTAGAGGTATTATTAATATATACATATCAAAAGCAATATATTATTTAAACAATTTCAGGCATACCTCATTTTATTGCACTTCGCTTTATTGTGTTTTGTTGACATTGTATGTTTTTCAGATAGATGGTTTGTGGCAACCTGTGTTGAGCAAGTCTACTGGCACCATGTTTTCCAACAGCATGTGTTCACTTCATGTCTCTGTGTCACATTTTGGTAATTCTCACAATATTTCACACTTTTTCATTATTATATCTAGTATGATCTGTGATCAGTGATCTTTGATGTTACTATTGTAATCGTTATGGGGGCACTGTGAACTGCATCCATATAAGACGAACAACTTAATCGATAAATATATTTTATGTGTTCTAACTGATCCACTACCAGCTATTCCCTCATCTTTCTCCATCTCCTCTGGCCTCCCTATTCCGAGACACAACGATATTAAAATTATATCAATTAATAATCCTGCAATGGCCTCTAAGTGTTCATGTGAAAGAAGAATCACATGTCTCTCACTTTAAATCAAAACCTAAAAATGTTTAAGCTTAGTGAGAAAGGCACATTGAAAGCCAAGATGGGCTGAAAGCTAGGCCTCTTGTGCCAAACACCAAGCCAGGCTGTGAATGCTAAGGAAAAGTTATTGAAGAAAATTAAAAGTGCTACTCCAGTGAACACATGAATGATAAGAAAGTGAAACAGCTTTATTGCTGAGATGGAGAAAATTTTAGTGATCTGGATATAAGATCACATGATTCCCTTAAGCCAAAGCCCAATCCAGAGCAAGGCTGTTAACTCCTTCAGTTCTATGAAAGCTGAGAGAGGTAAGGAAGCTGCAGAAGAAAAGTTTAAAGTTAGGTAGGTTGTTTTAAGAAAAGAAGCCATCTCTGTAACAAAAATGTGCAAGGAGAAGCAGCAAGTGCTGATGCAGAAGTTGCAGCAAGTTATCCAGAAGATCTTGCCAAGATTACTGATGAAGGTGGCTACACTAAACAACACATTTTCAATGTCAACAAACAGCCTTCTATTGAAGAAGGTGCTATCCAGGGCTTTCACAGTTCGAGAGAAGTCAATGCCTGGCTTTAAAGCTTCAAAGGACAGGATGACTTTCTTATTAGAAGCAAGGGCAGCTGGTGACTTTAAGTTGAAACCAGTGCTCACTTACCATTTCAAAAATCCTAGGGCTCTTAAGAATTATGCTAAATCTACTTTCCTTGTGCTCTAGAAATGGAATAACAAAGCCTACATGACAGTACACCTGTATACAGCATGGTATACTGAATGTTTTTAATTAAAAAAAATTACCTTTTGTAGAGATGGGGTCCTGCTATATTGCCCAGACTGGTCTTGAATTCCTGGCCTTAAGCAGTCCTCCTGGCTTGATCTCTCAGAGTGCTGGGATTACAGATGTGAGCCAACGTGCCTAGCCTTTACTGAAGTTTTTTTTGGGGGGATGGAGTTTCACTCTTGTCACCCAGGCAGGAGTGCAACTGCATGATCTTGGCTCACTGCAACCTCTGCCTCTCGGGTTCAAGCGATTCTCCTCCCTCAGCCTCCCGAGTAGCTGGGATTACAGGCGCCCACCACCATGCCCAGCTAATTTTTTTGTATTTTTAGTAGAGATTGGGCTTCACCATGTTGGCCAGGCTGGTCTCAAACTCCTGACCTCAGGTGATCCACCTGCCTTGGCCTCCCAAAGTGATAGGATTACAGGTGTAAGCCACCGTGCCCAACCCTTTACTGAAAATTTTAAGTTGAGACCTACTGCTCAGAAAAAAAGATTCCTTTCAAAATATTACTGCTCACTGACAATGCACTTGATCACCCAAAAGTTCTGATAGAGATGTAAAATGAGATTCATGTTGTTTTCACGTCCGCTAACACAACATCCAATCGGCAGCCCATGGATCAAGAAGTAATTTGGACTTTCAAGTCTTAATAAATGTATTTCATAAAGCTGCTATAAATAGTGATTTTTCTGATAGATCTAGGCAAAGTAAATTGAAGGCTTTCTGGTAAGGATTCACCATTCTAGATGCCATTAAGAACATTTGTGATTTGTGAAAGGAAGCCAAAATATCAATATTAACAGGCATTTAGAAGAAGTCTATTCCAACCCTTATGGATGACTTTTAGGGGTTCAAGACTCCCATGTTGTAAGTAACTGCAAATGTGGGTTTTCAAAGATTTTCAAAGAAGTTCTACTGGTGAGTAAAATGCTATTAAACAGCATCACATGCTCAGAGATATCTTTCATAAAAGGAAGAGTTGAAAGTAAACTTCGTCGTTGTCTTATTTTAAGAAATTACCACAGTCACCCCAATCTTCAGCAACCACCACCTCGATCAGTCAATACTAACACAAGACCCTCCACCAGCAAAAATATGATTCCACTAGGAAACCCAACAATTAATGTGACTTGCTTTATCAAGATACTCGCTTTATTGAAGTGGTATGGAACTGAACCCACAATATCTCTGAGGTATGCCTGTATCCTTTAAACTATGTTTCTGTCCTTTTTCAGCAGTACATAAATCAAATTTCAGGACTTAAAAGTAATGGTAACTGCATTTACAAAATTTTTAATGCATAGTTTTTCACTAACTCAGGCTAGACTTCCCTCCTTTCAAAAGAATGAATCTTTTCTTTGGAACAGATTAAGCACATAATTGCTGACCAGAGATAAGAACACAAAAATGGTTAGAAGGGGATGGGAGAAATCACTTTTCCGTAGCAAAGACCCTTTGAGTACACCTGGCAGAAAGAACTGGATTTAGAGAAGGAGAGCAGAAGAATGAGTATCCCAGGCTGACAAATCCCAGGCTACGCAAAGCTACGCTGCACTCAGCCTGAGGGGCTATGCAGGGGCAAAGGTCGAACCTTAAGCATCTCGAAGCCTGACTGTAAGCACTTGCCCTCCACCTCGGCAGCCAAGTGGGCCAGGTCCCGGCGCTTGTCCCCAAGGTGAGCAGCATTTTCTCGGAGTCGCTGCAGAATGTCCTGTTCCTCTTCTTCCAGTCGTGAAAGCAACACCTGCTGCTCTTCATCCAGCCGCCTATGAAGCTCTTCAAACTCCCTCAAGATCTGCTGTCGGCGACTTTCCACTAGTCTCTGAGAAGAGAGGGAAGATGTTGTATCAGCAGGGTCAGTGTGGTATAAGGAAGCCTTTCTCTCACCCACCATATGTATGAATTAACACAGACTTCCAGTTTCATTGAAAATGGTTTAACAAAGGCTGGGTGTGGTGACACATGACTGTAATCCCAGGACTTTGGGAGGCCGAGGGAGGTGGATTGCTTGGGATGAGAAGTTTGAGACCAGCCTAGGTAACATGGTGAAACCCCAACTCTACAAAAAATACAAAAAATTAGCTGAGTCTGGTGGTGCATGCCTGTAGTCCCAGCTACTGGAGAGGCTGAGGTGGCATGATGGCTTGAGCAAAGAAGGCAGAGGTTGGAGTAAGCTGAAATTGTTGCACCATTGCACTCCAGCTTGGGCAACAGATCGAGATGAAAGACAGACAGACAGGAAAGAAAGACAGAAAGACAAAGACAGAAAGAAAAGAAAGAAAGAAAATGAGAGAAAATGGTTTAACAGAACACTCATTTTTTATTCCATTGGAATTTCCTTCTGTAAAGAATGGCTCCATCACTATCACCCCCCTACTGATGACTTGGTAGTGAAGACCACTGCGGATATATATATTTGTTTTAATTTAAGATAAAGAACTCAATAATATGATGACATTAACTATTACAGATATCAGAGATATCTGTGTTATTATCAACTGTAAAGTTCTAGTTAATTCAATCTGTCGAGAAAAGGAAAGTATAGGCTCAGCATGGTGGCTCATGCCTGTAAACTTAGTGCTTAGGAGGCCCAGGTGAGAGGATCACTTGAGGCCAAGACCAACCTAGGAAACATAGTGAGACCTTGTTTCAACTAAAAAGAAAAAAAAATTAGTCGGGCATGGCAATGCACATCTGCAGTCCTAGCTACTCAAAAAGAATCAAGAGGATGGATGGCCTGAACACTGGAGTTTGAGTTAGTGTGCTGTGATCACTACTGCCCTCCAGCCTGGGTGAGTGAGATTCTGTCTCAAAACAAGCAAACAAAAAACAACGAAACAAAAAGGAAAGTACAAATAATAAAAAGTTAAAAATAAGATTGTCATCCTTTGCATATTGCAACACATGCACCAGATAAAAACCAGAGAACTGGGAAAGTGTAAGAATCAGTAAGAGTTATATGGGTTATTATAAAATATACATATGTAGATTTCAGGGCTGAACTTGTTAAATTGTTTCAAGTCACTTCAGAGAACTGGCAATTCCTACCCCAGGAACAGGTTACAGAAGTTTGTTAGTAATTTAGTTTCTTGAAATTTGAAACATGCTTTCTTTAAGCCAGCACACAGACTTAAGCCTCTAACATTCCTGAAATTTGATAATATAGGACTCAAACACCAGCCATAACACTTTCTGAGAATTATCAGCACATCCTCTCTTCTGCATCTCCACTACAACAAATAGTGATCTCCCTAAAGAAAGAATTCCCCAAGCATCATGTGACTGATGATGAAGCAAAGTGAGAAGCAGAGACTGGGACTCTAGAAGGAAGTGGATAGGGAATGAAAGGCAGGCTTGAGGGTGGAGAGAGAGTGGGGATGCAAAGCCAGGATGGGCCTGACAAGCGTGGCATTTGTGGATTCAAGCTAGTTCCTGGCAGAGGCTGACTAGCTCTTCTAGTTTAGGGCCACTTGCTGCTTCACTTTCCACCACTGCCTTCTCAGTGTACATCTGAACAAAATATATTCTCACATTTGCCCTCAATAAAACACAGCCTTTGTGTGTGTGTGTTTGCACATGTGTGTGCATGCATGTGTGTTTGTTTAGGTATGGGTGTAAGTTTAACATTCATGACTGTGATAAATAGGAAGCAAAAAGGCCCTTCCTCTTATAAACCGGTAATCTTTTCTCTTTTTTTCACTCTATATTTTAGGGCAGTGGTTCTTGATGAAGCTGTTAACACACTCTGAGGATATTTTGGAAATAGGCACATCTTCTTGTTTTCCATGGTTGGGGAAGTTCCTGACAATGACGCAAGCACTCCTCCAATGTGTGAGACAATCCGGCATAGTGAACTGACCTGCAACATTTTCTAATGTTCTGCTGGATATTCAAAAACACAGGCCTGGGCGGCCAGGCACGGTGGCTCACGCCTGTAATCCCAGCACTTTGGGAGGCCGAGGTGGGCAGATCACAAGGTCAGGAGATCGAGACCATCCTGGATAACACGGTGAAACCCTGTCTCTACTAAAAATAGAAAAAAAAAATCAGCTGGGTGTGGTGGTGGGCGCCTGTAGTCCCAGGTACTTGGGAGGCTGAGGCAGGAGAATGGCATGAATCCGGGAGGCAGAGCTTGCAGTGAGCCGAGATGGCACCACTGCACTCCAGCCTGGATGACAGAGCGAGACGCCGTCTCAAAAAAAAAAAAAAAAAAAAACCACAAAAACAAAAACATAGGCCTGGGCTTGAATGCCATTTTATATAGTATAAACACAGAGTAATTCTTACATGGTTTTACTATACGTGAATTTTTCAGCAATAGCTGAATAAAACCCAAGATTATATTGTTATACTTAGAACTTTACCAAAAGTTATTACTATGAAAAATCATATCACCAAGAGCTAAGCTACTTATGGTATTTCAATCATATTGGCACACATCCATCTCAGTCTGAATTTGTATTTATGGCGTTGCTGATAATGACACATATAGGGGCAAGCATATAACCAGCTACACTGTAAAGTCGTTCAGGGTAGTCATGCCCAAATATTACATACCACATTTTATCATCAATTATGTTTCATTATATTATATTTGGACATGATAGACTCTTTAAAATTTAACATTATGCACATAGGTTATATTACCTGTAATTTTCAGTTCAGCATAATTACAAATTATTTTTTAAAGGGGCATTGAGTCTGATGAGGGAGAAGGAGGGAGAATTCAAATGGTCACAAGAGGAATGTTGGTGGTAGTTTTGGAGACCACTGAAATGACAATTTACAGTTTAAAAAACAGGACAGTTCTGTTCAAGCATTTAGAAGGTTTTAAAAAGGTATATTTCTCTCTCCATCCTTTACCTTCAAGAAGGTGATCAACATGAAGAAGAAAGTTAATGACTAGCAATAAGCACCATTTTCATATTTTTAGGTTTCTTGGAAGGCCTCTAAAAGAACAAAAAACTTTAAAAGTTCACATTTCTAACCAAAATTGGTTCAAATTTTAAAATTTCAAATGCTTACTTTGCTAAAATGTATAAGGCACTAAGGTAATAATACTTGCTTTCTGATGAAATGTTATCATTCATTTAAAAATTCATGTTTCTATGAATCAAAACTTGGATTTAGCTTCTGGTGATCTCTACATGTCAACTCTTAAAAACTCATTACTTCTTCGGGAAACCTTTAATGAGGCCAAATTTCTATGTTGTCTTCTTATGAACTTGCAGCTGTGCATTTTGTGCCATTACTTATTTTCTCCACTTAACTTTAAGCTCAAGGAGGGCAGGAACTGTGTTTTTGCTCATCATTGTTCCCCAGTGTCAAATACCGGGTTTGGCCTAAACCAGGAGCTTAACAAATATTTACTGATTCACGAAGAACTAGTATTCCTGGTTTTGCCACTTACTGGCTTTATGATCTTGGACTAGTCACTTACCCAAGGTCCATTTCCTTCTGTGTAAGCTGAAGGTAATAATACCTACCTTAAAGAATATCTAGGTTTACCCCTACATCTTACTAAAGATGGCCTCAGGATTTCCTTCTGTCTCTTTCTCGTAGCTTTTCTATGTCTCACTTATCCCAATTTGGCCTGAACTCTAAGACCCTAACAACCCTATAAATCTGGAATGTTACGGATACCTAATGAATTAATGCATAGGACTCAATTCTAGTTATTTTTGCTACAAATGATAATTGTTCACTGTTCAATGGAAGACAGACAGACACCAAAATACCATGCTACAAATAAGGCAATGCTATAAAAGAGGTGCAAAATTGTATGAAAATTAAGAATGTTAATTTCTGAAGGGTCAGGAAAGGCTGCATAGGAAGTGGCTTTCATCCCGCCTGAGAGATGAATAAGATCCTATGGTGGAGGATGGGGAGGGGGAGAACATTCTAGCATATGTAAGCTTACTTGAGTTTTAAGAATGTGGTCCTAATGTCATTAGATAGTTCTTCTGAGACTCTTGGTCAGCTCCTTTTCCCTTTCTCCCCAGTGAATCTTCCATATTCTCCTCTCTTCAAGTCCTCTAAGAAACTCCCATCCCTGCCTTCTCAGCAGAAAGCCTCCTTTGCTGCTTTAACAAAAAAAGGAGACCAAGAGGCACGAACTCTCTCAGCTCACCAGATGTAAGATATTCTGTCTGTTCTTCATCTCTTAAATCCCTCTTAATACTTAATTCATGACAAGTAATTTAAGTACAATGTTTAATGACAATCAAGCCTAATAAAATGCCATCATTTTTGAGAGAACTACATTGTTCTTTCTTTTTTTTTTTTTTGTTTTTTTTGTTTGTTTGAGACAGAGCCTTGCTCTGTTGCCCAGGCTGGAGTACAATGGTGTGATCTTGGCTCACTGCAACCTCCGCCTCCCAGGTTCAAGCAATTCTCCTGCCTCAGCCGCCCAAGTCGCTGGGACTACAGGCATGTGCCACCATGCCCGGCTAATTTTTTGTTTTTAGTAAAGACAGGGTTTCACCATGTTGCCCAGGGTGGTCTCAAACTCCTGAGCTCAAGCAATCTGCCCACCTTGGCCTCCAGAATTGCTGGGATTACAGGTGTGAGCCACCATGTCCGGCGAGAACTGCATTTTTCTAATGAACCGGAACTGGTGGATTAAATAGTGTACAGTTAATTCCCTCATAGGCAAATACCCTTCAGAGCAGCCTACATGGGATTGCCTGCCTTTACCTTGAGCTCACCAGGCTTCTTCTCCTCAGAGGACTTGCAGCGAGTGATCTCCTGCAGCTTCTGTTCCAGGGGCTCCAGACACTTCTGCAGTTTTTCCTGAGGGGTAGGGAGGAAGTGGGAGAGGTGACATTTGGGGTTGACTGGTATACCTACCATTCAGAGATTAAACCATTTGTTTTAAACCATTTATTTGCTTCCTAGCCATCTTACTGCCTCTTGATCTGACTTCCTTCCTTGCCTGTCATTTGGGATGTCAACTTTCTACAGTCCCTCCTCCTGCCACTAGCCTGTCCACATCACCTTCTCTGCTCACCCAACTGTCCTTTTACTGAATCTGAGATAGCTGTCATCAACTCTGTGTCCTTTCTCAACTCTTTCCATTTTCTTACTGAGGCAACTGCCTATTACCATCCAAGCAACCTTCTGTACCCTAATATCTCTCTTTAAACCTGTCCTCCCATCCACCTCTGTCCACCTACAATAAAAACATGGTTATTATACTGTAAGTTACCTGAAATCTTGTTTTCAAGAGTAACATAACTAAGCAAAGTATATGATAAAATGCTAACACATTCATATCTCTGTTCCCTTTATTCAAACATTTTCCTTTGTCTCAGCAGTAAGTTAAATGATATGCCATGTTACCCATTACCTAGAGAAGCTGCAAACAATTGAATGGTTCAGCTTAGTCCGGTAGGTATCAGTCTCAAGCGATATTACCTATGCCCAATAACCAGTGTGAAAACAAGGAGCATTCTGAGCAGGCAGGCAGAATGAAGAAACCAGACTACTTTTCAGTTCTTCCTAAGTTTAATCTTTTCCATGTGGTTTCATTCATTTATGAAAAATATGACCACACATACCAATATTCACCCATAAGACTCACATGTATTGCAAAAGTCAGAGAGAAATTTTAGGGCACTTCTCACCATTGCTCTTTTTCAGGCTAGAGGACAACTGATCACACATACTGTGTGCCCCTGCATATGCAGCTCTGAGAATACAAAGTGAGTAGTAGGAGCTTACGATCTCTACCTAGGGAGTATCTCATCCTCTGCCGCTTCTCCCTTTTTACCCACACTGACATCGTGTGTCTGCTTCCCCACCTTGTACTCCTGTGTAGCATCGTCCAGTGGCACAACGGTGTGAGCCCGGTGGGTGTGGGAAATTGCACATATCAAGCATACAGCCTCCTGGTCCTCATAACAGAAAAGGCTGAGGGCCTCATGGTGTTGGGGGCAGAGGCTCTCATCCCGGATCTTCCGCTTGACGGCCTGGAGCTGCTTGGCAATTTCCACCATACTGCCTAGTTGCCGATTAGGTCGGAGACTGCGGTAGCGGGATGTCTTTCGACAGACAGGACAAGGGAAGTCCCTCTCTAGGTCCTCCCACCAGCGGGTGATGCAAGCTTTGCAGAAGTTGTGCCCACACTCAATGATGACAGGTTCCTTCAGATACTCCAGGCACACAGAGCAGCTCGCCTCCACCTGTAAGTTCTCCAAAGCCGCAGCTGTAGAGGCTGCAGAGGCCCCAGCCTCTAACAGACTTGTCTCTGCCATAATTTAACTTGGGAGTGGGGAAGAGGACAGAGAAAATAAAAATATTAATTGGAGGTTTTTTCTTTTTTTTTTTTTTGCATCCCTGACCCGACATTTATCCCTATGTTAAGTCCTAACTCCAGATTTGCCCCTTCTTGTTATTCTCCATCTTCTCTTCCAATCAATTCAACCTCTTTGTTTCTCCATTTTCAAAACTTGTGACTCCCAGCCATCAACCTTTTTTTTCTTGTTAGTAAACTGACACACAACCCCCAATTGATCTATCTTGTCTCTTACCTCTGCTTTCTCTTGTTAGAAAGAGAAGCTTCCTTCAACTCTAGCTCAGCATACTTCTCCTGATCCAGGCTCATTCCACTTATATCTTAGAACCAATAGTTCCAGACACTGTATCCTCGTTTGACATACGTTTCTAACAGACAAGAAAGGAATCTGAGAAGTAAAAAATGTCATAAAAATATTAACATTTCTTAAATTAACCATATTTTAAAGTTTAATGTTATAAGAGCTTTATGATTAATCCACTGGAGTCTAAGCTTGATTCTCTGACACTGTTCTCTCATTCTTCTAAATCACAATATCCAACCTTTTGGCTTCCCTGGGCCCACTGGAAGAAGTGTCTTGGGCCAGACATAAAATACATTGACACTAATGACAGCTGATAAGCTTAAAAAAAAAAAAGTCCATGCATAACTTTTGTTCTATCACCACCACAGAAGGTCCATGCATAATTTTTATCAGCCACCACAGATAAGCAAAGAGAGTCCTCATATTGAAAGGGTTAGATACCACTGCTCTAAAGGCTAACAAATGGAATGAATGAGGCAAAGGCAACCTCCTCTTTTCAGGAAAATCTGAAATTATTCTTCCTTTTATCCATCAGACTAGCCTAAAGGAAATCTGCTCTCTTCTTGGAATGACATTTCACGCAACATTCCATTTCTCTTGTGTTCATCTGGACACTCAGAACTGCTGAAAACTGATAAATTATGGCAACCATATTAAATATTGCTGAGCTCAGGCCAACAACTTCTTGAAAAGAGAGCAACGAGTCTATTTGTAGTGACTGGAATCTTTCAATATAGCTATTGATAACTAACACCCTGGGCATAGTGTGTCTCCAACTTATAGGTCCTGGAGTGGTTGCGAATTAAGAGACACAAAAGAGGCAATGAGATCTCCCTCAAGCGCAGCCTCAGAAGAATTGGAAATGCATAGGAGAGATTTATAAAACACAAGGCTGGCCCCCTACTCCATCCTTAAAACATCCATACTTTTAGCCATGGGTAAGTTGATTTAACTATCCCCATAACCTTTTCTCCTCCCGACCCCCATCCTTCTCCAGGGACCTACTGGAAGGAAGGAAATTTGGTAGATCTATGTGCTGAGAGATAAGTGGCCATGTAATGAGGTAGGTTAACAACAATTGTTCCTGTATATATTGTTGGCACACACAAATGTGTTTGATTTGGAGTAGGAACTGATAACTTCTTTGGATTTGAATTTCTTCTGTCAGCAATAGGAGAGAAGTTCAGTCAGATGATTTCTATCTGTGGGAATCCAACTTTGACTTGTGGTGATCCTACCCCTTCCTCAGTCTTTTACAAATTAAGTGGCCTCCTCACCTGAGACGAGTAGAACTGTATGCACAGTAAGGCACCAGGACGGATCTAGACTGGCAAAGAAGTGGTGAGAGAAATGGGGAAAGGGTTAGGGAAGAAGGGAGAGGACTCTCAACTACAGTCATAGTGAGACCTTGAGTGCCTCTGCGTTAGTCCTTCCTCTTCCTCTACTCCTTGTGTCTCAGCTGAAGGGCAAACTTCAGGGACAATCTCATTTTGTTTCTACCACTGTTCAGGGTCCCACCTTGCGACCCTCTCCTGAGAGGTTGTCCACAACTCTGTCCCACCCCCGTTCTCCATCTTCTTCCGCCAGATCTGGGGCTGGGGCATTGGAGAGGGGAAAGAGGAAACGTCGTGGCTGGCAGGGTAGGAAGGGATGCGTGTCCAGGTGAGAAAGAGGTGTGACGTGCAGATGGGATGCCCGCCGCTATGACGCTGCCGAGACCCGCGGTGACTGCGTCAGAGTTTCACCCGGGGAGGTGAGCAGCAGCGGGACGGGGGAACGGCGGGGTAGCCAAGCAACGCCGGACGCGCTGACGTCGCCGGGGCGGCAAAACGTCCGCCCGGGCCCGAGGCGGGCGGAGGCAGCTGTGGTTACGTGCGGGGGGCCGGTGACGCAGTCGCGGGGCGCTGGGACGCGGCTTGCGGAGCCGGCCGGCGAGCGCAGGCCCCAGGCTCGGGCGCGGCGGCGGGACAGCACCTACCTTCCCGGCTTCGGGTCCGGGAGTGCGGGGCGCGGAGCCGCCGGAGCGCTGCCTCCCTCCTTCCTCCTCCCCTCGCCCCCGCCCCGCGGCGCGACACACAATACTCGCCGGAAGCGGAAGCCGCGCCGAGGCTCGTGTCAGTGGAAGCTGGGGTGTCGGCGGGCGGCCGCGGCCGGGTCTAGTGGTGCCTGCGGAAGAAGGAGGAGGAGGGCTGGCGATGAGAAGCAGCAGGGGGAATCAAGGGCAAGAAGGGACCCAGAGGGGCAGGTGGCTGAGATGCTGGCGTCCAGGTGACCCGAGGAATCCTCTGGAGATACAGGCCCGCGCATGCGCGTGCTCGAGCGCTGAAGCCCATTGCCCGCAGGGCGCTGGACTGGCGCCCCGGCCGGCGAGGCTGTCTAGTCCAGGCTCCAGGCCCCGGCTCTGGCCAGGCGCCGCCGCCTCCCGGTGCAGCTGAAAGTCGACGAAGAGGGCGGGGCGGGGGCGGCTTGTGGACTTCCACACTTTTCCTCTCTTCGGGCCAGTCTGGGGAGAGGGTGGCTAGCTGTGGCGGCGGCCAATTACGTGGCGGACCTGCGGGGCTAAGCTGGCACGTCACTTCCGACTAGTGGAGTTTTTAGCCTTTTAACATTCAAGGATTAGGTAAGTTCTCCCCGCGGTAGACTTCAAATACTCTTTGTCCTGCCCCTGCTTGGCGAAATTTACCGAAATTATCTACCTATCCCGCTGGAGTGGGAGCCGGGGGAGAGCTGGAACCGCGTCTCTGCTGCTCACCTTTGTGTCCTTAGCTCCTTCGCATGGGGTCCGACCGCAACACGTGCGCTGGATAAACGCTTGTTAACTGGGTGAGAGCCAAGGCCTGTTCTTTCCACTTCTGGGGCTGTGACTTGAGTTTCTCCGCAGGAGCAGATAGTGTTTGTGTAGGGACTGCGGACTTTTGCATTACAGCCTCCCTGCTTTGCCCGCCTGCTGCTGGAAGCTTAGCAGGTCAGTGATTTTGGAGGAAGTGGGTGAGGTGATGAGGCTGGGGAAGAGTATGCTGGGAGAGGTGTGAGGGGCCCGGGAAGAGGTGATGGGGCTGGGGAGGGGCTAGTAGTGGGTAGAGGTGTGAAAAGGCTGAGGAGGAGGGGTTAGTGCTAGGAGGGGTGTGACACGGCTGGTAGAAAAGATAGCTTGCTCCGCCTCCCCGCCGCCAGCACTAGTCATGGAGAATATTCATTGAAAGAGATGAGCAGATTTTGCTGTACTCTCCTCGGTGAGAAAGGGCCCTAATTTCCGGTGTAAATTGTACTGCTGTTTACAAACACCCTGCATTATTTAACCTCTCATCTTGGGAGCCAGAAACTATTTACTTGCTGAAAATATAATCCAGTATCTAAGGTATAAAGATTTGGGATCACACATGCTAATTACAGTTGTCTACCTTTACTGTTCCTTTTTTTGTGCCAAGAATTGAAGAAGATTAAATTTGAGAAAATTACATTTGATACCTTTTTTCACATTGCTATGTAGCCGTTAGGGATTTTAGCAGCAGCACTTGTTCTAATTCACAAGATGTCTCACTTGTAAGGGTAGTTTGAAAGCCACTAACTGGGCAGTGAGCCTCCTTAGCCGTGGCTTCGGAGGGAGAGAGAGATTTGGTTTTGATTTGTTAATTTGTGGCGCTTAAGATGTTGATAGCCCTCCTTTCTGGCTTTCTGTTTGTAGATAACCAGGAGGAATGTGATTAGACTAAGGAAATTAACAAGAGGAGGTCCAGTTCTAAGGACTGTGAAGAATGTGCTTGCCTAGAGACTGATATTAAGGGGATTTTATGCTGAATATGGAAGGAAAAAAGGGAGACTGTCTAGGTAAAACTATAAAATTATGAAGCGCAAGTAGTATGACATATAACAGGGCTTGGCAAATCTTTGCTGTAGAGAGCCAGAGAGGACATCTTTTTGGCCTTGTGGTCCATACTCAGCTTTCTCCTTGCAGTATGAAAACATCATTAGACAGTACTAAATGAAGGCTGGGCGCGGTGGCTCACGCCTGTAATCCTATCACTTTGGGAGGCCGAGGCGGGTGGATCACCTGAGGTCAGGAGTTTGAGACCAGCCTGGCCAACATAGCGAAACCCTGTCTCTACTTTTTAGTAGAGACAAAAATTAGCCGGGCGTGTGGCGCGTGTGGCGCGCACCTGTAATCCCAGCTACCTGGAAGGCGGAGGCAGGAGAATGGCTTGAAAGCAGGAGGCAGAGGTTGCAGTGAGCCGAGATCTCGCCACTGCACTCCAGCCTGGGCGACAGAGCGAGACTCTGTCTCCAAAAACAAACAAAAGCTAAATGAGCATGGCTGTGTTCCAATGAAACTTTATTATGGATGCTAAAATTTGAATTTAATAACATTTTCAAGTGTCATTAAATACTCCCCTTGGATTCTGGCCCTCCCTCCCCAGTCATTTAAAAATGTAAAAACCATTCTTAGCTTTTGACGTATACGAAGACAGATAGTAGACCGTAGTTTGCCGACTCCGGACAGGATAATAATGAAATATCCGGTATTTTTCAAGCGATAGTAATTGGGAGAGAGTGAAAACAAGCTATAATCTCTTAATTTCATCTGTCTGTTTACCACAATAATAAAGGGGATCTGAATTCTTAACACAAATTTGTTATGGCCTTTGAAAGTTGCCAAGATTTATGAATGTACGTATATTCTCTAAACAAGAAAAGGTATATTCCTTGTTTAAAAAGGATTACAGTTCAAGAAAAGTGGAATAACACCGAGTTTTGATGTTGATTTATACCAAAGGATTTTCAACACAGGAATATGCAAAAATGAACTGTAATAATGGGATGTAATTAAACAAATTTTAAATATACATTTTTAATATTTTTATATCAATAAGGGAAAACAGAAGCAATCTTGAAATGACTGAGTCATATAGAGCAAATGGGCATATAAGCAGTGTAGGTAGGAAACTGGTTGAGGTCAGATATGATGAGATGGGAGGGATGAAGGCGGGGTTTAATTGTCCAAGACTTGTGAGATTCTTACTCATGAAAAGGCAATATATCTAATCCCCCTCCATTTTTTTCATTTTTTATTATGAAAAATTTCAAACATAGAGACAGTCTTCAGCTTGCTTTTTATACTTTATAGTGGCTTTTATTGTTCCAGTTTGGTGACATAGAGCTACCTCACTCTTTTTAAAGTCTGCATTATTCATTTTGTAGACATGTGATTTATTCAACAATTTTGAGTAGACATTTAAGGTTCTTTCCACATCTTATTAAATAAAGGCTGTCGAGAACATCCTTGTACATATCTCTTTAGATCGTCGTGCCATTATATTAGTAGGATAAATTTCTGGAAGTTTGGCTGCTGGGTTCGAAGGCATGGAAATTTAAAATTCTATTAGATTTTTACAATTATCTTTCCGTAAGTGCCTGGCAAGGTGTCAGAGCCCTGGCACCGGGAAGTGGTCAACTCGCAGGTTGGTAAAATGAATTTACCATACCTACAAACAGTATAGGTTTGAAAAAAGGAAAGTTTATTAGAAAGGAAGAACTGAAACAGCCTTTGCAAAATGATGACTGAGACAGTGAAAGAAATCTAACGTAACCGACTCCATCTTGCTTCTAAGCTCCAAGCTGTTCTTGTTCATTCCTGGGCGTAGGCTGAACTAACTTTGGGAGAAACTTAGTTTATAAACAAAGAGGGTAACAGCCCTTTCCCAAAGCAGACTTCCTTCTTGTCTGAGGACTAGACTAACATTAGCCACAGGATTAGAATTTTTGGTTTAGTAGTCATGCAGCTGGAGGCTGCAAGATTCTGACCCTCCCTAAACTGCTCCTGTGATCAGTGCTTGAGGTATTTTGCAGACCCCGTACTTGATGGGTCAGCTGGCACTACCCACATCAATAAACTGGCTCTTTTTTTTTTTTTTTTTTTTTTTTGGAGACGGAGTCTTGCTCTTGTCGCCCAGGCTGGAGTGCAAATGGCACGATCTCGGCTCACTGCAACCTCCGCCTCCCGGATTCAAGTGATTCTCCTGTCTCAGCCTCTCGAGTAGCTGGGATTACAGGCACCTGCCATCACGCCTGGCTTTTTCTGTTTGTTTTTTTTTTTTTGTTTTTTAGTAGAGACAGGGTTTCACAATGTTGGCCAGGCTGGTTTCCAATTCCCGACCTCCGGTGATCCACTCACTTTGGCTGCCCAAAGTGGCTCATCTGATTATGTGGCCCCCACCCAGGAACTGACTCAGTGCAGGAAGACGGTTTTGATTCCCTACAGTTTCATCCCTGACCAATCAGCACTTCTGGCTCACTGGCTTCCCCCCACCCACGAAGTTATCTTTTAAAACTCTGCTCCCCCGTGCTCGGGGAGACTGATCTCCCACACAGCTGGTTCTGCGTGAAGTACTCTTTCTCTATCACAATTCCCCTGTCTCGATGAATTGACTCTGTCTAGGCATGGGCAAGGTGAACCCCTTAGGCGGTAACAGAACACTGCAGAAGAGTGCAGTGGGGCGCCTCAGCAAGAGGACTAAGTGTGCTGCCATGGATTTTTCTTTAGAGGTATTTATGGACCTTAAGGCAGGAGCTTAGGATAGTAAAAAGAGTTTCGGCATGGCATTTCAGAGATGTATATAAATTTTAGTTACTTGTAAAAGTTGAAAGAGGCCTGGAACCAGACTTTAGATACTAGGAAAGTTTAATTACTTCTGAATTCCCAGAAAAGGAGTTTCGCCTCTGTCTGGCCCGTTTGGTGGTCACCAGGTGGTCTTTGTTCCCTTCGAAATTCCTCAGATCAGGAGCTTTTGTCTGTGGGGCCTATTCAGTGGTCAACAGGTGATCAACCTCATGGTCAACTTCAGTAAGGTTGCACCTATTTTTATCCACACCAGCATATCATGAAATACAGTAGTCCTCCCCTTATCCTCGGTTTCATTTCTCAAGGTTTCATTACTCTTGGCAACCACAGTCTGAATATTTTAAGTGGAAAATATCAGAAATAATTCCTAAGTTTTAAATTGGCACCTAAACAATTCCTGTTTTAAATTGGGCGCTGCACCATTCTGATGAACATGATGAAATCTCATGCCATACCACTCCATCCCTCCCCAGGATTTGCATCATCCCTTTGCCCAGTATCCACAGTGTATATGCAGCCTGCCTATTAGTCACTTAATAGCCTTCTTATCAATTTTACTGCCTAAGTATCACAGTGCTTATATTCATGGAACCCTTATTTTACATGACAGTGGCCCCAAAGTGCAGGAGTACTAATGATGGCAACTTGGATATACAAAAGAGAAGCCATAAAGTGCTTCTTTTAAGTGAAAAGGTAAAAGTTCTTGACTTAAGGAAATTTTTTAAATGCTGAGTTTGCTAAGATCCATGGTCAGAACAAATCTTCTATCCCTGAAATTATAAAGGAGGAAAAAGAAATTTTTGCTAGTTTTACTGTCACACTTCAAAATGGAAAAGTTGCAGCCACAGTGCATGTTAAGCACTTGGTTAAGATAGAAAAGTCATTAAAATTGTGGGTGGGAAACATCACCAAAAAAAACTTCCTATTAACAGCAATCGGGTTCAGTACTATCAGTGGTTTCAGACATCCACCGGGGATCTTGGAACATATCTCCCAAGAATAAGAGGGAACTACTGTAGTCTGTTTTCCTACAGTGGTGCCATTCCTGATATTTTCATATTTTTAAAAATTTGCTGATATTTTTATTTATAATCCTTAATAATTCCATAACAGGTCTTGTTTTGCAGGTAATGTTTTTAACCTTTTGTCAGTAGATAGGCATTTACTTCATTTCCTATTGATACTTAGTTTCCTCTTTTTTTCTGCTACACAGTATTACAATAATAACTTTCTGAACACATGTCATGTGCTGGTAGATTTTTGTGAGAAAGGTTTCTGGGTCGAAGGATATGGCATGTTTCTAATTTGATGGATGTTGCCATATTGCTTTCTCAGTAGGCTGTTAACCTTTACATTTCCTTACAACAATGTATGATCCTGCTCCCTTCCCACTTGCCCAGCAAAGATACATATTATTTATGTTTTTATTTTTTTCCCAGCCAATAAAGAGAAGTCTTAGTTACTTTTAATTTTCTCTTCCTTTAGTAATTTTGATTATGTTACTGTTTGCCATTCAGATTTTCTGTGCATTTTCAATTCTATCCTTTGCCCATTTTTCCTATTGGATTGTTTATCAGTCTCATACATATGCACACATGTATGTGTGCTTGCCCTATCCGTGTGTCCATGCATGCAAACGCACACACACACACACACCCCTACCTGTCCTCATTAAGAAATCCATCCTGACCTCCAGATTCTAATTTGCTTTCTTCGGTTTCTTACAATATTTTTTATTCCTTACATTTAAATATTTTTTAAAAATATCCTGTAAAAGGAGAATCTTAATTTTTCTCCAGAGCAGTGCTGTCCAATAGAAATATAATGGAAGCGAGCCAGGTGCGGTGGCTCACGTCTGTAATGCCAGTACTTTGGGAGGCCAAGGCAGGTTAATCACTTGAGGTCAGGGGTTTGAGACCAGCCTAGCCAACATGGCAAAACCTCATCTCTACTAAAAATACAAAAAAATTAGCCAGGCCTGGTGGCTCATGCCTGTAATTCATTCCAGCTACTTGGGAGGCTGAGGCAGGAGAATCGCTTGAACCCGGGAGGCAGAGGTTGCAGTAAGCCCAGATCGCGCGACTGTACTCCAAACTGGGTGACATCAAGACTCTGTCTCAAAAAAGGAAATATAATGCAAGCCGCTTATATGATTTGTGGTTTTCTAATTATAGCTGCATTAAAAAAGGTAAAGAGAAACAGTTAAAATTAACTTTAATAATATATTTTATTTTACCAACCTAACCCATTATATTTAAAATATTATCATTTTAACATGTAATCAGTTTTAAACAATTACAAATAAGATATTTTATGTTCTTTTGTATACTAAGTCTTTGGAATCTAGTGTATATTTTATACATACGTCACTAGGTCTGTGGTTAAGTGCTTATGGCCATTGTGGGGCTCAGAACTCATACCCGAAAATATGGTGCTGTGGCATAGTAAACTGAAGAAACCCAGAGTTCTCTGTGACCTCCCCATCCCCTACCTCCTCTCTCAAATAAGTTGAAGTTTCTTTATCTGCCTAAGATCTACACCCACCAAAGAGAACTGTTGTTTTTTCTTGCCCTCCCTTGTTAGACCCAGAGTGTACTCGCACCTGAACAGACCCTTTCAGTGTCAAAGAGAACTATTTACATGTTAATCTCTGTTCCCAGATCCATTCATTCTCCCTAGTATCAGCTCACAGCAGCTCCACCAAGCAGTGCAGAGTCCCTATTGCTTCACATTCTCTCAGTACTTGGTATTTTCAGACTTTTGAATTTTGGCCATTTTTACTGAGTATTTTCCATGATTACAAATCAGATAGTATATATTGTCCTATGTTTATAGGCCATTTGGTATTCTCTATTCTGAAACATCTGTTCTGCTCACATTTTTCCATTGAGTCATCAATCTTTTTCTTATGAAGGAGTTTTTTGTTTATTTTTTAGAAAAAAAATAACATTCATTTCTGACAGTTCCAGAGGCTGGGAAGTCCAAGGTCAAGGGGATGCATCTGGTCAGAGCCTCCTTACTCATGGGAACTCTGCAGAATCCTGAGGTGGTATGGGGCATCACATGGCAAAGGAGCAGAGCATGCTAGCTGAAGCCTCTTTTCCTCTTATAAAGCCACTAGTCTAACTCCCATGATAACCCATTAATCCATGAACATCTCTTAAAGGCCCCACCTGTCAATACTGCCACATTGAAGGTTAAGTTTCAACATGAGTTTTGGAGGGGACAAACATTCAAACCATTGCATTCTGCCTGTGGTCCCCCAAACCCATGTTCTTCTCACATACAACTATACTTAATCCCCATATCCCCAAGGTCCTAACTTGTTTCAGCATCAACTCAGAAGTCCAAAATTCCATCTGTGAAATCAAAACAAGTTATCTACTTCTAAGGTACAACGGCAGGACGGGCATAGGATAGACATTCCCATTTGAAAAGGGAAAAGTAGGCCAAAAGAAAGGGTTAATAAGCCCCAAGCAAGTCCAAAGCCTAAGAGGGCAGACATTAAATCTCAAAGCTGGGGAATAATCACCCTTGACTCTATATTCAGCATCCCCCGTACCTGGAGGAATTCCTTTTTTTTTTTTTTTTTTTTCTGTTGTAGAGACAGAGTCTTACTGTGTTGCCCAGGCCGGTCTCAAACTCCTGGCCTCAAGCACTCTTCCCACCTTGGCCTCCCAGAGCCCTGGGATTACAGGCATGAGCCACTACGCCTGGACTGGAGGGGTTCTTTATACAGTCTGTGATATGGATTTGTGTCCCTTCCCAAATCTCATGTCGAATGAAAATCCCCAATGTTGGAAGTGGGGCCTGGTGGGAGGTGATTGAGTCCTGGGGGTGGATTTCCCCCTGGATGCTGTTCTTATGGTAGTGAGTTCTTGTGAGATCTGGTTGTTTAAATGTATAGCACCTCCCCACTCTCTCTCTTGCTCCTACTCCTGTCATTTAAGATGTGCCTGCTTTCTGTTCACCTTCGGCCATGATTGTAAATTTCCTGAGGCCTCCTCAGAAGCAGAAGCCACTGTGCTTCCTGTACGGGCTGCAGAACCGTGAGCCAATTAAACCTCTTTTCTTTATAAACTGAACTACCCAGTCTCAGGTATTTCTTTATAGCAGTGCAAAAACAGACACATGCAGTCTGGATATAAGCTCTTTGTCGTTTGTATGTGAATCTGGATGTAGCAGTACAGGTGCATTTAGTTTTGCTTCATAAGCATTTATTATGATTCCCGCATCTTCCTGTATATGCTTTACCTAAGTAAACAGATCTATAATAAAGTTCCTTAGAAGATTTTTTATATCTTCCTTTCCCCAACTACTATAATAAACAGCTAGTTGCCTTAGAGACCACTGCAGGTTTTACTATTTTACAACCTGGCCTTTAGTACTGACATTAGGCAAACTCAATGTTGTTTAATAGTGTCAAAGAAAATACTGAATGGTCTCCTCATAATCACACCAGAGATTTTCCAATTTGTGTTGATAGTAGGGAGCTTCTGGTGATCTGGGCTAAGGAGTAAGATAATGAAAATAGAATTTAGAATGTTTTGCTTAGGAATAGATGTCCAAATGGATAAGACAAAAAAGGGACCAGAGACAAGAATATCAGAGAGGAAATGGATGCTTAATGTGAATTGAAGGAATGTCTGAACTAGACTAAAATCCAAAATTACAAATGAGAAGCACAGGGAAACCAGGTGGTAAGTGTGTGCTGAGCAGTAGCTAGAAGCTTGGTGTGGCTGTGACTGGGGTGCCTGAAAGGGCCTGGGCTCTGCAGAGGTGTGTTGGAAGGTGGTGGGCTAGGAGGTCCCCTCTTCCCTGCCCCCCTTCCGTCCTTCCATGAGGTAATTGCATGCATGGGGTTGGGGACTGGCAGACAGGTAAGGACTTTGTCTACTAGGAGAGAAGAGAGTGAATGGGAGGGTGGAAGTGGAACAGGAGGAGAAAATAACTTAGACATAAAAACCCTGCAAAGTAATATAGCTATATCATGATATACAAGGTGCTCCGTGCTATGATTTTAAAAATAAGATATTTTTGAAGTCAGACCATCAGAAGTTCAAGTCTAGAAGTTTAGTCCTTTACTAGTTATAACTTAATTCAATGTACTCTTAATTAAGTTATAACTAGTAGTTTACTAGCTATGTGACTTCAAACAAATTACCTTTTTAAACTTAAGTTTTTAATCTGTAAACAGTATATAATACTAGAGTGTCATTAAGTGATTTTCTGTAAAGCAGTGGTTTAGTTAATGCCTTATTTGTAATGTGAAATTTACTTATAAATAGCTTGATAATACGTTTTACGATTAAAAAAATCACTGTCACTCATGATTAGTATATTTTATTTCATTTAGGCTAACTGCAGCATCCAAGATGCATGGTGATGAAATTACAATTGGATTATGTCTGTATTTCGTCTGGAAAACAGGACTTGAATGCAAAGGCAGCACCAAGCATATCTAGAGTGAAGAGTCTCAACAAGTAGCTTAACAAGATAGTTTCAGGCCAAAGATGATGTATTTAGTGGAATTTAGAGAATACCCCTTTATTTGAAGTTTTCCTATATTGTTGTACTGGAAATGCTTCACTGTATTCAGTCAACTAGAGTGGGTACATGGAATTTTGATATTGCACCTGATTTTGTCCCGTAGAACAATTTATTCCTCCAACACCTCCCTCAGGTGAAAATTCAAGAATTTGCATGGGTAGTCATTCTGATGCATATCTCCAAGCTTGTATCTTCTTCCCGCTGACAATGATGCGTTACAGTCTCTGGCTCTATCTACATGTGATGTGCAAGATGTCTGACAAAAGTCAGAGAAGCCCGTTGTTGAGTTTTGTCTCCAGATCTAAGGATCGGTACTTTTGCCAGATTGGGCTGCTTCTGTTTGAAAAAGACAAGCGTGGGGGTGGGAGAGATTGCTGGTTATCTTCCAGTACCTGTCTTCCTCTTCTTCCTGAATAAAAAATTTTAGCTGGGCACATGGCTGGCTGAATACAAGTTACATTTTTCAGCATCTTATGCAACCAGGTATGGCCATGTGACTGGCCAGTAAGGGTGAGCAGAGATGGTGTGTGCAGCTTCTGGTTCATGCCCCTTGCTTTGTCCCACTGTTTGGAGTGCAGTACAGGTATGGCGGTAAGCCCTGTCAGACCCTGTGGTGGGCCCAGTTCCTTAGGGTAGTCACCTCCAAACTTTGCTGCACATTAGAATTAGCTGGGGAACTTTTAAAAATCCCGGTTCCCAGGTCACACCATGTGTACCAATCAAATGAGAATGTCTCAGGGTGGAAGCCAGACATCATTGTTTAAAAAAATCAAGTGATTCCAGTGTGCAGCAGACTTTGGGAACCACTGCCTTGGGAGTTCCAGAGCAGGAACACTGAGGAAGTCTATGTTGCTGACAGCATTTTAGTCCAAGACTACCTACAACAAGGCCATCACATGTCAGAGAAACAGACTTCTACCTTGCCAAGCTAGACACCATTTCAGTGTCTCATGGAGTGATCATCTCTAAATTCCTAAAAAGTCGTAAGATTAGTGTTCAGTAGGCCCATGTGATATCATCTTTAGGATACAAGTTCTTGTTTTGATTTTGCTAAGCACTCCGTGGTGAAAATCAGTGGTGGATGCGGCAGCATTGTTAGTGCTTCGTGTTCCTAATTTGGTCTTAGTATCAAAAAGAGCCATCAGTTCCCAGTGCTCATCATCGGCCCCTTGGCCTTCTTCATTTCCCACTCCTTGCTAGTTAAATTCAGGGGCTCAATGGGTAGGTGATCCCAGTACTTGTGGCCACTTATGTGACACAGATTGATTTATTCTTGACAACTTAGTGTGCTTTCTCCATTTTGGTCAATGATGTGGGTAGTCATCCAGGTAGATATCCTGTCCTATTTACCAGTTGCGAGTTTCTCATTTCCTAATTGGTTTTCCTACCTTCAGCCTTGCCACACTTTGATCCACTTGTACATTACGGAAAGAAGTAGCTCTAAAATAAGACCCTGTAACTGCTGCTTAACAGCCTTCATTAACAGCTTTTTGTCTCAAAGTCCAAACACAAGGTCTTTCACCATTCAGATTTAAAGAGCCACCACTTTCCTTGCCATGGTGAGGGCCAGCGTTACTATATTACATTCATTCCTGTTGAATGAGATGCAGCTTTAGATTTTTTTCATTTTACTGTATTCCAAGTTAGAGTTGGCTTGAAAGATGAAAGATGTCATGGTTTGGGTTTACCAAGAAGCAGACTGTGAGATAAGAATGTGAGTATAAGTAGTTTATTTTAGAGGTAATCTTAAGGAATCTCCCAATTACACTGTGGACACTTGCATCTCAATCCCACTGGAAAACTCAACACTAGAATAGTTCTCAGTTATACCACCCAAGGGGGGAAGAAGCTGGAGCATTTATCTACCAACTGCCATTTTGCCGTTGGTTGAGTGCTGCTTTCAGGGATATTAAGCTTTCCCTTGGTGCAAATTAAGCATCCAAATCAGCCAGAAAAAAGCTTACTGAAAGAGCAGTTAGTAGCCTTCACACAGAGGTGAATGCCTGAGGCAGGGCTAGCTTCATGGACATATACCTATGGAGTTGGTTTACTGGTCTGCTGCTGTCCTCTTGAAATTCTTGAACAAGGGACCCCACGTTTTTGTTTTGCACAGGGATTCACAAATTCTGTAGCCAGATCTTGGTCTAAGGGAATATAAATGGTACAGCAGTAGCTTCTGTTACAAAACCTATTTGTCATTCCTGTGAATTTCTAAGCAGGGACCATTTTTATGCCTGCTGTCTGGTACTATGCTTGCCATTGAAGGTACTCAATGAATGTTTGTTTCAAATGATTAAATTTTCTTTTCCATTTTAATTTTTTTGACAGGTAAAAGTCTTGCAGTGAAAAACCCGAGGACCCTTACCGCAAGTGTCTTTTGCTCCCAGCTACTGATACTGGATTCCACTCGTGATTCTCCCTTTCTTAGCGCATTCATGATATAGACATCAGTCTCTGAGCTGGAGGAGGACAAAGGCAGCGGTCCTGTGAATTCTATGCTCTAGCTTGGGTTAAGGGATTTGGAATTGCACTTGTTTCAGAGGTATGTTAGAGGCAGGAAGAAATCACATAGCGGGTGTCTTGTAGGCAGGAAGAGTACTTACTAGGACTTGAAGACTATGTTAAAGGTTCTTATGTTAATTATCTATTGCCCTGTTTTTCTCCAAAGATTAATGGTTGAAAACAATAAACTTGTATTGTCTCACAGTTTGCGTGGTTAGGAATCTGGAAATGGCATAGCTGAGTGGCTCTGGCTCAGAGTCTAATGTGGTTCCAGTCGATATCAGCTGGGGCTGCAGTTCTGAAAGTGTGAGCAGGGCTGGAGGATCCTCTTCCAAGGTAGCTCACTCATGTGCCTGGCAGGGTGTGCTGGGTGTGCCTGAGGCAGAAGGTGTGTTTCCTGTCACATAAGTCTCCTTTTAGAGTGTCTTCATGGCATGGCTGCTAGCATCCCCCAGAGCAAGTGATTTGAGAGCGAGAGCAGGGAGAAAGCTACATTGTTTTTAATGGCCTAATTTCAGAAGTCACATCTGTCACTTCTGTTTGTTAAAAGCAAGTCATCGAGCACTGACCACACTCAAAGGGAGGGGAATTAGGCTCTGCCTTTTTCAAAGGAAGCATATCACAGAACTTGTAGATGTATATAAAAACACCACAGGGTTTTTAAAGAGTCTCATATTATAGAGCCTTGAGAAGTAAATTCCCATGCCCTTTACCTTACCTGTGAAGTTGCTAATCTGATACTAATTGTTCATTCTCCTGCTGTTCTGCTCAGTGTCCCTTCCCGTGTGTTGATACAATAACTAGGGTTTATAATCATCCTCTGAGAAGATAAATGTTGGGCACATAGAAGGAAAATAGATGGAGTGGTGGTGGTATGCATTTATTTCCTAGGGCTGCTTTAACAAGCTACCAAAAACTGGGTGGTTTAAAACAACAGAAATTGATTTGGTCAAAATTCTGGAGGCCAGAAGTCTGAAATCCAAGTGTCAGCCAGGTTGGTTCCTCCTGGAGGGTCTAAGGGAGCATCTATTTCATGCCTCTCTCCTAGCTTTTGGCATTTGCCGGCAATCTTTGGCATTCTTTGGCTTGTAGGCTTGTCACTACAATCTCTCCCTCCATCATCACATCACATTCTCTATGGGTGGGTCTCTTTGCATCCAAGTGTCCCTCTTACAAGGAAACTAGTCATTGAATTAAGGGTCCACCCTTAATTCAGTATGACCTCATCTTAACTTGATTATATTTTCAAAGACCCTATTTCCAAATAAGATTACATTCTGAGGTTCTGGGTGGACATGAGTTTGGGGGACACTGTTCAAACCAGTACAGGGTATAGATAATAAAACTCATGGGTGTCTCTAGATACTCTTCACCAGAGAGGAGAGTTTCCATGACACTACAATAGCCAGATGTCCCTGATGCAGGCATGCAGTTGGGCATGAACTAGTCAGATTGTAGGACTGTGGCTGCTACTAGCTCATATGTACATATCTAATTATAGGAAGCTAAGAAAATTAGTATTAAGTACAAGAGGTTGAAAATGGTAATAGCATGAAGATTATTCCTCAGAGCACTTTTCTGTGCCCTTATTGTCAAGTGGTCCTGGGAAATGGACTTTTATCAAGTCTGACTCTTATGTTACCACCTTGCTTGAGTGCTCAGTGCCATGAGATCGTCCCAGAGGTGATCCCTTGCATACCCTGGTCTTTAGGCAAAGCCTTGTTTTCAAATCGCACAAGTAAAAGATGTGCTCTGCTAAGTGACATTTCAGTGGAAGAATCAGGATATTGACAGAGGAAGCACTTTTACCTCTTGACTGGTATTTCATAGGCTAGGAAAGTATGGAACTTGATTTTCCTGTTTCTCAAACTGGCTCTATTTCTTTAGGAAGGGACCAAAAGGAGCTGCCCCTAGTATAGGGAGCAAACAGAGGTTTTCTATAAATGTTAAATTAAGGAATTTTTTTCTCATAGGGATAGCTGTTGGCATAATAGTAGCTAATGATTATCTATAGTGACTCATTGGACTTCCACAACATCAGTATATGATAGGTTTCATTACCCCATGTCTCTCCCCACCACCATTGCCATCCATCAAAACTAAATTATTGATGGTTTCCTAAATCTAATGTCTTGTTGCACCGCTTGATGCTTTTACTGTTTCTTCTTCCTGGATTTCCCTTTGCTTATATTGTGAAGCCCTCCTAATCTTGCTCTAAATGTCAGGTTATTAATGTTTTTCTCTGTACTACTTTTATATGTTTAACTAGTATTGTTGGATTATTGATATTTTCATATCTGAACTGTGCTACACTGGAGAGCTACTTTAGCATGGAGATTGGTTTTGTTTTTCATTCCCTAATAGTGCCTGACGTGTGGGGTGGGGGTGGGGGCTCAGTTCAAAGAAGGAACCCAAGGCTCAGCATGATTGAGTAATTTGCCAAAGGTCACACATCTGGTGTATGGCAGAGCTAGAAGAAGAATCCAGATCTTTAGCCACTTACCAACTACAAAGAGAAAAACACTGCACAGAAGTCAGGATGTCCAAGGACTAATACTGGGTCAACAGCTCTTGTGTTACTCTACCTTGATGAGATATTTTACCTTTGTGAAATTTTCTTTATCATTTGTAAGGCTATTTCTAGATCCGTGAACTGCAAGTTATATTTTTATGCATTTTTCCCCAAGGAATTGGAAAAAGTCTCAATATCAATATTCTATTCTATATATTCTTTTAAAAATCAATGTCTGAAGAGGGAAGTTGTAATGTAGGTGTAGAGAATGTCCTTCTCTGGCTCAGAGTATTAGGAAGTTGGACTAGGCATTCTGTAGGGCCCAGGGCTCCTCTTGACTATTGTAGCCTGAGTCTTCATACCTTCCCTGAACACTCTCCATTGATGACTATATAGCCCTTTATTTATCCTTTCCCTCATCAGCATGTTGAGGTGTCACATTTCCTCAGCAGTCTTGCTGGCGTGGGTGTCATGTGTTGTGGGGAGGCCGGGGTGGGGTCGGGGTGTGTGCGGGATGGTCCTTTTTCTGCTGTCCAAGGTCCTGAAGATGTGTTTCTGTGTTTCCTGAAAGTTTCTCAGTTTCCCAAATGCAAGTTTGAGATTTTATTTGTTTTTGAAGAAATTAAAGAGATGATAGGTGATCTGCTAATGACTTATTGGAAGTCATAGGAGAATGGAGGGAACTACCCAGGTGATGGTGTTAGAGTTTGATTTTCTGTTCTTTTTTTTTTTTTTTTTTTTTTTTGAGACAGAGCCTTGTTCTGTTGCCCAGACTCGAATGCAGTGGTGCAGTGGTGAATTCTCAGCTCACTGCAATCTCTGCCGCCTCCCGCGTTCAAGTAATTCTAATGCCTCAGCCTCCCAAGTAGCTAGGACTATAGGCATGCACCAACATGCCCAGCTAACGTTTTGTATTTGTATTTGTATGGGGTTTTGCCATGTTGCCTGGGCTGGTCTCGAACTCCTGAGTTCAGGCAATCTGCCTGCCTCGGCCTTCCAAAGTGCTAGGATTACAGGCATGAGCCACTACACCTGGCCCAGATTTTCTATTCTTTTGCATTCCTCTCTCTTCTAGTCCCTTTCCTTTGGCTGTCTTTTTTTTTTTTTTTTTTTTTTTTTTTTTGACATTGTCTTGCTCTATCGCCAGGCTGGAGTGCAGTGGCATGATCTCGGCTCACTGCAACCTCCGCATCATAGGTTCAAGTGATTCTTCTGCCTCAGCCTCCCAGTAGCTGGGACTACAGGCACATGCCACCATGCCCAGCTAATTTTTGTATTTTTAGTAGAGACAGGGTTTCACCACGTTGGCCAGGATGGTCTCAATCTCGACCTCGTGATCTGCCTGCCTCGGCCTTCCAAAGTGCTGGGATTACAAGCGTGAGCCACCTTGCCCTGCCTCCTGTGGCTGTCTTGTTGAGTCATTTGTCTCTGCTTTTCTTGTTGCTCTGGTCTCAGTCTTGTAATTTACTCCTAGAGGTGCTGGCAAGCCTGAGCTCAGATTTAGGAATAATGGGGTTGGGACAGGAGAAGGATGAGATAGGGACTAGCAGCTGATGAAAAGGAAGGGTGGACATATTCATCGTAGGGGTTTCAGGAACTCCATTATCTCACACTCAGCCCCTTTGTCATCTCTGGGATCAACACAGTGTTATCATCGATCAGCCCCCAGATTCACTTCAGTGAATCTGTAAAGAACAAGCATGTCCTCCTCATCCCACGAATTCTGCTGCTTAGAAAGCCACCTGAAAGTGATAGCCCTTAAAGTCCTCAGTCTGCCCCTTTAGAGCACCACAGAAAGATCCCTGAATGGAGATCCTGACCCTTAAGTATGGAACTGCTGGGAAGAGCTATTTGGAGATTATCATTACATGGAGGGTTAGTAACATCACTTTCTCTTCCCTTTATCCTCATTTTTTTCCCTTAAAAAAAAACACACACACCCACACAACCATTTCTTTGCTATTTGCTGTTGGTATCCAGTATGCCATTGCTTTCTTAATTAATGAGATACATTTTCCCTTCCTGTATGCCTATTTTAATGGTCAATTTCTGATATCTCTAAACATGTCTTTGTTGTCCCCTCCCTCCATTTCCACTTCCACTGTCCTATTTCAGTTCTGGACTATAACAATTGCCTCCCTACCTTTATCTGAGCATTTGGTCTCACTCTCTTGCCACACTCCCAGTCTTTCCCCTGTATGGCCTCAGTGATATTTCTAACAAAAAACTCTGACTATAGTATTCCCCTACTCAGTCATCTTTAATGATTCTCCTTCACCTCTTGAGTAAAATCTAAATCTTTTTGGAAGGGTGTTTGAGGTTCCTCATGGTTTTGTCCATTGGGCTGGACT
The DNA here is from genome assembly GCF_000001405.40 of Homo sapiens. Classification (NCBI taxonomy): domain Eukaryota; kingdom Metazoa; phylum Chordata; class Mammalia; order Primates; family Hominidae; genus Homo; species Homo sapiens. Next base: position 1,564,517 of record NT_167248.2, on the reverse strand, counting down.
AAGGTTATGGATGAGAGACTTGTGAGGAAGAAAAACCAGTTCTAGAGAAATAAAGGCATGGCATCTTTGCACACTTACAAATGCAGGAAGAGAAGGTTTAAAACCATCTTTCTAGAATATGCCCTTTGGCTGGTGAAAAGAGCAAAGTTGATCCTTCATATTCCTCCTTTTTCTTAAAATCATAAATCTCTCCTCTACTTCCTTCTCTTTTGCTTTCAAATCAGCATTTTTAAAAGCCATTTCTTGGCCTGGCACGATGGCTTATGTCTGTAATCCCAGCACTTTGGGAAGCCAAGGCGGGTGGATCACCTGAGGTCAGGAGTTCGATACCATCCTGGCCAACATGGCGAAACCCCCATCTCTACTAAATATACAAAAATTAGCTGGTGCGGTGGTGTATGCCTGTAGTCCCAGCTACTCAGGAGGCTGAGGCAGGAGAATTGCTTGAACCTGGGAGGCAGAGACTGCAGTGAGCCGAGATCGCATCGCTGTACTCCAGCCTGAGCAATAGAGCTACACTCCATTAAAAAAAAAAAAAAAAAGCCAGGCCAGGTGCGGTAGCTCATGCCTGTAATCCCAGCACTTTGGGAGGCTGAGGCGGGCAGATCACGAGGTCAGGAGATCGAGACCATCCTAGCCAAGGTGGCAAAACCCCATCTCTACTAAAAATACAAAAATTAGCCAGGCATGGTGGCGCGTGCATGTAATCCCAGCTACTCGGGAGGCTGAGGCAGGAGACTTGAACCAGGGAGTCGGGGGTTGCAGTGAACCGAGATCACGCCACTGCACTCCAGCCTGGCTACAGAGCGAGACTCCGAATCAAAAAAAAAAAAAAAAACAAACAACAGCAACAACAAAAAAGCCATTTCTTGATCCTGCTTACCTGTGTAACACCATCTTCTCTTTCGCTGCAGTGAAGTTGTCTGTGTTTATCTCTGTGTTTATCTTCGTTTCCTCAGTTCTCATCATTCTTGAACTTCTGCAGTCCTCCTTCCTCTTGCTACTCAATTTACACTATCCCCATGGTCATCAGAGGTTTTTCCCTTGGTCTTCTTTCTGGCACCTGATACCACTCAAGCTACTACTTCCCCACGTCTACATTTGCTCTCTTTTGTCCCAGAAAATTATTGGATACAGTCTAGGATACAATTGCTCCCTTTGTCCCCACATATACCCTACACACCTTGCCTCTCCTACAAACCTATCCAGAATCTTCTTAATTCCCCTCACATTCCCAAAATGAGCTGAGCAGTCTTTGAAGTAAAAATTAAGCTATAGTTAAGTTTCACCTCCATTTCACTTGTGCATTTTACTCCTTTTTTTATTTTTTTAAACCTCTTTCAAATGATCCTTGGGCTTCGAGTACCATGATCTACCCAGACTTGCATTCCCTGGGCTGTGTTCTAGTTCTGGTCATGTCAGCTTTTCCCTTCTGATGAATCCTTGTAATTACTTGAGTCTCATTCTGTCAGGCAATAGCCACAGTGAAGAAGCCAGTGTGCGTTATGGCAAAGCCCAGGAAGACGTAGGTGTGAATTTTTGCTTTACCATTTCTTGCCTGTGTGACTTATGCCATGGGGCTTCACTGGTCTGGGTCCCAGTTTCTCATCTCTTAGATGACATCATTTTGTTGGGAGGATTACATGGAGTGATATGTATAATATATCTGATAACTAAGTGGTTTCAGTTAGTGGTAGTTGTTTTTATTTGACATAGTCTTGATAAGTATTAATTTCTTCCTAAGCCCAGGGTATTTGTATTTTGACAACAAATAAGTTTTAAGTAAATCAATCTATAGATATTATGGAAATCTGGACCCCTATATCCTAGCTGAGGAAGGGTATCTGGCACCCATTGCCACGTAGGAGCCCCTGGGCTCCAGGACACCAGGGAAAAGAGGTTAAATAGGTCCCCCTCCTCTGACATGATACCCAGTGATTCAGTCAGGGTACAATTGGGAAAACAACCCATACCACAGGGACTGGTTACAAAAGTCTTGAATAGCTAAACGCAGAACAGGATGGTTAAGTTGCATTATGTAGACAACAGTGATTCAGGTGGGCAGGCCCTACCTCCTTGAGGTGTTATCTGTGGACAGATTTTTGTGCGATTGTGGCACAACCCTGGGTTTCTTTCTTCATGTGCCTGTTCTTAATGGGCCCAGGAGAGGTAATTCAAGGGAGCAAGGGACCTGTAGAATGATCATGTCCTCTTTTTTCTAGCCATAAGGTTATGAATCATATATCTCGGGGGTGTGATTCTGAAGGAAAGAAGTGTGTGCCATAGCAGGAGAATGGAAGGCAGACAGCTGTTGCTATTACTAGAGTTTTAGCAGCCCCCGTAACTCAGCTAGCCCAGACTAGGATCTCAATATGGGGTGAGATGTATTTTCCAATATTGAATAGCAAATGATGTAACTTTGTCATCTTCATGTTGATCTTAAACATCTCTCTGATGAACAGTATAAGAAAACAAATGATCACTTAGAGGATCCTGTTTGGTAGTTAAAACCGTATTAAAATAGAGAGGGAAGAAATTAAGCCTCCTTGATGGTGAAGAGATTGGGAACCACCACTCCAGTGTTAGAAAATGTCAAATGACAGAAGGTGGGCTATATTAAGTGGGAATTTCCAAACCCCACCCCCTGGAAGGAAGGAATGCTTGGTGACAAGCCTTAGAGGAGAGAGATGCTTGTCTAGCCCATTGCCTGTGTGCCCAGGAAGAGATGTGCATACCTTGAGATATAGAGAAGACTCTAGTGGGGAGAAGCCCCAGGCCAGCTTGTCAGCACAGGGCATCGGAGGCCCCCAACCAGCTCCAAGTTCTGAACAGCACACAGCCTTCAAAGGCTTGTACTGCTGCTCATACCCAGCAGAGGCCTTGCACCAGGCCTCCCCATGCAAATCAGTGTCCCCGCAGCGTAGGTAAAGGAGCTCTAGCTGTGCTCCCTATGGGGGAACAGATATACCGTGGGACACTGAGAGACTGGAAGATTGCCCAACATTTATTTACTGATCTGTGTTCACCACAGAACCTAAGGTATTTATTGGTATTGTTTCAACCAGTACGAGTGATTCTTTCATTTAGTGGTCATCTCTGCACTCCACCACAGACTTTTGGGAATTACAAGATGAAAAGGGCCACATCCTCACCCTGGCATAGCTCAGAAAATTTGGTTGGGGAAGTAGGGACATAGACGTGATCACTACACCATAATTTACTAAGCTGTGAGAACTGGAGGTGCATCAGTGACCAGAGTGCATTTGAGCCAGAGGTAGAAGGTACTGTAGACAAAAGGAACAACATGCGCTCTAGGCTGTATCATTAGGTACAATTTTCTGTCCTTGGGGGAGTCTTTTTAACCCTAAGACAAAAATTATGAATATAGAAAGAGGCCACGGTTCATCTTTGCAATTCTTTCAGGAGAAAATTTGCTGCAACTCACTTTCTAAGTTTAAAAAAAAAAAGAGTAAATGATATGAATATCACCTGAAAGAATTTGAGGTCTCAAACTTGGGAGGATCTTTGAACAACAATCTTGGGGAATGCCTAACAGTTCATACTCATTTCTTGATATCTACAGATGGAAACTCTACAGCCTTACATATATTTCTTTTTTCTTTTAACTACTTTATACTCACAGAAAATCAGTGTTCAGCACTTCTAATAGCAGGTCTAGTGGAAGCTTGAGATCAGAACAGAGTTCCATAAAGGGAAACTGAGGGCACACAAGGCAGAGCAGTACCCCCTTATCCATGGGGACCTGTCTGACTGGAAGTAAGGGAGAAGATTCTACTCCACAGAGAATCAGGGAAGGTTAAAACTGTGTGTGTTTGTGACACTTTTGCTCTCTTGGGCCCAGATACAGGCCGGAAATCCTTTGGGTTCTGGTGACTCAAAGTGTGGCCAAAAGGACCAGCAGCTTTAGCTTCTCTGGGAGAACATATGAGTGCAGAATTTCAGGCCTGCACCAAGTTTTTAAACGTCTGCATTTTAACAAGCTGCTCTTAATTTGCTTACGTATTAAAATTTCCAGAAGCACTGTTCTAGGACCATCTTTAAGTGTTATCCAAAAACATGTAAGATCTTTTTTCAAAGCAAATTCTCAAGCTCTACCCTAGAGGGATTGCTTCTGGTTCTCTGGGGTTGGTGCAGGAATCTACATTTTCGGCAAGTGCCTTAGATCCTTGTGCACACTAGCATTTGAGGATTGCTGCCTTAGATGGTGGGAAATCTGAGCAGGGGAGGGCTGTGGGCTGAAAATGAAATGATGATGTTTAGGAACTGGCACAAGCATGCTTCTGCTCCTGGTGGGAAGCAGTGGGACAGATCCAGTTGATTGTAGAGAATGCAGACCTCGTGTCATGCTCAAGTGTCACCTTAATGTAATGGCTGGAGACAGCCACATATGACCCTCTCATTGTCCAGTCAGTAAGCTCAATCAATGACAGGAACCACTGACTCTGGTAATTAAAAACTTATTGTGGCCGGGCACAGTGGCTCACGCCTGAAATCCCAGCACTTTGGGAGGCAAAGGTGGGCAGATCACCTGAGGTCAGGAGTTCAAGACCAGCCTGGCCAACATGGTGAAACCCCATCTCTACTAAAAATACAAAATTAGCTGGGCGTGGTGGGGTTGCCTATAATTCCAGCTACTCAGGAGGCTAAGACAGGAGAAACACTTGAACCCAGGAGGTGGAGGTTGCAGTAAGCTGAGATCGCATCATTGCACTCCAGCCTGGGCAACAAGAGTGAAACTGTCTAAAAAACAAACAACAACAACAACAACAAAAACACTTATTGCTGGGCAGGTTCTCATAAGAGGCCATGGGAAAGCCATGTCCTATCTCAGGGACACAGGGTCATCTGGGCCTCTGGCTAATAGAGGCCAAATAATGGGACTATTTTCCCTGTGAAATCCTGAAAACCAAAAATGGTGGCGTCTTTATCTGCATTAGCAGAGGTAATTTGCTCCTTCTTGAAATCCAAGGTCACGTCTACTGTCTGGGGATTTTGATCCAGGGTCAGTGTGGTTTCTCCTTTACAGGAGAGCCGAGTCTCAGAAAGGTGAGGTGGTTTGTGTTGGTCATTGGCTACCTCAGATTTTAGAGCAGCTCTACCTTGATTGTGGGGTTGACCTAATTTTTTTTGCTGTCTTCTTTCTTCTCCAGGTGAGGAAAGAGGACTTCCTGTATATCTCTATCCTTTTGTTTCCATTACTCACTTTCTGTGGCTGCTGCTGCAGAAGCCACTGCTGACTGATGTGGATACCTCAATCTTTGGTTTACAAAAAGCCTAGGTGTCTTTTGGCCTCTCTCCAGGTTGATAGCCATGGCTCCTGAAAGAAATAAAAGATGATCATCTTTCTAAAAAGTCTTAAGTCTGAATTATTAGTAACTTAACTGGAGAATCTCACTTTTCCTACTCTCGTATTTTAACCACAGTTGCTCTAACACAGACCTTTGAGGATCTTTTCATGACTTCATTCACAAATACCTATTTATGCTGTACAGATGCTACTAGGAAGGAAATAGGGATGTCTGTTTTGACTGTGGAACTTAACTTGGTCTCGTCTCTTCGTGCATGCAACCCTGTCCTTGGGATAGCTTTCTTGAGCATATCTACTTATGTTCAAGAGGTAAATTGTCCTGAAACCCCCATTGCTATAAGTATTTATTTTATTACTCATAATACTTAATGCTCCTAAAGTTGGGGTATTTTTTTTTTTGGATACCTAAACTTCATTGAGATACTTTGAACTATTTATAGAGAAAACGGAACCTTCTAATACCTGGCTTCTATTTCTTAAAATGTTATGATCATACATGGCTTAGGGCTTTATGGCCAAATAACTTCACTGAACCCAGGAAAAAGAATAGATCCATCTGAAACAGACCTGTAGCTTCCAGAGGCCTAAATTTTCGGCTCCATTTGTATCCTTCATTTTCTGTGAGGTAAAGAAGTGGAAGGAGACAAGCCTCAGCCCTTCCCCTGGCACCTTTACTCTTCGCCCTTCCTCCTGGCATGGTGGAAAGTGCACTGGAGGAGGAGTGAAGGGCCCTAGGTTTGCATCCATATTCTGCCACTTGCCAACCTTAATGGCCCTTACAATTGATTTACCCTCATGAAATTTGGAATGATTTCTAAAGTCTTTCCTCGCCCTGAATGTTAACATTTTTTGATAGTCAGGACTTTCTGTAGCTTCACCTTCCTTATTTAGTGTTATTTTTTTCTCAAGACTGAACAGAGAGGGAAGCTGTCAAAGTGTGCTGGGCACACACCCTGCAGTGGGGCAATGGCCAATTCTAATCTCAAGTCATTAGGCTGCAGTAGCATGACCACTGCTTCCTGTCTACCCTCAGAGGGTAGAGACAGCTGAGCTCCTGTAGTTGGGGTCAGGCCCAGCCACTCTGTGGGGACAGTGATTAGTGTTGTGTCACCAATTCAGGGAAGGAGCCACCTTGTCTTATTTTCCCTCTTGAATTATCTTGATATGACCCCATTATAAATTTCCTTTTGTAAACCTCTGTCTCCCAATTTCTCCTTTTAGCTTACTTTCTATTGAAGTAGAGGAACAGAGTACAACTTCCATCCTCTTTCATCAGCCCTGAGAGCAGAACGCAAGCGCCGTTACTGGGAACTATATCCTTGGCTCCCTGGATGTGGCTATTAACTTCTGGCCTGCCACTCTATCACATACACATATGGAGATGGTGTCATCCATGTACCTTACCCCGTATTTACAACTTCTATCACCCAACAGTGCCAATGGCCCTGATGGTCCCTCTGGGAGGGAGAGAAGAGTAAGCTGGAGTCACCCCTTCCCTGTACTTCCCACCTCGCCAGGCCTGTTGGTGTTAGTGTCCCTTCTGATCTTGGCCTGACCCCTGTGCCCTGGGCACTGGGCTGCAGGTTGGAGAGGCAGCATGATGGAGTGGGGATAACACATACTCCAAAACCAAACAGAAGCCAGACCTGGGTTGGGTCCTGGCGAAACAGTCTAGAGGCTTGGTGACCTTAACCTCCTAATTAATCTTCCTAAGCATAAGTTTCCTTATCATAAGTTATGTATGATAAAATTTTCCTTGGATGCATTCATTTTAGCATGACTTGAAATTATGTGTGAAGGAACCTGGCCCACGGAAGTTGCCCTGTAAATTCAGATTCACTTTCCCTTGGACATATGGATGACATTAGCTCATTACAGTTATGACCTCCCTAAAACTCCCAAATATTCTTTAAGTTCTTCTCTTATTTTCCCTTTAGTTTGTAGTCATATTTCTTAGTTCTTATATCAGTTGGGATTCCCACATCTTCTAGTTGGACAATATTGGAGAAGACACCACATTTTAACTGAGTTCCAGTGATATGACAGGCTTTCAATTCTCTAATCTCACAGAAGTTAGAAAAAAAGTAGATAATCAAAATCCACAGAAAATATAGAAGATTCCATTAACTCTGAGAATGATTCTCAGGTATCCTTAGGACCTCAAGAAAGCTGTTCTCTCCTGGGCCTGTAGAGAGTTCAAGTGCCAGGAATCTACCACAAAGTAGCCGGGAGGTGCAGGGCAGCAGGGGGCACAGTGAAGTGCTGAAGGGCTTCTCAGTCTTCTTTAATTAGAGTGAGAAGAAAAGAGCACCTCCTCATTTTAGAGTACATGGTGTGAACTCACTCTCAGCTGCCAAGTGAGCTTCACCTTGGGCTGTTTTGCATGCTTTCTCCTAGTGCTTTAAGCCACCCTGAGATGTACAGACCAATACTGGCCATCACAAAAATATACTCGAGTACATAGACCATTGACACTATAAAGCAAGTAAACAATGAAGTCTACATAACAGCCAAATAACAACATGATGATAGGATCAAATCTGCACATATCAATATTAACCTTGAATGTAAATGAGCTAAATGCCTCAATTAATAGGCAGAGAGTGGCAAGTTGGACAGAGAAGCAAGACCCAACTGTATGTCTTCAAGAGACCCATCTCATATGCAGGGACACCAATAGCCTCAAAGTAAGGGATGGAGAAAGATCTATCAAGCAAATGGAAAACAAAAAACAGCACTCTCTGTCCAACAAAAACAGAATATACATTCTTTTCAGCTGCACATGGTACATACTCTTAAAATCGACCACAATTGCTTTATTGGCCAGAAAGCAATTCTCAACAAATTCAAGAAACCTGAAATACCGGCCAGGTGTAGTGGCTCACACCTGTAATCCCAACACTTTGGAAGGCTGAGGTGGGCAAATCACTTGAGGTCAAGAGTTTGAGACCAGCCTGGCCAACATGGCAAAAACCCATCTCTTCTAAAAAATATAAAAATTAGCCGTGCATGGTGGCATGCGCCTGTAATCCCAGCTACTTTGGAGGTTGAGTCACGAGAATTGCTTGAACCTGGGAGGAGGAGGTTGCAGTGAGCTGAGATCACGCCATTGCACTCCAGTCTGGTTGACAGAGTGAGACTCATCTCAAAAAAACAAAAAAACCCTGAAATACCAACCACACTCTTGGACCACAGTGCCATAAAAATAAATACCAAGAAGATCTCTCAAAACCATATAATTAAGTGGAAATTAATCTACTCCTGAATGACTTGGGTAAACAAAGAGAAATTAAGGCAGAAATCAAGAAATTGTTTACAACTAATGAAAACAAAGATAAAAACATACCAGAATCTGGGACACAGCTAAAGCAGTGTTAAGGGAAAACTATAGTGCTAAATGCCCACATCAAAAAGATAGATCTCAACCTAACATCACATCTAGAGGAACTAAATAAACAAGAGCAAACCAACCCCAAAGCTAGCAGAAGAGAATACCCAAAATCAGAGCTGAACTGAACAAAATGGAGATGAGAAAAACCGTACAAAAAATCAAAGAAAGCAAAAGTTGGTTCTTTGAAAGAATAAATAAGGTTGATAGGCACTAACTAGACTAATAAAAAAAGGAGGGGGGAGATAATCTAAATAAACACAATCAGGAATGACAAAGGGGACGTTGTCACTGACCACACAAAAATACAAAAACCGCTTGGAGACTATTATGAACACCTCTGCACACAAACTAGAAAACCTAGAAGAATGGATAAATTCCTGGGAACATACAACCTCCCAAGATTGAACCAGAAATTGAAACCCCAAACAGACCAATAACAAGTTCCAAAATTGAATCAGTAATAAAAAGCCTACTAACCAGAAAAAGTCCTGGACCAGATGGATTCACAGCCAAATTCTACCAGACATATAAAGAAGAACTGGTATCATTCCTACCGAAACTATTCCAAAAAATTGAGAAAGAGGGACACCTCCCTAACTCAGTCTGTGAGACCAGCATCATTCTGATACCAGAACCTGGCAGAGACACAACAGAAAAAAAGAACTTCAGGCCAATATCCCTGATGAACATATATGCAAAAATCCTCCACAAAATACTACCAAATGAAATCCAGCAACACACCAAAAAGCTAATCCATTGTGATCAAGTAGGCTTTATCCCTGGAGTGCAGAGTTGGCTCAACTTACCCAAATCAATAAATGTGATTCATCACATAAAGAGAACTAAAAACAAAAACCACATGATACCTTAATAGATGCAGAAAAGGCTTTTGGTAAAATTAAACATTCATTCATGTTAAAAACCCTCAACAAACTAGGTTTGAAGTTATAGTCCTCAAAATAATAAAAGCTATCTCTGACAAACCCAAAGCCAACATAATACTGAATTGGCAAAAGCTAGAAGTATTCTCTTTAGGAACTGGAACAAGACAAGGATGCCCACTCTCACTACTCCTATTCAACATAGTACTGGAAGTTCTATTTGGAGCAGTCAAGTGAGAGAAAGAAATAAAAGGCATCCAAATAGGAAGAGAGGAAGTCAAATTATCTCTCTTCATAGATAATGATTCTATACCTAGAAAACTCCATGGTCTCTTCCTGAGGGCTTCTAGATCTGAAAAAGAACTTCAGCAGAGTTTCAGGATACAAAATAAGTTTACAAAAATCAGTAGCATTTCTATACACCAATAACATCTAAACCGAGAACCAAGTGAAGAATGCAGTTTCATTCACAGTAGCCTCAAGAAGAATAAAATACCTAGGAATACAGCTAGCCAAAGAGGTAAACAATCTCTGCAATGAGAATTTTACAAGACACTGCCCAAAGAAATCAGATTACACCAATGGGAAAACATTCCATGCTCCTGGATAGGAAGAATTAATATTGTTGTTAAAACTGCCATACTAGTCAAAGCAATTTACAGATTCAGTGTCAAACTACCAATGACATTTTTCACAGAGTTAGGAAAAAAAATTCAAAAATTCATATGGAACCAAGAAGGAGCCCAAATAGCCAAAGCAATCCTGAGCAAAAAGAACAAAGCTGGAGGCATCACACTACCTGTCTTCAAATTATGAGGTTACAGTAACTAAGACAGCATGGCACTGGTACAAAAACAGACACATAGACTAATGGAGCAGATTAGAGAACTCAGAAATAAAGCCACATACCTAAAACCATCTGATCTTTGACAAAATTGACAATAACAAGCAATGGGGAAAGAACTCCCTATTCAATAAATGGTGCTGGGATAACTGGATAGCCATAGGCAGAAGAATGACACTGAACCCCTATCTTTCGCCATATATAAAAATCAACTCAAAGTGGATTAAAGACTTAAATGTAAAACCTAAAACTATGAAAATACTAGAAGAAAACCTAGGAAATACCATTTTGAGCATCAGCCCTGGCAAAGACTTCATGATGAAGACTCCAAAAGCAACTGCAACAAAACCAAAAATTGCCAAATAAGCCTTAATTAAACTAAAGAACTCCTGCACAGAAAATGGAACTGTCAACAGAGTAAACAGCCTACAGAATGGGAGAAAACATCTGCAAACTGTGCATCTGACAAAGGTTTAATAACCAGAATCTATAAGGAACTTAGTAAGCAAAAAAGAACCCCATTAAAAAATGGGCAAAGGACATGAACACTTTTCAAAAGAAACATAAGAAAAAAAATGCTTAATATCCCTAATTAGGGGAATGCAAATCAAAACCACAATGAGATACCATCTTACACCAGTCAGAAAGGCTATTATTAAAAAAGTCAAAAACTAACTGATGCTGATGAGGTTGCAGAAAAAAGAGAATGCTTATACACTGCAAATGGGAATGTAAATTAGTTCAGCCATTGTGGAAAGCAGTCTGGAAATTTCTCAGAGAACTTAAAACTACCGTTTAACCCAGCAATCCCTTTACTGGGTATATCCCCAAAGGAATATAAATAGTTCTACCTAAAGACACACGCACATGTATGTTCACTGCGGCACTATTCGCAATGGCAAAGATACGGAATCAACCTAGATGCCCAGGTTCGGTGGCTCACGCCTGTAATCCTAGCACTTTGGGAGACCGATTCGGGTGGAGTTCGGCGAGGTCAGGAGTTTGAGACCAGCCTGGCCAACATGGTGAAACCTTGTCTCTACTAAAAATACAAAAATTAGCTGGACATGGTGGCAGGTGCCTGTAATCCCAGCTACTCAAGGCAGGAGAATCGTTTGAACCTGGGAAGCAGAGGTTGCAGTGAGCCGAGATCGCGCCATTGCACTCCAGCCTAGGTGACAAGGCGAGACTGTCTCAAAAAAAAAAAAAAAAGAAAATGTACATATACACCGTGGAATAGAATACTACACAACCACGAAGAATGACATAATGTCCTTTGCAGCAGCATGGATGGAGCTGGAGGCCATTCCTTAAGACAATTAATGCAGGAACAGAAAACCAAATACTGTATGTTGTCACTTTTAAATGGGAGCTAAACATCGAGTACACATGGACACAAGGGAGCAACAGACACCAGGACCTACTTGAGGGTGGAGGGTGAAAGGAGGGTGAAGACTTAAAAACTACCTTTTGGGTATTATGCTGATTACCTGGGCGACAAAATTATCTGTATACACAACCCCCACAACATTGTAATTTACCCATATAACGAACCTACACATGTACCCCTTGAACCTAAAATGGAAGTTGAATAGTGAAAAAAAATAAAAAAATATATTTTTAATCAGGGAGAAGGGGACTGGGCATTGTGGCTTCTACCTATAATCCCAGCACTTCAGGAGATTTGCGGCAGGAGGATTGCTTGAGGCCAGGAATTTGAGACCATCTTAGGGAACATAGTGAGACCCCATCTTTACAAAAATTTTAAACATTAGCAGGTATGGTGGCATGCGCCCATAGTCCCAGCTACTCAGGAAGATAAGGAGGGAGGATCATTTGAGCCAGGAGTTTGAGGCTGCAGTGAGCTGTGACCACGCCACTGCAGTCCAGCCTGGATGATACAGCAAAATCGTGTCGAATGAAAAAGAGGGATGGGGGCAAAAAATTTTGCCTTGAGCCGGCCCTGCCATTAGATGAACCCATTAAGAGCAATTTCTGTTTGGTAGACTCAGAGTTCACTGATGGATGCTGTCGTTGTTAGATCACTTTAAAAACTGTACAGTGTGGTCCAGCACAGAGCACAGTCTTTCAAATGAAAGAAAGCTGGATTTAAATTCTGACTGTGTCTCCTAGGGTGTAGCCTTGAACCAAGGACATTCCTTCAACTCTTGCTTTGATCATAAGTAAAATGAAGGATAATCAGTAATGTGAGTATACTGAAAAAAATGAAAGCACTGAGCATGGTGCTGGCATCCAAGAGAGGCTCAATAATTTTCTTTATTTTTATTTCATAGAATTCCTGACCTCAAAGAACATATCTATGAGTGATTTCTGATAGGGAAACATGTTGACCTTGTCCCAAATACCTAGTGCTTTCAAAAAATAGTAACATGTCTAACAGTCTATACAAATTCTTCTCTCTTGTCAGGTAGAAGTGAGAGCAAGAGTCGTAACAGCAAACACCCTTCTGACCTCTGAAATGCTTCAAACTTTAGATTACAAAGATTTTGTTGTCACGGACCGGGACACAGCTGGGGGTGTTGGAAACCACACCCACTTCTGCCTGAGGGAAAGACAGGATAGTAGCTAGGTGACCACTAGATACCCTCTCTCAGAGTTGAAGGGTCCTTAAGCCTGAGAGGTCATTATTGTCATCATCTGTGCCCTGTAATGAGGTGTTAGTAGGGGTGATATGTATTTCTTCTGGACTGGGAATTTAACTGCTGGTTTATGTTCTTCCAGAGCTCCCTCTTTGCCCACTAGCAGGGCATTAGCTGGTGCTGAAGACAGTGGCTGCTTGGCGAGCCTGGATCTCCAAGTGACCCCCTCAGCAACTCCTGATGAACAGGTAGCATGTAAAAGAAATCTTTTTGGTTTATACCAGTGAGATACGGGAGTTGTATATCATTGCAGCATAATCTAGGCTATAGATGATGCAATACTGCTACATTAGGGTCTTTGATTTCTAGTCAGGCCCTATGCCTAGGATAGCTTACTGCTGGCACACTCTTCAGCCAGTCTCTCAGCTCTGCACAGCACCAGATATGCCAGGATTTTGGCCTTTGATTCAGAGCTCTTTTCTGGAATTTTCTTCATGACCAGAGAATACCTCTGTCTTGCTTTGCTGACAAGAGGTATTAATCTAGAAATGGCTATAGTTATAGTTCATACAGGAAATGTGTTGCAAAAAATTGAGCTAATCTAGAGAAGAGAAAATAAAAGATGGGAAGTCTTAGTTGCATTCAAATCCCTGGTTCCAGTTGTACCTGAGGTGCAGTTACATTATTGTTCCTTTAGTTTGCTAAATAAGATAATGAATCCCCATGTTGACAAGGTTAAGTTAGATTTCTATAATTTTTCTAGGAATAACATAGTGTTTTTATTTGCCCAGATGTTATAGCTCACCTAAAAAAACCCTATCTATCCAGGGCTTTTGTTGCCTTTTTTTTTTTTTTTGAGACGGAGTCTCGTTCTGTTGCCCAGGCTGGAGTGCAGTGGCGTGATCTCAGCTCACCAGAACCTCAGCCTACGGGATTCAAGTGATTCTCCTGCCTCAGCCTCGCTGGTAGCTGGGACTACAGGCATGCACCACCACACCTGGCTAATTTTTGTATTTTTAGTAGAAATGGGGTTTCACTGTGTTGGCCAGGCTAGTCTCAAACTCCTGACCTCAGGTGATCTACCCGCGTAAGCCTCCCAAAGTGCTGGGATTACAGGCATGAACCACCATGCCTGGACTATTGCCATTTTCAGTGTTGTGTCCAGTGATGTTTCCTTCACACCAAGAAGTCTTCAGGGGATTCATATATGGATTGTGAAATCCTCTAGTGACATGGAAGTTTCTGTGTCATGCAGATAGAGAAATTGTGATGCCTGGATGCCTGAGGTTTTTTGGAGTGAGGTACTATGCATTTGCAAGTAATTGTAAACTGTATAATCCAGGATTAAAAGATAAACTATTGTTGCATTTAGAACTGTGTTTAGAATACAATAATTTGTTGTTGTTTTGTAATAGGACTGAAGCCAATATTAAAGCAAGTCAACCAAAGGTTCTCTGGTGTAGACAAGACAGCAAAAGGACAGACTACCTTGTGGAACCTAGCATTGTTCTCCTTCTGCAGCACTAAGTAACATTTGTTCTCCGTTAAGATCTTTGCAAACCACACACAAGAATTGCTGGTCATCCTGCCAATAGATGCTGCTCACAGAACCAAATTTCCTGTGCTGAATTGTCACTCATGGGCTTGAGAGTAGGAGACTGGAGACCAAGGTGGCTAGAATCCAGTTGGGCCTGATGTCTCCCTGTTGAAAGGGCTCCTTGTGGAATGAATAGCACATGGCTCCTGTGGTGGATCTGATAGTGGCATAGCACCAAGTGATGCAGGCCTGCCAGGGGCCACAGACACAGAAGATGCTCCCGGGGTCCCCCATGTACTCCAGACACACTGCAGGCCACCTCTCCCAGCAGGTTGCCAGTCATGGGCCCCATCATCATGACTTCTGTCCAAGGTGTGCTCGGAAATCTCTTCCTTAACTGTGACTTTCTGACAGGTGGAGGATGTGGTCAGGAGTGGGAAAAGGATTCGAGACGGGAAGAGGGAGGGGTTCAGGATGAAGAGAGATAATCTGTGCCACAGATGCTGGCCCTGCAGTTAGCTCCCACCTAGTCCGTGCACACACATTCTAATCCCCTCCCATTCCTTTACATGCTGCGGCCAGAGAGGCCTTTCTCAAAGTGGAAGTCTCATCCTCACTTCTCTGGTTACAGTGCTGGGCCATGGTAACTTACAAGGCTTAGCAGGAACTGTCTGCGCACTCCCCCTTCCTGCCCACTACCTTGTTTCCCTCCAGTTGCGAGAGAAAACATTGATTGAGCATTAACTATGTGCCAGGCTTGTCCTAAGTCCTTTGCATGTATTCACTCAAACAATCCTCACAACATTCCTATCACATCTCCCATTTCACAGTGAGGGTTCTAAAGCACGTAGTGGGTGAGGAACTTGTCCAGGGTCACACAACTAAGTGGGGGTGGAGAAACATCAAATCTAGGTGGTCCAGGTGGTGGCCAGAACCCATCAGCACCTCACTACAGCTGCCTCCAGTTTCTCGCTCTAGGAAATACTCTTCCCTGTCAACTCCTGTTGTCCTCTGGGCTCAGTTGACATGTCATCTCCTTGAGGAGGACATCCTGAGATGCTCCCCGACTAGGGTGGGCACCCACTTCCACACTCCAAATGCCTATTTGACCTGTGTATCGCTGCATCCCCACTGCCTGGCAGATAGCAGGCCCCTAATAAATATGATTTGAGCAAATAAATATAGTTCTTCAAAAAATAGGGAGGACTTCTTGCTTCAGGTAATGGTAGGCTAGGACATTTGGACCAACCCTCCTGCAGAAAATAGCCATTTATTTTGATGCAATATATCTGGCTATGACTAGAGATTTCAAATATTTGGAGGGCTATTATGTGAAGAACTAAACTTACTCTTTGTGACATAGAGGTCAGAAATTGGTCGTTTCCATAGAGTATGAGAGAGACAGAATTGTGCTCATCATAAGTATCTTTTTTAAAAGTTAGACTTAATAAAATGGGCTGCCTTGGTAGGTGGTGAGTTCTCTGTCACGAAAGAGATTCAGCCACTTGCTCTGAGAAAGCATGGAGAATATCAACATTGTAAGGGTCGACCACCTCATCTCTGAGGCCCCCTCCTCACTTAGGTTGCCATTGCAGGTGGAACACTGGGCTGAGTGTCAAAGAACCTGGGTTCCACAAGCTGTGCGACCATGGCTGGTTGTTTTGGATCTCATTCCTAATATCTGTTAGTTAAGCTGACCCGTCAATACTGACCCACTTCACAGAGTTATGAAGGGATTAAATTAGGTATTACATGTAAATCTGTTTTGTTTGCTTTTTGTTGTTCTTTTTTGTTTTGCTTTTTTCTTTGCATTATGAAATCCCAAGTCAACTTTTTCCATTCTTTTATTTTTTTAAAAATTGACATCATCATTATAACCACAAAATAATTTTTAAAATGGAAAAAAAAAACTCACCTGCAACCCCACAATCTAATACAATAATCATACTTTTTTCCCTTTATTCTCCTTTATTGTGACCAAGGATGACTTTGGGCATTGCTGTGAGGAACTATTTCGTTTAACACCCTACTACCTGAACATGATGCGTACTCAGCCTTTCACCACCCCCCAAGTAGCTACACATGATGTGATAATAGTATTGGTGGTGGTTTTAGAGAGTTGGAGAGAAAACTGAAGTTGGATTTGGGTAAAAGAAAAAAGAGTGGGAATTATTTTTTCTCCATTCTAAAGCCCATAAAGCAATGTTAATTGTTCCCACCCCTCTGCTATTCTGTCTCCTCAGGTACTGTGTGCAGAAATGTGATTGAGATTCAAGTCAGGGCCTCTCTGCCCTTTTCCCTCCAGAAACAAAACCAAGATAATTTATCCTGAACACGGTGAAAAAAGGAAGGGAGGGAGGAGAAAAAGTCCGGGTCTCACCTGGGATTCTCTGTCTCCTGCAACATGAAGGATTTAGCCTGGGAGGAGGTGGTGAGAACTCTGGGAGAGAAAAAAGAAGGAAAGAATAGTTTTACCCATGCTGAAGTTAATTTAAACCTTCACCTAGAGAAGCAAAAAAAAAAAACCCACACTTTCCCATTTTGTGCCTCCCTTCCTAGAGTTTTAGCCAAAGGTTTAGCTAAGTAATTGGTTTTACCAGCGCACTCACTCCTCCTATCCCAAGTCTGTTTGACTCCCTCCCCATCATCCTCCTCACCTCTTTTCAGGCAGGGTGGGGATAGCAGCAGGAGGAGATTTTGGGAGCCTGGCAACTCCTGCAAGGACCGCAGGACAGCCCCTCTGTGGGGATGCGTGGTGCCCCATCTGCCGCCCTTCTGAAGAATGCACTGCCTTCACTTTTTACTGTGTTAGAGTCCATCCAGACTGTTCTATCCAAAAAAGTTTCTTTTTCCCCCACAGGCAATCAGGAAATGATTCCTTTCCCGACTGCTTCTGTCTAGTGCCTGGGAATCTTGAGTCAATCCCTCAGTAAGTCAGTGACTAGGGAAATCCCTCTCTGAGCCTCCCAGTTCATGTTGCTTAGGGAACCTGATATTTTCGTGAAACCTGCCTACACATGGGCAGCCCAACAGCAGAACAAATGGTGGTGACCAAAGTGAACAAAGAAGTATAGTTGTGCCAGCTTCGTAGTTGCCCATGTGGACAAGTCAGCAGGATCAGGACACGAGGAAGAGTAAATGTGAGACAGTCAATGTGACTTCTGCGATAAACAGATTTTTAAACCCCGAAATTTTGCAAAATTTTGGTGAAACCTGAACTTTCTTCGTTGCATATACTGGCACTATCTGTACCATCATACAACTGTCTCACATTAAAGCTATTTTTCTTGGGCACTGATGAGTAAGGTTGGTATAAGTTCCTCAGATCAACAAAAACCCATTTTCCTGTAAGTCTTACATTTAGTATTTAAGGAACTAAAACTTAAATACATTTTGTGAAATGGTTGACACTTCACTGATAATGATTTATTGCTTGGATTAATAAATTTTCCAAAAGTTGTCTTATGTAGAATATGGTTTGCAACCAGCAGAACCATTAATCTATACTGCAATGATATGCACTATGTATAATTGTTTAAAAGCCTCTACTTAATGATGTAAAATGCTCTATTTAATTACACATTTGGGTAAACTGTATACTAACATCTGATGGCATTTTTCCACTGTTTGTTGCTTTTTTCAAATACTTTATTGTACAAAGCTGTTCTTAATATTTTTCAAGTTTTTTTCTTTGAATTTTGCTAATGTTTTCCTTGAATTATGAGCACTGACAGAATGTGCTTAGCACTTTTGGCTATTCACACAGCTTTTGAGCATGATTTGCATCCAATATTTACATTGCTAGCAATAATAAGCCATCTGTGAGTTTTGTCAAAAGTTATTGGGGATTTTTTAAATTTTAGAAATGCAAATTATTGTTTCTTTGAACTAACTCTTATGCAGTTGCAAAGGCATTTCCAGTTGTTATAGTTTGTGTACAATATCAGGTGTTCCAGATTATGATTCATTATTAATATCATTGCTTCCTTGTTCCCTCTGAGGTCCAGAAGATTCATGTTTACAATATTTAGAAACAATGTTAAAAAGGTATCCAAAGTTTGTCACTTTATTATTAGTTTGTTCTTAATATTCTGTTTAAGTTTTTGAATTCATAGATATCAAAACGCTGCACAATTATGATTTCCACAGGAATAACAACACACTAACAATAAGAACCAAAAACAGCAAATAGGCTGCCTACAAGTTTTGACAATATTAGGATAATGATAATGACAGTTTTTCTAAATCTCACAGTAAAGAATGCAGCAACCCAGCAACACTGCTACCTGTGGCCTCAGGCTGCAGTGTCAGCTCTTCCCTGGGTCTCCAGCCTGCCAGTCTAACCTGAAAATTATGTACTTGCCAGCCCCCACAGTCACGTGAGTGAACTGGCCCAGGCTGGTCACCAGGGTCAGTTTCTCTGTGTGTCATTAATTCATTCAGTCTTCAGCAGTCTCTTTGGAGCTGAGATGTACCTACCATCTGCCTTTTGGGTGCTTAGGGTGGAGAACCAGAAAAGTATAACCTAGTGTGTATCCTCAAAGAGCTAACAATATGGGGTGGTACCTATAGGTCTGGAAACACTTTACTGACTCTGTGAGGCATACCAGGAGACGTCAGAGAACAGTCCCTCCTCAAATGCCAAATGAGATGCAGAAGAAATAGTTTGCTCAAGTTCATGGGCCAGATATCCCAGTGGTCAGGGAGTTTCATGAATGAGATGGAACTTTGCATGGAACCCGAGGGATGTGTATGATTTGAGTAGATGAAGAATATGAGACTTTCCAAGCAGCTAGAAGTTAGGGAGCAGCAAGATGTGTGGTGGGATTGAGCACAGTTGGTTCAGAGGATAGACTGCAGTTTTAATAATTTGTAGTAAATATCTCCCAACTGTTTGGCACTATTGGAGCAAGTTCTTGAATGCCAAATGAAGGCATAAATCAGTAAGAGGCATAATAAAAGGCTGAGCAGTGCTTGGCTTTTTACGAACTGATCCTGATAGGAGCAGCTGTTCAACAAAGTTGCCAGGTCACCGTTACATAGTCCCTGCCTTCTAGGGGCTCACTGCCTACTGGGAGAGACAGTCTGAAAGTTGGTGGAGCATGTAACTGTTGGATGAGGAGTTTGAGCCTGTGGACTGTGGGACCCCCGAGGAGGGTGTGGCTACTCTAGGCAGAACAATCCCACAGTTTATTTATATTTAACCTTGAAATTCATTAGAGGATTTTTCAGCAGAGGTTTGGTACTTGTTAATGTTAAGGTTTGCATTCTCTAGAACCTCAAGGAAAGCTGTACCGTGCATAATGTACCCTCTTATGTTAATGTTGTGTACTGTGATCCTGTTTCAGGGACTTGCACTTAGGAATCTGTTACAGTGAGCACAGAAGCAGACCTGTGGGCTCATAGTCTTCACCCCCCACCCATATATACAAGATGAACAGAGTGGAGGTTAAACAACTTGACTAAACAACACAGTTCATGGTAAAGCCCAAGACTGTACCTGCCCATCCACTGCCTTTTCCATGTATCCTGGAACTGAGCATAGACCTCTTCCCAGGCAGAGCTGACAGCAAGTAAAGGAGATCATAATCAGGGGACCAAACAACTTTGTCTAAAGTGTGAATGTCACCTAAGGAGAAGCTGTGAGATCAGAAGGGTGGGGCAGAGGAGCAGACACCATGAGAGAGAGTCCTTGGGGGTACATCTGCCAGACTGACACTGTCTGGCCTGGGCAGTGGAGGGGCTAGCAGGAACCACAGGTACTGGTGGTGTGGCTACTACCGTTACAACTGCCTGTGCTTGGACATGGACCCTCTGCAATATGCGGCAGTTTCATTCATTGCCCCCTACATTCTACACCAAGTAGAAATGGAAGGCAATTGGATACTTCACAGACAAGATCTAAGTGGAGAAGGAATGCGTCCTGTGGCTGCAGAGATCCTTGGAGCTTGGAGGGGAGAGCTTGAGCCCCACTGATGATGACCTCCCACAGCTCGCCAACTCAGCCCTCCCTAAGTCCCCATCGGGGGCCAATTCTCACTCTGGGGTTGGGGGGACTCCACCATAGCTCATCCATCATAGGGATGTTGGTATCTACTGTGGGTTGGGTAGGGCCGATGTGCTGAGGATGGCTCCCCCACAAGCAAGAGATGTGGATTTGGGGAGCTTCCCATCTTGTGTTGAAGGAACATAACTCAGAATAATAAGAGCCAACTATAACAAACCCACAGCCAACATCATACTGAATGGGCAAAAGCTGCAGGCATTCCCCTTGAAAAGTGGCACAGGATAAGGAAGCCCTTTCTCACCACTCCTATTCAATATAGTGTTGAAAGTCCTGATCACAGCAGTCAGGCAACAGAAATAATAAAGGGCATCCAAATAGGAAGAGAGGAAGTCAAACTATCCTTGTTTGCAGACAGTATGATTCTATATCTAGAAAACCCCATAGCCTCAGCCCAAAAGGTCCTTCATCTGATAATTTCAGCAAAGTTTCAGGAGACAAAATCAGTGTACAAAAATCACTAACATTCCTATACACAGTCGCCAAGCCAAGAGCCAAATCAGGAGCACAATCCCATTCATAATTGCCACAAAAAAGAATAAAATACCCAGGAATGCAGCTAACCAAGGAAGTAAAGGATCTCTACAATGAGAATCACAAACGCTGCTCAAAGAAATCAGAGATGACACAAACAAATGGAAAAACTTTCCATGCTCATGGCTAGGAAGAATCAATATCATTAAAGTGGCCATACTACCCAAAGCAATTTATAGATTCAATGCTATTCCTATCAAACTATCAATTACATTTTTCACAGAACTAGAAAAAACTTAAAATTCATATGGAACCAAAAAGCCTGAGTAGTCAAGGCAATCCTAAACAAAAAGAACAAAGGTGGAGGCATCACATTACCTAACTTCAAACTACAGGGCTACCATGACCAAAACAGCATGGTACTGGTACAAAAGCAGACACACAGACCAGTGGGACAGAATAGAGAGCCCAAAAATAAGGCCACAAACCTACAGCCATCTGATCTTCAACAAAGTTGACAAAAACAAGCAATGGGGAAAGGTCTCCCTATTCAATAAATGGTGCTGGGATAACTGGCTGGCCATATGCAGAAGATCGTAACTGGACCCCTTTTACTATGTACAAAAATTAAGATGGTTTAAAGAGTTAAAACCCAAAATTATAAAAATCCTGAAGATAACTTAGGCAATACCATTCTGGACATAGGAACTGGCAAATATTTCATGATGAAGACACCAAAAGCAATTGTAACAAAAGCAAAAATGGACAAATTGGATTTAAGAGCTTTTTCATAGCAAAATAAACAACAGGGCAGACAATCTACCAAATGACAGAAAATTTTTGCAAACTATGCATCTGACAAGGGGCTAATATCTAGCATCTATAAGGAATTTAAACACAGTTACAGGAAAAAAAAAACCCACTCCATTAAAAAATGGGCAAAGGACATGAACAGACACTTTTCAAAAAAGACATACATACAGCCAACTAGCGTGTTAAAGAAAACCTCAATTATCACTGATCATTAGAGAAATGCAAAATCAAAACCATGATGAGATATCATCTGCCAGTCAGGATGGCTACAAAAAAGTAAAAAAATAATAGATGTTGGTGAGGTTATGGAGAAAAGGAACTTATACACTTGTTAGGAGTGTAAATTAGTTCAATCACTGTGGACAGCAGTGTGGTGATTCCTCAGAGAGCTAAAAACAGAACTACCATTTGACTCACCAATCCCATTACTGGATATTTACCTAAAGGAATATAAATCATTCCACCATAAAGACACATGCAAGTGTATGTTCATTGCAGCACTATTAACAGTAACAAAGCTGGGCACAGTGGCTCACCTCACGACTGTAATCCCAGCACTTTGGGAGGCTGAGGTAGGCGGATCACCTGAGGTCGGCAGTTTGAGACCAGCCTGACCAACATGGAGAGACCCCATCTCTACTAAAAATACAAAATTAGCCAGGTGTGGTGGCTCATGCCTGTAATCCCAGCTACTTGGGAGGCCAAGGCAGGAGAATTGCTTGAACCCAGGAGGCAGAGGTTGCAGTGAGCCGAGATCACACCATTGCACTCTAGCCTGGTGAAGGAGCAAGACTCCATCTCAAAAAAAAAAAAAAAAAAAAAGAAAGAAAGAAAAATACACATTCAGAGGAGACAAAAAATAAAAAACAATGATGCATGCCCACAGGATCTAGAAAATAACTTCTTAAGGGCAAATCTAGGAGTTATTGGCCTTAAAGAAGAGATAGAGAAAGAGATAGGAATAGAAAGTTTGTTGAAAGGGATAATAACATAGAACTTCCTAAACCTACAGAAAGATATTTATATCCAAGTACAAGAAGGTTATAGAACACCAGGCCAATTTAACCCAAAGATTACCTCAAGGCATTTAATAATCAAACTCCCACAGGACAAGGGTAAAGAAAGGATCCTAAAAGCAGCAAGAGAAAAGAAACAGATAACATACAATGGAGCTCCAATACATCTGGCAGTATATTTTTCAGTGGAAACCTTACAAGCCAGGAGAGAGTGACATGACATATGTTAAAGTGCTGAAGGGAAAAAACCTTTTACCCTAGAATAGTATATCCAGCAAAAATATCCTTCAAACATGAAGAATAAACAAAGACTTCCCCAGACAAACAAAAGCTGAGGGATTTCATCAACACTAGACTGGTCCCATAAGAAACGCTTAAGGGAGTACTTTGGTCAGAAAGAAACAGACATTAATGAGCAACAAAGAATCATCTAAAGGTAAAAAACTCACTGTTAAGAGTAAGTACACAGAAAAACCCAAAGTGTGATAACATTGTAACTGTGGTGTGTAAGTAGAAAGAATAAATGATAAACCAATCAAAAATAGTAACTACAACTTTTCAAGACCAGTCAGAAAAATAAGATAAAATTAGAAACAACAAAAAGTTAAAAAGTGGGGGGATGAAGTTAAGATGTAGAGTTTTTATTAGTTTTTTGTTTGTTAATGCAAACAGTGTTACCAGGTTAAAATAATGGGTTACAAAATAGTATTTGTAATCCTTATGGTAACCTCAAACCTAAAAACATACACTGGATACATAAAAAATAAAAAGCAAAAACCTAAATCATATCACCAGAGCAAACTACCTTCCCTAAAGGAAGACAGGAAGAAAAGAAAGAAGAAGACCACAAAACAACCAGAAAACAAATAAATAACAAGGCAGGAGTAAGTCTTTACTTATCGATAATACATTGAATGGAAATATGGACTAAACTCTCCAATCAAAAGACATAGACTGGCTGAATGAATGGAGAAAACAAGACCCATTGATCTGTTGCCTACAAGAAACACACTTAAACTATAAAGACACACATAGGCTGAAAGTAAAGAGTTGGAAAGAGTTATTCCATGCCAATGGAAACCAGGAAAAAGAGAAGGAGTATTGATTTTGATACAAAAACTATGAGACAAATAAAGTCACTATACAATGATAAAGGGGTTAATATGGTTTCCATTTGTGCCCCACCCAAATTTCGTGTTCTATTGTAATCCTCAATGTTGGAGGTGGGGCCTGGTGGGACGTGATTAGATCATGGGGGTGGATCTTTCATGACTAATTCAGCACCATCTTCTTAGTGCTGTTCTCATGATAGTGAGTTCTTCTGAAATCTGGTTGCTTAAAAGTGTGTAGCACCTCTCCACACCACCCGCTTGCCTTGGTCTACTCCTGCTATGTAGATGCTTGCTCCCACTTTGCATTATTCCATGAGTAAAAGCTCCCTCAGGCCTTCCCAGAATCAGATGCCGCTATGCTTCCTGAACAGCCTGTGGAACTATGAGCCAATTCAACCTCTTTTCTTCATAAATTAACAAGTCTTGGGTATTTCTTTATAGCAGTGTGAGAACAGAATAATACAGAAAATTGGTAAAGAGGAGTGAGGCATTGCTAGAAAGATACCTGAAAATGTGGAAACAGCAGTGGAACTGGGAAATAGACAGAGGTTGGAAGAGTGTGGAGGGCTCCGAAGATAGGAAGATGAGGGGAAGTTTGGAATTTCTTAGAGATTTGTTAAATTGTTTTGACCAAAATACTGATAGTGATATGGACAATGAAGTCCAGGCTGAGGAGGTCTCAGATGGAGATGAGGGACTTATTGGGACCTGGAGTGAAGGTCACTTTTGTTAGGACATTGTGGTTGGAGACATTGTGCCCCTGCCCTAGGAATCTGTGGAACTTTGAACTTGAGAGCGAAGATTTAGGGTATCTGGCAGAAGAAATTTCTAAGCAGCAAAGCGTTCAAGACGTGGCCTGGCTGCTTCTGGTAGTCTGTGCTCATATTTGTGAGCAAAGACATGACAAGAAACTGGAACTTATATTTAAAAAGGAAGCAGAGTGTAAAAGTTTGGAGAATTTGCAGCCTGGCCATGTTGTAGAAAAGAAAAAAACCATTTTCTGGAGAGGAATTCAAGCTAGCTGCAGAAAATTGCAAGTAACAAGGAGCAAAATGTTGATAGCCAAGATAGTGGGAAAAACACCTTGAAGGCATTTCAGATACCTTGGGGGCAGCCTCTCCCATCACAGGCCCAAAGGCCTAGGAGGGAAGGATGGTTTCCTGGGCCAGGCTCAGGGTCCTGCTGCCCTGCACAACCTCAGGAAACTGCTCTCCAAATCCCAGCTGCTCCAGCTCCAGCTTCAGCTCAAAGGGCCCCAGGTATAGCTCAGGCTGCTGCTCCATAGGATGCAAGTTATAAGCCTTAGTGGCTCCCGTGTGGTGTTAAATTAAGCCTGTAGGTGCACAGAGTGCAAGAATTGAGGCTTGGGAGCCTCCAACTAGATTTCAGAGTATGTGTGGGAAAGCCTGGATGTCCAGGCAGAAGCCAGCTGCAGGGACAGAGCCCTCATGGAGAACCTCTACTAGGGTAGTGTGGAGGGGAAATTTGGGGTTGGAGTTCCCACACAGCTTCCCCTCTGGTGTACTGCCTAGTGGAGCTGTGAGAAGACAGCCACTGTCCTCCAGATTCCAGGATGATAGATCTGCCAATGACAGCTTGCACTGTACAACTGGAAAAGCCACAGGCAGTCAATGCCAGCCCGTGAAAGCAGTGACAGTGGCTTACCCTGCAAAGTCCCAGGGGCTGAGCTGCCCAAGGCCTTGGGAGCCCACCCCTTGCACCAGTGTGCCCTGGATGTGAGATATGGAGTCAAAGGAGAGTATTTTGGAGCTTTAAGATTTAATGACTACCTGCTGGGTTTCAGACTTGCATGGGTCCAGTAGCCCCTTTCTTTTGGCCAATTTCTCACTTTTGGAATGGGAGTGTTTACCCAATTCCTGTACCCCCACTGTATGTTGGAAGTAACTAACTGTTTTTTTATTTTGTAAGCTCACAGGTGGGAGAGACTTGCCTTGTCTCAGGTTGAGACTCTGGACTTTGGACTTT
Source organism: Homo sapiens (assembly GCF_000001405.40). NCBI lineage: Eukaryota > Metazoa > Chordata > Mammalia > Primates > Hominidae > Homo > Homo sapiens. The sequence goes on along the minus strand of NT_167248.2, from coordinate 1,538,470 downwards.
TGAATTAATGCTGGAATGAGTTAAGACTTTGAGGGACTGTTGGGAAGATATAACTGTATTTTGCAGTATGAGAAGGACATGAGATTTGGGAGACACCAGAGGTGGAATAATATGATTTGGATCTGCATCCCCACCAAAATCTCATGTTCAATTGTAATCCTAAATTTTGGAGGTTGAGCCTGGTGGAAGAGGATTGGATAATGGGGGTGGTTTCTCATGGTTTAACACCATCCCCCTGGGTGCTGTTCTCATGACAGTGAGTGAGTTATTGTGAGATCTGATTGTTTAAAAGTGTGTGCCACCTCCTCCCACTTTCCTCCTGCTCCAGCCATGTAAGACAGGCTTGCCTCCCCTTCACCTTTTGTCATGATTGTAAGTGTTCTGAGGCCTCCCCAGCCATGCTTCCTGTACAGCCTGCAGAACTGTGAGCCAATTAAACCTCTTTTCTCTATATATTACCCAGTCTCGGGTATTTCTTTATAGCAGTGCAAGAATAGACTAATACAGGGTTCAATTCAGCAAGAGGATATAACAAATATAAATATATATGCACTCAACACTGCAGCACCCAGATATATAAAGCAAATACGATTAGAGCTAAAGAGAGAGAGTGACCCCAATACAATAATAGCTGGAGACTTCAACACCACATTTTCAGCACTGGACAGATCTTCCAGACAGAAAATAAAAAAGAAACATCAGACTTAATCTGCACTGTAGATCAAATGGATCTAATACATACTTGCAGAACATTTTATCCAATGGCTGCAGAATACACATTCTTTTTTAGCACATGTATCATTCTCAAGGATAGACCATATGTTAGGTCACAAGTCTTAAAACATTAAAAAAGTTGAATACCATCAAGCATCTTCTCTGACCACAGTGGAATACAACTAGAAACTAATAACAAGAGGAATTTTTGAAACTACAAATACATGAAAATTAAACAATATGCTCCTGAATGACCATTGAGTCAATGAAGAAATTAAGAAGGAAATTGAACAATTTCTTGAAACAAATGATAAAGGAAACACAACATACCAAAACCTATGGGATACGGCAAAAGCAGTACTAAGAGGCAAATTGATAGCTATAAGTGCCTACATGAAAAAAGAGGAAAAACTTCAAATAAGCAATTTAACAATGAACCTTAACCAGAAAAGCAAGAGCAAAACAAACACAAAATTAGAAGAAAACAAATAATAAAAATTAGAGCATAAATAAATAAAATTGAAATAAAAATCAATGCAAAAGAACAATGAAACAAAAAGTTGCTTTTTTTCAAAAGTTAAACAAAACTGACAAGCCTTTAGCAAGACTGAGAAAAAAGAGACAAGATACAAATCAGAAATGAAAAAGACATTACAACTGACACTGCAGAAATTCAAAGGATCATTAGGGGCTACTATGAGCAACTCTATGCCAATAAATTGGAAAATCTAGAAGAAATTGACAATTCCTAGACACATACAACCTACTGAGACTGGACCAGGAAGAAATCCAAAACCTGAACAGACTAATAACAAGTAACAAGGTTGAAGCCATAATAAAAAGTCTCCCACTAAAGAAAACCAAGGACCCGATGGCTTCACTGTTGAATTCTACCAAACATTTAAAGAAGAACTAATACCAATCCCACTCAAGCTATTGAAAAATAGAGGAGGAGAGAATATTTCCAAAGTCATTCTAGGAGACCAGTATCACCCTGATACCAAAACCAGACAAAGACACATCAAAAAAAGAAAACTGCTGGCCAATTTCTCTGATGAATATTGATGCCAGAATCCTCAGCAAAATATTAGCAAACTAAATTCAACAATACATTAAAAAGATCATTCATCAGGGTCGGGTGCAGTGGCTTAAGCCTCTAATCCCAGCACTTTGGGAGGCCGAGGTGGGCAGATCACCTGAGGTCAGGAGTTCAAGACCAGCCTGACCAACATGGTGAAACCTCGTCTCTACTGAAAATACAAAATTAGCCGAGTGTGGTGGTGCATGCCTGTAATCCCAGCTACTCAGGAGACTGAGGCAGGAGAATCACTTGAACCCAGGAGGTGGAGGTTGCAGTGAGCTGAGATTGTGGCACTGCACTCCAGCCTTGGTGACAGAGTGAGACTCCATTAAAAAAAAAATCATTTATCATGACCAAGTGGGATTTATCCCTGGAATGCAAGGATGGTTCAACACATGCAAATCAATCAATGTAATACATCATATCAAAAAGAATGATTAAAACCATATGATTATTTCTATTGATGCTGAAAAAGTAGTTTATAAAATCCAACATCCCTTCATGATAAAAACCCTCAAAAAACTGTATAAAAGAAATATACCTCAACGTAATAGCCAGATATGACAGACCCACAGCTAGTATCATACTGAATGGGGAAAAAGTGAAAGACTTTCCTATAAGATCTGGAACACAACAGGGATGTTCACTGTCACCACTGTTATTCAACAAAGTACTGGATGTTCTAGCTAGAGCGATCAGACAAGAGAAGATATAAAGGCCATCCAAACTGGAAAGGGAGAAGTTAAATTACCCTAGTTTGCAGATGATATGAACTTATATTTGGAAAAAACCTAAAGGCTCCACAGGAAAACTATTAGAATCAATAAATTCAGTAAAGTTGCAGGACACAAAATCAACATATAAAAACCAGTAGCATTTCTATATGTCAACAGTGAACAATTTGAAAAATTTTAAATTTAAGAAGGTAATTTCATTTACAGTAGCCACACATAAAATTAAATACCTAGGAATTAACCAAAAATGTGCAAGATATCTATGAGGAGAATTATAAAACATTGATGAAAGAAATTGAAGAGGACACAAAAAAAATGGAAAAAATTCCATCTTTATGGATTGGAAGAATCAATATTGTTAAAATGTCCATACTACCCAAAGCAATCTACAGATTTAATGCAATCCCTATCAAAATACCAATAATAGTCTTCAGAGAAATAGAAAAAAAAATCCCAAAATTTATATGAAAACACAGAATGCCCAGAATAGCCAAAATTATATTAAGCAAAAAGATCAAAACTGGAGGAATCACATTACCTGACTTCAAATTATGCTACAGAGCTATAATCACCAAAACAGCATGGTACTGACATAAAAACAGACACATAGTCCAACAGAACAGAATAGAGAACCTAGAAACAAATCCACACACTCACAGGGAACTCATTTTTGACAGAGTTGCCAAGTACTTATACTGGAGAAAAGAAAAGACAGTCTCTTCAATGAAATGGTGCTGGGAAAACTGGATATCCATATGCAGAAGAATGAAACTAGACCCCTACCTCTCACTGTAGACAAAAGTCAAATCAAGGCTAGGCATGGTGGCTTACACCTGTAATCTCAGCACTTTGGGAGGCTGAGGCAGGCGTATCACGAGGTGAAGAGATTGAGACCATCCTGACCAACATGGTGAAACTCACCCCCCCCCACCCACTAAAAATACAAAAATTAGCTGGGCGTGATGGCATGTGCCTGCAGTCCTAGCTACTCAGGAGGCTGGGGCAGGAGAATCGCTTGAACCCAGGAGGTGGAGGTTGCAGTGAGCTGAGATTGTGCCACTGCACTCCAGCCTGGCGACAGAGCAAGACTCCATCTCAAAAAATAAAAAATAAATTCAAAATGTAATAAAGACTTAAATCTAAGACCTCAAACATGAAACTACTATAAGAAAACATTGGGGAAAACCTCCAGGACAGTAGTCTGGCCAAAAATTTCTTGAGCAATACCCCACAAGCACAGGCAACCAAAATAAAACTGGACAAATAGTATCACATCAAGTTTAAAAGCTTCTACAAAGCAAAGGATACAATCAATAAAGAGACAACCCACAGAATGGGAGAAAATATTTGCAAACTACCCATCTGACAAAGAAATAATAACCAGAGTATATAAGAAGCTCAAACAACTCTATAGTAAAAAAAAAAAAAAAAAAAATTCTAAAAGTCTAAGTAAAAAAATGGGCAAAAGATTTGAATAGACATTTCTCAAAAGAAGACATACAGGCCATGCGTGGTGGCTCATGCCTGTAATCCCAGCACTTTGGGAGGCCCAGGCGGGTGGATCACTTGAGGTCAGGAGTTCGAGACCAGCCTGACCAACATTGTGAAACTCCGTCTCTACTAAAAATACAAAAATAAGCCAGGCATGGTGGCGCACACCTGTAATCCCAGCTACTCAGGAGGCTGAGGCAGGAGAATCGCTTAAACCTGGGAGACAGAGGTTGCAGTAAGCCGAGATCACACCACTGCACTCCAGCCTGGGCAACAAAGTGAGACTCCGTCTCACAAAAAAAAAAAAAAAAAAAAAAAAAAGAAAAAGGAAGAAGACATACAAAGCCAGGTACAGTGGCTTATGCCTCTAATCCTAGCACTTTAGGAGGCCAAGGCAGATGGAATTGAGCCCAGAAGTTTGAGACCAGACTGAGCAATATGGTCAAACCCCAATTCTGCAAAATACAAAAATAAAAAATAGCTGGGAGTGGTGGTGCACACCTGTAGTCCCAGCTACTTAGGAAGCTGAGATGGGAGGATCACTTGAGCCTGCAGTGAATCATAATTGCACCAATGCACTCCAGCCTGGGCGACAGAGTGAGAGACATTGTCTCAAAAAAAAGAAAAAGAAAAAAAAGAAAGGACATAAAAATGACAAACAGGCATATGAAAAGGTGCTGATGATTATTGATCCTCAGAGAAATGCAAATCAAAACTGCAATGAGATATAATCTCACCCCAGTTAAAATGGCTTATATCCAAAAGACAGGCAATAACAAATGCTGGTGAGGATGTGGATAAAAGGGAACCCTCGTACACTGTTGATGGGAATGTAAATTAGTACAACCACTATGGATAACAGTTTAGAGGTTCCTCAGAAAACTAAAAATTGAGTTGCGATATGATGCAACAATCCTACTGCTGGGTATATACCCCACAAAAGACAAAACCAGCGTTTTGCATGGTGGCTCACACCTGTAATCCCAGCACTATGGGAGGCCGAGGAGGGCAGATCACTTGAGCCCAGAAGTTCAAGACCAGCCCGAGCAACATGGCAAAACCTGATTTCTACAAAATACAAAAAAAAAATTAGGCAGTTGTAGTGGTTCACACCTATAGTCCTAGCTACTGTGGAGGCTGAGGTAGGATCACTTGAACCTAGGAGGTGGAGGTTGCAGTGAGCCAAGATCATGCCACTGCACTCCAGCCTGGGTGACAAAGTGTGACCCTGTCTCAAAAAAGAAAATCAGTATATGGAAGAGATATCTGCACTCCTATGTTTTTTACAACACTGTTTACAATAGCTAAGATTTGGAAGCAACCTAAATGTCTAACAGCAGATGAATGGATAAGGAAAATTTGGTATGTATACACAATGAAGTACTATTCAGCCATAAAAAGGAATGAGATCCAGTCATTTGCAACAGCATGGATGGAAGTGGAGATCATTATGTTAAATGAAATAAGCCAGGCACAGAAAGGCAAACATGGCATGTTCTCACTTATTTGTGGGACCTAAATTCAAAACAATTGAACTAATGGACATAAAGAGTAGAAGAATGGTTACCAGAGGCTAGGAATGGTAGTGGGGGGCTGAAGGGAAGGTGGGGATGTTTAATCGGTAAAAAAAAATTTAGAAGAATAAGACCTACTATTTGATAGCACAATAGGGGGACTATAGTCAATAATGCACATTTAAAAATAGTGTAATTGAATGGTTTGTAACTCAAAGGATAAATGCTTGAGGGAATGGATACCCCATTCTCCATGATGTGCTTATTTCACATTGCATACCTGTATCAAAACATCTCATGTACCCCATAAATATATGCAGCTATTATGTACCCACAAAAATTGAAAATCAAAAATAAAATATTTTTTAAAATGTATTATTATTTGTCCTCTGTGAATAAAACTCGCTTCTGGCCCTCCTTTTTATAGGTATTTAAAAGAATGCATTTAGGCAGATCAATGGCATTATATAATATACAAAAACAATAAATCTTTTTTTTTTAAACATATCACATTCAGCACAGCTGCTGAAGTTGGGGCTAATTATAGGTTACATTTTCATTAATCCACTGTCATCTGTTATCATCCATCCAATTTTTGCTAGAACTGGAGTGGTAAATTCAATAGTTGATGATGAAACCACAACCCCTGCATCTTTTATGTCTTTGAGTGACAGTTTATTTCATTGCCCCTCAAATACTACATTGTTTTAAAATTTCTATCTTGGTCGATATTAGAAGCTCTCTTAGGGGCATCCACTTGGCCTTTCTTACTACAAATCCTTTATTCCACAGGTGAAATGACTAAAGTGTGAGTGAAATAACTAATGTACAAAATAAATCCATCAATTACATATTTGGAAACCAGAAAAATAACCACCAAGCAGATGTGTGGACACAGAGAATCCACGGAGATACGGGTGGACCTGAGACAGGAAATTATTTTCAGTTCCCTGTGTGGCTCTCCTCTAATAGAAGTCCATGAGGGTGCTTTGGTTCCCCAGGTATCAGTGTGAAATTGGACCCTGTATCCAATAGACCTGAAAATATCTGGACATTCCCCTTTATCAGTGTCTTGATACCTGAGTAAATGGCCATTGATCCCTTTAGGGAAGGGTGTAGAAAGTGTCTACTGTACACACTTATGGTGTTGCAGATACTTCATCAGGGGACGTGACTCTCCTTCAATGAATGGATTCTGGATCTAAGCACTGGCTCAGGTCTGGAAACTGGGCAAGGGATTTTAAACTTCTATTGGAGAAATTAATCTCAGACTTCAGCTCATCTATTTTTCATCTATTGATTCTAATATTAAACAACAGTCTTATAGGCTGCCCAACTAGAAACACCATAGTCTTAATAATTTCCCTAAATCCCTTGCAGTCAGGATTTCCTGGCTTCCATTCTAACATTACTCACTATTTTGGGGATTTTGTCCATTTTGATTCTGCCTTGCTGCCAGCTGGCCTCTAGCTTTCTGGAATCCTACTGTCCTATTGTTGCTAGGGCACCAAGTTCTCCAATATCATCTCATAGAGTCAGCTCCAGCCCACAAAGGACAAAATTAGGTTAATACCCCGTTCACCTGCCCATGACTTGCTGCCTGATAAACAGAGTTTCCTTTGGGCCCTTCCAAATAAACAGTCACCCAGTGCATGATCCAGTTTTATAGAGTGTATCTATCTATGCCAGCATGCTCACTGCTCTGAGCCTTTTGGTCTCTTTCTCCACAATCTGCCATGGCAGCTCTGGCACATCGATTTTATTTCATGTGAGCCATCATTTTTCATTAGAACAGTTTCATTAAGATAAAATTCATATATTATTCAACCATTTAAACTCAATGGTTTTTAGCATATTTATAGTGCAACCATCACCACAATCAATTGTAGAACATGTTCATCACTCCAAAACTATTTTTAGAACATTTTCATCACCCATGTATATTTATTCTCAGGCAGTCATCCCCATTTTTCCCTCCAACATTTCCTCAGTCCTAGGCAACCACTAATCTACTTTCTCTCTACAAATTTATTTCTTATAGACATTTCATATAAATGAAATAATATAATGGATGGTCTTTTGTGACTGGCGTCTTTCACATAGCATAATGTTTTCAAGGTTCATCCACATTGCAGCATTTATTAGTACTGCATTTCTTTTTATGGCCAAATATTCCGTTCCATAGATTGACCATATCTTATTCATTCATTTGTTCCTGGGCATCTGTATTGTTTCCACTCTTCAGCCATTGAGAATAATGCTGCTTGACCATTATGTACAAATTTTTGCATGGACATGTTTTCATTTCTCTTGGGTATATACCTGGGAATGGAATTGCTGGGTCAAATACTCATTCTACATTCAAACTTTGAGGAACTGCCAGACTATTCTTTAAGAGGCTGCACCATTTTACATTCTTACCAGCAGTGTGCAAGAATTCCAATTTCTCCACATCCTCACCACTGCTTATTGATATCTGTCTTATTTATTCTAGCTATTCCAGTGACCGTGCAGGGGTATATCACTGTGCTTTTAATTTGCATTTCCCTGATGATTAATAGTGCCAAGCATCTTTTCATATTCTTATTAGCCATCTTTCTATCTCCTGTGGAGAAGTATCTATTCAGCCCTTTGTTCATTTTTTACTTGTATTATTTGTCTTTTAATTTTTGACTTGTAAGAGTTTGTGTGTTCTATATACTAATTCTTTCTCACATATAAGATTTATATATACTTTCTCCTAGCCTGAGGGTGGTATTTTTACTTTTTTGATTGTATTCTTTGGAACACAGAGTTTTAAACTTTGTTGAGATAGAATTTATCTGTTTGGTTTATTGTTACTTGTGTTTTGGTGTCATATTTAAAAAACACTGCTTAATCCGAGGTCATGAAGGTTTTTGCATACATTTTTGTTTGTAAGTTTTATAGTTTTAGCACTAACATTTAGGTCTTTGGTCCATGTTAAGTCATTTATGTATATGATATGAGGTAGGGTCAAACTTCATTCTTTTGCAGGTGGATATACAGTTACATCAGCACAATTTTTTTTAACCATTGGCCATTTCATATTTAAAAAACATTTAATTGACAAAGTTGTGCATGGCATACATCATGATAATTTAATACACATATACATTGTATGATTATTATTGCAACCAAATTAACAAATCCATTACTGCCCATACTGAACATTAGATTTCTAGAACTTGTTCATTATATAACTGAGAATTTGCACCCTTTGACCAACATCTCCCCATTTCTCCCACTCAAGCCCCTGGTAACCACCGTTCTACCTCTGTTTCTAGGAGTTTCACTTGTTTTAGATTGCAAATATGAGGTTATATAATATTTGTCTTTCTGTGTCTGGCTTATTTCATTTAATATAATATCCTCCAGGTTCATCCATGTTGTTGCAAATGTCAGTACTTCCTTTTTCTGTGGCTATTATTCCATTTTGTGTGTGTGTGTATACATACACACCATATTGCTATGGTTTGAATTTTTGTCCCCTCCAAAACCCATGTTGTTTCAACCCATTTATATTTCAACATGGGTTGAAGTATATATATATTTGTAGAGATGGGGTCTCACTATGTTGCCCAGGCTGGTCTTGAACTCCTGGACTCAAGCAGTCCTCCCACCTCAGCCTCCCAAAGTGCTGGGATTACAGGAGTGAGCCACTGCACCCAGCTGCATATTGAAATTTAATTGCTATTGTAACATTATTAGGAGGTGAGACTTTTGAGAGGTGATTGGACCATGAGGGTTCCACCCTTGGGGGTGGTTTTAATGCCTTTATAAAAGGGCTTCCAGGAGTGTGTTCTCTGTACTTTACTTGCCCTTCTACCTTCAGCCATGTGATGATGCAGCAAGATGGCTCTCACCATTAGCCAGTGCCTTGATCTTGGATTCATAGCCTCCTGAACCGAGAGAAAATACATTTCTATTTGTTATAGATTACCCAGTCTGTGATATTGTGTTATAGCAGCATAAAATAGAGTAAAACATATGTTTAATCCATTCATCAGTTGACAGACATTCAGGTTATTTCCAGGAAATAATGCTGTGATAAACATATGGGTGCAAATATTTCTTTGAGATACTGATTTCATTTTCCTTGGATACATGCCCAGAAGTAAAACTGCTGGATCATATACTGGTAGTTCTGTTTTTAATTTTTTTAAGGAAAGATCGTTTTAATTTTTTGAGGAAAAACCATACTGTTTTCCATAATGCTTATACCAATTTACATTCCCACCAACCATGTATAAGGATTCCCTTTCCTCTACACCCTCATTAACACTTATTACCTCTTATCTTTTTGATAATAACTATTCTGACAGGTGTGAGGTAACACTTCATTGCAATTTTGATTTGCATTTTTCTGATTAGTTACGTTCAGCACCATCTCATATACCTGTTGGTCATTTGTATGTCTTCTTTGGAAAGATGTCTATTCAGGTCCTTTGTCCATTTTTGAATTAGGTTATTTGTTTTATTGCTATTGAGTTGTGTATAATTTCTCGAAAAGATTTTTCTTTCCCCCACTGAATTGCCTTGGCAGTATTTTTGAAATTTAATTGACCATAATTATAAACTTTTATTTCTAGCCTCTCTATTCTATTGATCTGTATGTCTATCCTTATGTCAGTATCACTCTGTATTGATTATTGCAGCTTTGTAGTAACTTTTGCCATGAGCAAGTATAGTTCCTCAAACTCTGTTCTTTGTCAAAAGTTTTGTAACTTTTGTAGTTCACTGAATTTCCATATAAATTTTAATATCATCTTGTCAGTTTCTGCAAAGCAGTCAGCTGGGATTTTGATAGAACTGCATTGAATTTGTAGACCAATTTTGATATACTGCCATCTTAATAATATTGTCTTCTGATCCATAAAAATAGAACATCTTTTTATTTATTTAGTTCTTTGATTTCTGTAAAAATATTGTCGGTTTTTTTGTAGTATAAATTTCGTACTTCTTTTATTACATTTATTTCTAAGTATTTTATTTTTCCCTAGCTTTATTGAAGCATAATTGACAAACAAGAATTATATACATTCAAGTTGTACAACATGATTTTTAAAATGCATATATATTGTGAAATGATTACCACAATCAAGCTAATTAACATATCTATGACACATAGTTAATATTTTTGTGTGTGGTGAGAATACTTAAGATCTATTCTCTTAGTAAATTTCAAGTATACCAATAGTTGCCATCCTGTTGTAAGCCCAAATCACTTTGGCTTAGTGATTTTGGGGACCTGAGATTATTTTTCCTTTCACACTGTACATTAGGTTTCCAGAACTTATTCACCCTATAACTGCAAGTTGGTAAACTTTTACCAACATCTCCCCATTTCCCCTAACCATGACTCCTAGTAACCCCTAAAAAAAAAAAAAAAAAAAAAAAAAAAAAAAAAAATTCCATCAACTTTAGACAAACTAAATTTAGAAGAGTTTATTTAAGCAAAAAATAATTTACAAATTTGGCAGCACTCAGAACCAGGAGAGGGTCAGAAAGCTCCACCCAGGAGTGTGCACAGCAAGCCTTTATGTGCCAGACACAGAAGAAGAAAAATCACCTGATTGGCTACAGCTAGGCATTTGCCTTATTTGGGCATGGTGTGATGAGCTGGCTGCTTGTGATTGGGTGAACCCCAGCTAACAGTTATACTCCTAACTTAGGTTTTGATTTGTTTACCTACTTACTTAGGTACACAGGCAGCCTCAGGTCAAAGTTAAGTTAATTCAACTGACTGTTTCTACCTCTGTTTCTCTGAATTCCACTTTATAGATTACACATATAAATGAGATCATACAGTATTTTTATTTCTGTGTTTGTCTTATTTCACTTAGCATAATGTCCTTCAGATTTATCCATGTTGTTACAAATGGCAGTATTTCCTTCCTTTTCATGTCTGAATAATATTCGTGTGTGTGTGTATGTGTGTGTATCACAATGTCTTTATTCATCCATTAATCAATAAACACTTACTTTGTTTCTATATCTTGGCCATTGTGAATAGTGCTGCAATTAATATGGGGGTACAGAAATTTCTTTACTGATTTCATTTTTTATATATGCCCAGAAGTAGGATTACTGTATCATATGGTAGTTATGTTTTTAATTTTTTGAAGAACATCTATATTGTATTCCATTATGCTTTTACCAATTCACATTCCTACCAACCATGTATAAGGGTTCCCTTTCTCTACAGTTTACCAACACTGATTATCTCTTGTCTTTTTGTTAATGGCTATTCTTACTGATGTAAGGTGATATGTCAATGCAGTTTTGATTTGCAGCTCTCTGATGATTAATGATGTTGAGCACCTTTTCATATACTTCTTGGTCATTTGTATGTCTTTTTTGAAAAATGTCTATTCGGGTCTTTTGCCCATATTTGAACTGGGTTATCTGTTTTTTGCTATTAAGTTCTATGGAGTCTATAGACTTTACATATTAACCCATTAGTGAATATAAGGTTTGCAAATATTTTCTCTCATTCTGTGGTTTGCCTTTTCATTTTGTTTATTGTTGTGTTGCTGTGCAAAAACTTTAATGTAGTCTCACTTGTTTAATTTTGCTTTTTTGGCATATGTTTTTGAGGTAATACCCCCAAAAAAATCATTGCCAAGGCCAATGTCTCGGAGCTTTTCACCTGCTTTCTTCTCCAAGTTTTGTGGTTTCAGGTCTTACATTTACATCTTTAATCTATTCGGAGTTGATTTTGCATATGGTGTAAGATCGGGATGCAGTTTTATTTTTTTCCATGTGGATATCCAGTTTTTCCATCACTATATATGTAGGAGAGTATCCTTTCCCTATTATATATTATTGACACCTTTTCAAAGATTAGTTAATTGTATATGCATGGATTTATTTCTGAGCTTTCTGTTCTATTCCATTATTCTATGTGCTGTTTTTATGCCAGTACCATACTGTTTTCATTAATATAGCTTTGTAGTATCATGTTAAATCAGGAAGTGTGATGCCTCCAGCTTTGTTCTTGTTGAAGATTGCTTTAGCTATTGCAGTTCTTTTGTGGTTCCATACGACTTTTGAGATTGTCTAATTCAGTTAAAAATCCCATTGGAATTTTGATAGGGGTTACATTAAATCTGTTGATTGCTTTGGGTAGTATGGACATTTTCGCAATATGATTCTTCTGATCCAAGAACAAGGATATCTTTCCAATTATTTGTGGCTTCTTCAATTTTTTTTGTCACTGTTATGGCTTTCAGTGTGCAGATCTTTCAGCTCCTTGATCAAATTTATTCCTAATTTATTCTTTTTGATACTGTTATAACTGAGATTATTTTCTTGATTTCTTTTTCAGACAGTTTTTGGTAAGTATATAAAAGTACCACTAATTTTTGTATGCTGATTTTGTATGCTGCAACTTCACTGATTTTTTTTTTCAGTGCCAGTAGTATTTTGGTGGAGTGTTTGGGGTTTCCATATATAAGATCTTGTGATCTACAAACAGAGGCAATTTGACTTCTTTTTTTCCAGTTTAGATCCCTTTTCTTTTTCTTCCCTAATTACTCTGCCTAGAATTATCAGTACAATGTTGAATAGATGTGGCCAGAGTGGGCATCATTGTCTTGTTCCTGATCTTACAGGAAAAGTATGCAACTTTCGCCATTGAGTATGATGTTAGTTGTGAGTTTGTCATAGCCTTTATCCTGGTAAGATACATTCCTTCTATATCTAAGCCTCCCAAAGTGCTAGGATTATAGGCTTGAGCCACCGCACCTGGCCCAGAAAGTTTCTATTTCTATGTCTTCAAAGTCACTGTTTAATCTACAGCATAAAGTTTACCATTAATCTCACCTCACATCCAGTGTATTTTATGTCTGACATTTTCATCTTTGGAAGTTTGATTTTGATGTTTTATGTATCTTTCATGTCTCTGTGTAACTTTTTGAACATATGGAATACATTTACAATAACCGTTTTATGTTATTGCCTGCTAATTCTGACATCTATGTCAGTTCTAGGTAACTTTAGACTGATGGTTTTCTCTGCCTTCTGAGTTGTATTTTCTTGTTTTTATTATATGCCTGGTGATTGTTTTTATTTAATGCCAGACATGACTTTACCAGGTTAGGTGCCAGATATTTTTGCATTCTATAAGTATTCATGAGCTTTATTATTATTATTATTATTTTGAGACAGAGTTTCCCTCTTGTTGCCTGGAGTGCAATGGTGAGAACTTGGCTCACTGCAACCTCTGCCTCCTGGGTTCAAGCAATTCTCCTGTCTCAGCCTCCCGAGTAGCTGGGATTATAGGCATGCGCCACCATGCCCAGCTAATTTTGTATTTTTAGTAGAGACGGGATTTCTCCATGTTGGTCAGGCTGGTCTCGAACTCCCAACCTCAGGTGATCTGCCCACCTTGGCCTCCCAAAGTGCTAGGATTACAGGCATGAGCCACCGTGCCCGGCTGAGCTTTTTATTTTTACTGGGACAAATTAAGTTATTCAGGAGCTGTTTGATCATTTTAAGTCTTTTAATATCTTTTAGCAAAAAAACAAAAAGTGTTTAGTCCAGGGCTAATTATTTACCACTGCTGACATAAGACCCTTCAGAATACTCTATCCAATGCTCAGCAAATTATGAGGTTTTCCAGTCTGGCTAGTGGGAACAGGCATTATTTCCAGCCCTGTATATCACTGGGTACTATTCTCTGAAGTCCTTTCGGATAATTCTTTCCCTGTCTTTGGGTAGTTCCCTTATATAATATGCTGATTAACTGAAAATTTGAGGGGTACCTCCTGCAGACTTACAGTGCTTTTTATCATCAGCTGTCTTTTCTATGTGCCTTCATCTTTGCATATTCTGGATGTCCTGGAATCTCCAAGTTCACAACTCTGTCCCCTCACCTCAGTGAACCTCCTGGTTAGGGCTCTGCCTCTCTGCACTCTGCCTTGGAAACTCTGTCCAGGAAGGAAGCTGGACAACTGTAGACCTTACCTTTTCCATTCCCCTTCTCCCAGAGATCACAGTCTCTGGGATACCTGCTGTCTAGTATCTGAGTACATAGCTATTTTTTCATATATTATTTTGAGTTTGTTGTGCTTAAGGCATGAGAGTAAATCTGGTCCTTGTTATTCCATCATAATCCAAAGCAAAAGTCAATAGATCATGACTTTTCAATTTTTAATTCAACTAAGTTAAAAATTTTAAAATCAAAGTTAATTTTACTTCCTAAAAACTAACTTTAGTTCTTTTGAAAAACAGGTCATTTTTAGGTTAATACATTCTGTAGGCATTTTCAAGCTTGTCATTATTATTATTATTATTATTATTATTATTATTATTATTATTTTGATACAGAGTTTTGATCTTGTTGCCCAGGCTGGAGTGCAGTGGCACAATCTCGGCTTACCACAATGCCCACTTCCCAGTTTCAAGTGATTCACCTGCCTCAGCCTCCCATGTAGCGGGGATTACAGGCATGTGCCACCACGCCCAGCTAATTTTCTATTTTTAGTAGAGACGGGGTTTTTCTATGTTGGTCAGGCTGGTCTCAAACTCCCAGCCTCAGGTGATCCGCCTGCCTCAGCCTCCCAAAGTGCTGGGATAACAGGCATGAGCCACCGTGCCCAGCTCATAATTATTTTAAATGTAATACTAGTTACGTTATTTTGTTTCATAATTCAAATATTGAAGCTTTATGAGCCTCTTATCTATTGTTTCCACTGGTTCTCAATCAGACTGACTTTTCTCCACTTGTACTTTATACAGTTCATGCTCTGAGCAGCTTTTTCCTTGTAGAATTATTTGGGCAAATTCTTTGACATATGGGTTAAATATGCATTCCTATAAAGATTTTTGTTTCCTTCTTCCAATTTTTGGATCATCGCTAATCCAGGACAATTATTAATCAAAATCATGCTTTGAGGTTATTTTGGCCCAAAACGGTAAAGCTAGTTTGGGCAACAAATCTGCAGGAGTGCTGGCTGGTGGTTGTAAATTCTCAAAAACAGGTTTTGCTGACTCAAAGGCAAATTTCTTTAGAATACTCTTGTGCTGGGGGATGAAACAGATTTTCTTTTCTTACTCTGAGGAAACACATCTTTTGTTTCCCATATTTCATGGGGTACACAAAAGTGTCTCCTCTTATACTCCCTATACAAACAAGTTCTGAGAATTACCTCCTTTGCACTATACCATATGAAGCTGAGAAAACCAAAGCTAAGATTTTTCCAGATTTGGCAAACGCCCTCAAGATAAAAGCAACTTCCCTTTTTCTAAATCCTGCCCACATTTATATTTTGACCAAAAAGATTATTCCCTTTTTTATATTTCTATACTTTTGGGTGATTTTCACATTTCATCTCTTTTTTAGTTGTTTTTGGTAGAAGAGGCAGCTTTAAAACCTAGTTCACCCTATTACCGGAAATGGAATCCCCATTCGCTACTGATTAATTCCTGCCATTAATCTGACACCGAGGTAGATGCTGGAATACAAGTACATCTAGACCAATGCTACTCTCAAAGTGCAGTCTGTGGGCTAGCACTGGTCTGTGGACTGTTTGTTAGCAGCCCACAATACTATACATATAGAAATTGTGAGTGAACTATGCAAGTAAACCTCTACTTTATCTCATCCCAGACTAGTAACAGTCAAGCAAAAGATGAGCATTTATACCATGTCACTGGGTCTTCTAAAAACAGTATGGTTATCAGCTGTTCATACAATAGTTTGAGTAAAATGGCATCTAAATTAGGATGGTTTTTTAGGCTTCTGTGAGCAGTCACATTAAAACTGGTGAATGTATAGATAACTCTCCCTAGGAGCATGTGCAGATAGAACAAAATATTAAAAATTTATATAAAATGTCAGTGTATACATGGATCCTCTGATGTCTTACAGATACGGGTTTTTAATCCTAGCAAGAGACAAAGATAGGGAAAAAGGCTTTCAAGTAAACATTTTACCATCACACAATGCTTCTCCACGTATCTGTGTGTGAAAACTGGGGTAGACAAAAGCTGGACCCCAAAACAAACTGTCAAGGGAATAAGTTGAACTATGTCATTTATTATACACTCAACCAAACCCAGGTGCCTGCAATGTACTAGATAAAGTTCTAGTCTCAGAACATGATTCTAGGAATTGAAATTTGTCATTCTTTTTCCATCCCTCACCCCTCTACCTCCAGCAACTGAATTCTCTTCCTATGTTGAAGAGTCTTATTAGAAGGCAGGGACTACCTCCTTCTACAAAGGAGAAAAATTCACTTTCCCCAACATTATTGCAGTTAAACACTGCAAGAGGCTTTGGCTGCACAATTTAGATAACCACATGTGGGCTTCTAATCAGGATGAGATGACACAGAGAGGCTGGGACAGTAAATACTGCATTTTGGTAAAGATGGCTGAGGAGCAGTAGTGGAGCAGTTCTCAGGAGCAGCAGTGATAGCAGTCTTTGCCACAGGGCCCAGTGTCGGCCATCAGGGTATCAGAGGTATATGCAGTAGCATCTGTGCTCAGGAGCAGGGACAGTGGTTCCTATGAGAGATCTGAATTAGGGTGGCTGTGGATTATGTTCCTGGCTGTGTAGCTTCAAACCTGGTTCTGTGTCCAATGTGGTTTGGCTGTGTCCCCACCCAAATCTCAACTTGAATTGTATCTCCCAGAATTCCCACATGTTGTGGGAGGGACCCAGGGGGAGGTAATTGAATCATGGGGGCCAGTCTTTCCCATGCTATTCTCATGATAATGAATAAGTCTCCTGAGATCCAATGTGTTTATCAGGGGTTTTGGCATTTGCTTCTTCCTCATTTTCTCTTGCCACCACCATGTAAGAAGTGCCTTTCGCCTCCCACCATGATTCTGAGGCCTCCCCAGCCAAATGGAACTGTAAGTCCAATTAAACCTCTTTTTCTTCCCAATGTTGGGTATGTCTTTATCGGCAGTGTGAAAACGGACTATGGACTAATACAGTGCCCTTCCCCAAAATAAAATGAATACTAATACCAATATGTACACTCCTTTATGTTTAAATTAGAAAAATTTGCAAGTCATTGTTTGCTCCAAGGAGTGAGTGTGAAATCATTCTGGAGAGTAGTTTCAGAAAGCAGCATTCAGATATTTTTTCATTCTGCTGAGCTGTGAGCCACTTCTCAATCTTCCATCTGGCTATACCCCATGATAGAGAAAATGACATTTATCTCTCAGCATCCTGTCTTATAATTAAAGAAACACATCCTCCTTAAAAATAAATAAATAAATAAATAAAAAACCCAGAATAAAGCAACACTTAAATGTGGGTCTGAGACCCCTCCCCATCCTGGGCATTCTCCAACTACTGATCTCAGTGATATCAAATCTGGCTGAGCACCAGGTTTGCTGTGGGCTTGTTGTAGAATACTCAGGCCTCTCCACAGATGCCCCTGTGTCAGAATGTTGCGCATGGAGTGCAGGAATTGCTTATTAACAAGCCTCACAGGCGAGGCTGATGCATAGCCTAGGAATCCTGGTCTGTGTTCTTGCTACCAAAAGTGGGATCTGAAGACCAGCAGCATCAGCGCCAACAGCAACATTATATAAGTAGGAAATCTCATTCTCGATTCCAGATCAGCTTAGACTTAAGGTGATGTCCAGGTGATTCCTGTCCACAGGAAAGTCTAGAACTCCCTGGTCTATGTACCTTCTAGATGTGGGGTCAGGACTGTGCAGTCTGATCTAGGTGTGTTGTCTGATCAGATCCTTTAGCAACAGAGGCCTAGTGTTCAGTCCTTGTTCCTGTTCTCTTCTACAGCCAATCACTCCCTTGGAGACGTCATTCAGACTCAAGGCTTTAAATAACTGTTATATGACATCACCTCCCAAGTCTATTTCTCCTAAATGTCTCCAGATTCATCTGTCCAACTGCCAACCCGACTACCTCACTGGTATTTCTCAGCGGCATCTCAGATCCCACGTCTCCCATAGTGACTGCCTGCGACGTCCCCTCCTCTCATATGCTCCTGCTAGTCTTCTCATTCTCAGCTGATGGCAACTCTTTTTAGTCACAGTCTGACATTTTTGGTATCCTTTACTCTTCTTTCTCATACCCCAGATTTAGTCCATTAGAAAATGCGGTATAAAGTGATTGGAAATAGTAGGAATCCAATCACGTCCCACTATTTCCACTGCTCACACCCCAGTTGAAGTAACCGACATCTCCAGCCTGAAATACTGCACTCATTTCCTACAGTTTTCCCACCTGCCTTGCTCATCGCCGGCCTTTGGATTCTGTTCTCAGCAGAGCAGCTACAGTGATCCTTTTAAAAGAGAAGTTGTGGCATGTCTTTATTCTGCTTAAAACTATCTCATTCAAAATCAAAATCCTTCCCACATACTTGAGCCCTATGCCCACATGATCTGACCAAACCCCTGACCTTATCTCAGTGACTCTCTGCTCTAGCCATACCCGATCCCGTGTTCTTCCCAGAACACACAGACATGATCCTGCCCTGGTACACTGACACTGAAGGTTCCTACTCCCTAGAAAAAACTTCTTCCAGATACCCTCATGACAAATTCCTTTATGTCCTTCAAATATTTCATCAAAGGTCACCTTCCCAACAAGGCCCACGCTGACAACCCCGGCACAATAGCTACCTTCTCTGTCCCACAACCCATACTCTGATCACCTGTTCCACAGCACTTATCACCTTCTAACACTTTCCTCATTTACTCTGCATATATTAGAGTGTATGTACCGTCTGCCTCTTCCCACTGGAACACATGCTCCACAAGGCTAGAGATTTTTCTGATTTTACTTCAATGACTTTCCCCAGATGCAAAAACATTCTGTCATATGTCTGGCAGACAGCAAATGTCGGCTGAATGAATCATCACTGTAGAGCACCTCCTATTCTAAAGGCAGTATCTTTATTAACATAGCCTCAGGCCAAATGCGGTTTTGCAGCAACGACAGCACAAGGTCCCCTCACACTGACATCCAGGCCGCCTGTGCTTTTCCCAGCAGTGCTGCTTGTGTGTCCTCCCTCCCTTCCTCCCTGCATCCCTCCTTCACACCAACCCTCTGCACACTGCAGCATGCAATTATATTTCCCTCTTAGGAAAGAACAATCTTTGACTATGAATCCCAATTTCCAAACAAATATAAATCTAAGTTAGACTTTGCTTTATAGATCCATGAGTTTGCATTAGAGCCAGTGCTAGGATTACTACAACTCAGGGAAGGGAGAGTGGGTAGGAGAGCTGAGCAGAAGAGGAGTTCCACTAGAAAGTTACCTAAGATGAGAACTTGTGGCATCCCTCTTCTCTGCTAATTTCAGAATCTAGTTCCTTTAAAAAGGTTGGGGAAAAGATAGAAAATACAATCCAAGAAAGAGCCCTGGAAATAGGGTAAAAGCTGCACGGGCTTGAAAATTCATCTCTTAATACCACAGACTTCTGTGTGCAGGGGCTGCCTTCCACCTTGTGGGGTTAATGACAGGAAAAATGACTCCTGCTGCTGTCAGAGATGAGGGACACCCAGGGGAGAAAGAGATCAGAACGCAGACACCAGAACAGGAACAGGCATAGTCCTCTACAGAAACAAAGAAACCAAAAATAATGATACAAAATATTAGGGCCAGACCATAGACTGACCCAGCCCATGAAGCCCTTGCTGTCCACGGTCCTAGAGACAGGACAAGGCCCAGGCAATGTTTGTGTGCCTGTGATCACAGGTCCTGGTGAAACAAGGTTCTACTGAAGGGACACAAACAATGGAGCAGTGAAGATGACCAACCCAATGAATGACCACGTCAAATTCCATGATGAACTGAGCATAGGCTGTCCACACTCAGCTCCTCACAGCCCTCTCTCTCCTGTCTCCACCTACAACAGGCCCAGCACAGCAAAAATGGATTCTGGAAGGCTCTCAGGTTTTACTTCCTCTCTCAAGTTTTAAGAGTCTTGCTCTCCTTTCATTGAACAATCAACCCAACCTCATGGCAAGAATTTGAAAAATTCATATCCAGGTTCTTATTTTGAATAGTGGAGTAAGTGGCAGCTCAGTGAAACTTAAAAGTTAAGACATGAATAGAAATGTCCCAGCCTCACCTCTGTTGAAAAAAAACTTGACCGGGGAAGAGAGGACAGGTTAGTGTGGGGTGGTGGTCCTGGTGGCAGTGGTGGACCAGTAGCCCATTTCCTCACATTATGCTAACTGGAACACAGACACATAGATATATTCACGTGTCAAGTGCAGATATAGAAGTCAGGAGCTCTTGAAATTACAATGGTGTGTGTCAGAGGAAGGACCTGAAGAAATTTTGTATCTCTCAGTCCCACTCAAGGCAGTTGTCTCAAGCTACAGGAGAAAATAATCATAAACAAATCCAGGGCAGTCACTGTACCTGGTGACACTCTGAACAGCCTACCACATGGTCAAGATGTCTAAATCCAGAGAACCCCTCAACAGAATCATGTCCCCTCTGCCTCACCCCCACCCACTTCAGGCCCCCCCATGTCTCACCTTTACAAGTATCATGAGATGCATCAGAGTACTGAGCACAATTGCTGCCTGGGGTAGAACAAAAATAGGAACTGGTCAGAGCCCACAGGAGATGTGGCTAAAGGAGGAATCTTGTCTACACTGTCCCAACGATCTCAGGGAGCAGCCCTCTAATCCCCCATACTAACAGGCAGCCCGAGCATAGCTCCTCCTTGTTCTATCTGTGAGAAAAAAACAACCTGTGAGAGGTCAGGGAGGACATGGGGCATGAGGTCCTTAAGGAAACAGCAAATCCTGGACCCCAGGAAAATTTCCAGAACTGTGACTGCAGACCCAGGGCAGGATCAGGAAACATGAGGAAAGCAGGTGTGGTGACTGGACCAACTGCCCTCCTGAGGTCTGTCCTCAGTAGGGATCTTCCCTTGTGACCTGTGACTGCTGGGAGGTCCCCATCACCACAATCATCAAGGTGATAAATTTGTCCTTCGTTTTCACATGTGCTTCACAAAAGAGCAAGTGTTGGCACACAGGGCCCCAGGCTAGGTCGGCCTGTGTGTCGACGGTGCTTCCCAGTGATGAAGCAAGTCACAATTCTACCTGTGGCTTGAAACCCACAGTGGAACAAGAAAACCCAGACCCCACCTCTCACCCCTTCCCTACCTGAGCTTTTCTTCCTCCACATCGCAGCAGCAACCACAGCTCCAGTGACCACAGCTCCAAGGAGAAACAGGCCAGCAACGATGCCCACGATGGGGATGGTGGGCTGAGAAGACGGCTCTGGGAAAGGAGAGGGAGGTGAGGGGTTCTGACCCCCAGGCCTCAGCCCTGCCCTGCTGAAGGTCTCCTGCTTTCCCTGAGAGGAGACAACTTACACCCCTCCTTACCCCATCTCAGGGTGAGGGGCTCTGGCAGCCCCTCATGCTGCACATGGCACATGTATCTCTGCTCCTCTCCGGAAGGCACCACTACAGCCACCCACTTCTGGAAGGTTCCGTCCCCTGCAGGCCTGGTCTCCACAAGCTCCGTGTCCTGGGTCTGGTCCTCCCCATCCTGCTGCCAGGTCAGTGTGATCTCCGCAGGGTAGAGGCCCAGGGCCCAGCACCTCAGGGTGGCCTCATGGTCAGAGATGGGGTGCTGGGTCACATGTGCCTTTGGGGGATCTGAGGGGAAGAGTCAGAAAATTCAGGCACTTTGCATTCCTCATAGGACACTCCAGCAGCATACATGTGACCATCCTGAGAATGGACAGGACACCTGGGATGGGGAAGGGAGCACAGAACCCAGACACCAGCCTGGACACAGGAATCTGGGATAATCTCCTATTCCTTGGAAAGTTCGAGTCTCTGATGGGGGAGCAGGGACTTCTGGTCCTGACCTGAGTGGAGGCCAAGGCACTCAGAAGAGCTGGAATCGGAGCCACGGACACACTGAGTGTGAGGGAGAGAACAAGGCCTGAGAGGAAAATTCCTGGTGCCCCAGGCTGCTGCAGGGGTCAAAGGGGACCACGGATCAGTATTCCAGGGACTGTCTTCTCCTCCATTTCCTCAGGGACTTCATCCCTTAATTGTCCCAGAGAGCAGGGTGGGCTCTCAGAGTTACTCTCTGGTACAGGATCTGGAAACCCAGGATTCTTCCCATTCAGGACCAGTGGGAGGGCGATATTCTAGCATTGGTCCCATTTTCCTACTCTCCTGGTGGGAGGCCAGCCCGGGAAATCTACAGGAAATGAGGGAGGCGCCCCCGTGGCCCCTGGTACCCGCGTGCTGCAGCGTCTCCTTCCCGTTCTCCAGGTGTCTGCGGAGCCACTCCATGCACTTGCCCTCAGGTAGGCCCTGACCTGCTCTGAGTATTTGTCCGCTTCCCACTTGTGCTGGGAGATCTGAGCCGCTGTGTTCGCGGCGGTCCAGGAGTGCAGGTCCTCGTTCAGGGCGATGTAATCCTTGCCATCGTAGGCGAACTGTTCATACCTGCGGAGGAGGCGCCTGTCGGGCCCACGTCGCAGCCATGCTTCCTCTGGATGGTGTGAGAACCATGGCCTCGCCCCCGCCGTCAGCCCCGAACACCGAGCCCCGCTCCCGCCCCGACCAACCCGCGGGGATTTTGGCCTAAACTGAAATTAAACCGGGTAAAGGCGCCCGAGTTTCTTCCCTGGTCGAGGGTCTGGGCAGGTCCCGCAGCCTCGGGGTGGATCTCAGACCGGAGACTCAGACCCGGGACCTGGGCTGTCCGTGGGGGATGGGGAGGGATCGTGACCTGCGCCCCGGGCCAGGGTCACTCACCGGCCTCGCTCTGGTTGTAATAGCGGAGCAGGGTCCGCAGGTTCACTCGGTAAATCTGCGCGTGGCCCTTGGCGTTCCGTGTCTCCTGGTCCCAATACTCCAGCCCCTCCTGCTCCACCCACGGCGCCCGCCGCTCCATCCTCGGACTCACGGAGTCGCTGTCGAACCGCACGAACTCTGTGTCGTCCACGTAGCCCACGGCGATGAACCGGGGCTCCCCGCGGCCGGGCTGGGACACTGCGGTGCTGAAATACCTCAAGGAGTGGGAGCCTGGAGGCGAGGAGAGGCTGAGACCCGCCCGACCCTCCTCCCGGCGCGGCTCCCCGGGCCGGGCGGGCCACTCGCTTCTCCCCGCAGAGGCCCTTTCCCTCCCGACCCCGCACTCACCGGCCCAGGTCTCGGTCAGGGCCAGGGCCCCCAAGAGCAGCAGGAGGAGGGTTCGGGGAGCCATGACCCCCATCCTTGGCGTTTGGGGAGAATCTGAGTGCGGGTGGTTGCGCCGGGACTGTAGTGCCGGGATCTTAGTGCCGGGATCGCGGCGAAGCTGATTGGCTTCTCTAAAAACCCGGCACCCAATGGGAGTGAGAAGTGGGATTATGTCACAAGTATCCAGGAAGAAGGTTGGGAGAACCAAAACTCAGGGGAGTGGGCAATCCCCAACCCTGTGACTCCCCAGTGCAGTCATCGCTCTTGGGGCCTGAGACCCAGAGAGCCACGCCTGGGGCCTGGGACTTTGTCCTGACCTCTCTTTTCCTACGCCAGCCTCTTTGTCACACTGACTGCCTGAGTCCTGGTCAAGGATCTGTCTGTGGAAACTAGGGAGAGAACCCCCAGGCTGGGCCCAGCCCCTTCCCATTCACGCTCATCCTGGAATCCTCGTCCCTGAACTGGACTTCCGACTCCTTACCTCTCCCCTTGGACTATCCTAGAAGAAAACTCACCCCAGGGAACTTTGATGCCAGAGAGTGAGCTCGCCTTGGGAATGGCGGTGTAGAGAAAGGGGTTTTCTCTTTAAACCTGGTGAAGTTGTGGCTGAAGGCACAAGATAGAGATTCTCATAGTGACCAGGTTTTTTTGTTTGTTTGTTTATTAATACAGTGGTTAGCACAATCTAACCCCTGAATGATCAGGATTCTAATCTGTAAAAGACCTGATTTTGCCTGCTTCATATATAAGTGTATCCAAACAGCATTGCAATTCGAGTCACAAAGCTTCTAAGTTTACTTTCCCAGACTGTGGATCCATGACTCTGGGTTGTTGCATTTAAAATTATCTTCATTCCATAGCCCGAGTTTCCCTGTGTGAGTCCAGGACATCTCAATACAAAGAAGCAGGATTTGTTACTGTATATTGTAACAAGGAGCCTCAAAATTGCACTGAAGTCAAAATGCCTATCATCAATGCTTAAGCACTGCTTGTTTTTATGAATTATGCACATCTAAGCAGTGTGCACATTTTATTTGCATACTTGGTATTTTTTTACTCTTATGTTTTTAATCATGAGGAGGCCATTAGTTTTTGGCAGTCCCACAAAATGTATTAAATACCGAATGCATGTCAAGAACCCCCTGCTAGGCTCCTCCACTGCTTTAGAGTCCTTTCCCTTGCTCCTTTTCCTCACTTCCTGTCTCTCCAGCCCTTCTCTCTGCCCCTCTCATCCCTCACACCCTCCCCTCCCCTTAGTCCCTGCCACCCTCTCACCCCTGAATTGTGGCACTAACACTGTCCCTCACTTCCTGCCCATGTCTGTTCTCCCCACAGTGCTCAGCAGTTCTGCTAATGTGACTCAGGTCGTGTCATTTCTTCACTTACAATGGTTGGGTTTTGGTCTACCATTTTGCTGTATGTTTTCAATTT
The DNA here is from genome assembly GCF_000001405.40 of Homo sapiens. Classification (NCBI taxonomy): domain Eukaryota; kingdom Metazoa; phylum Chordata; class Mammalia; order Primates; family Hominidae; genus Homo; species Homo sapiens. The sequence goes on along the minus strand of NT_167248.2, from coordinate 1,513,322 downwards.
GTCTCGTATCTTTTTGTTTCTATTCCTCCTTTCCTACTTTCTTATGTGTTAAGTAAACATTTTTTAGTTTATGGTTTTAATTCTAGTGGCTTTTAGGTATATTTCTTTACACTAATTTTTTATTGTTGTAAGAATTGAAACCCGATTCCTTGACTTTTCATGGTGAAGTTCAGGTAATATTAAGCTGCATCCAGCAAAATAAAGGACACTTGTAAGAGTGTAGTTTCATGTAACCTACCATTGTGCTATTCTTGTTGTATATATTACATCAATATACTTTATAAACTCAATAATACAGTAATACTTTTTGTTTTAAGCATTCATATTGTCATTAAGAAAATGAGTGTGTATGTGATCTGTGTATGTGCATAATTTCTGTTGTTAATTATCCCTTTCTATATATCTAGGTCACCATCTAGTATCATTTCCCTTCAGCCTGAAGAACTTCCTTCAAAATTATACGTAGTACAAGATCCCTAGGAAATGAATTTTCTGATTTGGATTATGTAAAAGTGTCTTCATTTTTGCCTTCTTCCCCCACCTTTTTTTTTCCTAATTGGGGCGTTTGTGTATAATAAAACTCACCAGTTTTAGCTACAATGTTTTATGAATATTGGTAATTATTTATAGTCATGTAACTACCACATTGCCCAGATAGAGGACAGTTTCTTTTCCCTAAAAACTTTCCTTATGCCCCTTTTCTATTTAATCCTTGCCTCCCACCCTCACCCCCTTCTCTTCACTCAACCACTGCTGTGCTTTCTGTTACTGTAATAATGAAATTTCTAGAATTTCATGGACATGCAATCATATGTTATGTAGTCCTTTGGTCTCTCACTTGTCATAACAATATTTGAGATTTTTCCATGTAGTTAAGAGTAATAATATTTCATTCATTTTTGTCACTGAGTAGCTGCTGAGTATTGTTGGAATTCCAGTTTATTCGTTGGTTTCTCTATTCTCCAGCTGATAAACGTGGGTTATTTCCGGTTAGGGTCTGTAATTAATGAAACCACTATAAATAACTGACTACAAGTCTTTGCATGGCCTTAAATTTTCATTTCCTTTGGATAAATAAATATTTGTGGAATTGTTGGGTGATATGGTAAATGGATAGGTAGCTGTTTAAGAAATTGCCATATTATTTTACAAACTGACTGCAACTTTTTTTTGCGTTCCTACCAACAATATAAGAGATTTTTATTTTTTCCATATTCATACCAGTATTTAGAATTATCATATGTCTTTTGAACTTTACTTATTCTAGGTGATGTGTGATGGTTTCTCATTGTGGTTTTAACTTGCACTTCTTTGATGACTAGTATTGTTGCTATCTTGTCATGTTTGTCTAAGAGACTTATTACATATCTTTTGTGAACAATTTTGCAAATTTAATTATTACTTCCAGAGACTTTTTCAGAATTCCTTATTGTTTTCTACATATGTAATTAAGCTGAGAAAGAAAGATTTTATTTCTTCCTTTCCTATCTATTGTTTTTTTTCTTTTAAAAATTATTTATATTTAGTAAAGACAGGGGTCTAACTATGTTGCTCAAGCTAGTCTCAAACTCTTGAACTAAAGTGATCCTCCCACCTTGGCCTCCCAAAGTGCTGAGATTACAGGCATGAGGCACCACACTTGGCCCTTTTATTGGTCTTTTATTTCATTTTCTTGCCATATTGCACTAGTTAGGATGCTCGTAAGGTGTTTTAAACAAAAATGAGGAGAGCCACATCTTTGCTTTGTTGCTAATCTTAGGAAGTAAGCATCTGGCCTTTCATAATTGAATATGAGGGTAGCTGTAAACTTTTCGTGGGTGTCCTTAACCACATTGAAGATATTCCTTTCGATTTTGTTTGCTGAGCTATTTTGTCATGAAATGGTCTTGATTTTGCAAGTGCTTTTTCTGCATTGACTATAATAATTGTGCAACATTTGTTCTTTGTTCTATTAATTGGGTGAATTGTATTGTTTAATTTTCAGATGTTAAACCAACCTTACTTTCCCTTTAAAAAAACCAATATGGCATGGCATATTATTCATTTTATGTATATCTTAATTGGATAACGTTTTGTATTGAATTGTGAGTCTGTGTTCAAGAGGAATATTTGTTCTTGATTCTTTTTCTTGTGATGTTCTTGTCTGGGATTTTTATTTGGGTAATGCTGGTGATATGGTTTGGCTCTATGTCCCCACCCAAATATTATCTTGAATTGTACTCCCATAATTCCCATGTGTTGTGGGAGGGACCCAGGGGACCCAGTGGGAGATAATTTGAATCATGGGGTTGGTTTCCCCCATACTGTTCTCGTGGTAGTGAATAAGTCTCATGAGATCTGATGGTTTTATCAGGGGTTTCTGCTTTTGCATCTTCCTCATTTTCTCTTGTTACCGCCATGTAAGAAGTGCCTTTCACCTCCCGCCATGATTCTGAGGCCTCCCCAACCATGTGGAATTCTAAGTCCAGTTAAACCTCTTTTTCATCTCAGTCTTGGGTATTTCTTTATGAGCAGCATGAAAACGCACTAATACAGTAAATTAGTACCAGTAGAGTGGGTGCTACTGAAAAGACACCCGAAAATGTGGAATTGACTTTGGAACTGGGTATTAGGCAGAGGTTGGAACAGTTTGGAGGGCTCAGAACAAGACAGAAAAATGTGGGAAAGTTTGGAACCTCCTAAAGACTTGTTGAATGCCTTTGACAAAAATGCTGATGGTGATATGAACAATAAGGTCCAGGCTGAGGTGGTCTCAGATGGAGATGAGGAACTTGTTGGGAACTGGAGCAAAGGTGACTCTTGTTACGTTTTAGCAAAGAGACTGGTGGCATTTTGCCCCTGCCCTAGAGATCTGTGGCACTCTGAACTTGAGAGAGATGATTTAGGGTATCTGGCAGATAAAATTTCTAAGCAGCAAAGCATTTAAAATGTGACTTGGGTGCTGTTAAAAGCATTCCATTTTAAAAGGGAAACAGAGGATAAAAGTTCAGAAAATTTACAGCCTGACGATGCAATAGAAAGAAAAACCAATTTTTTTGAGGAGAAACTCAAGCTGGCTGCAGAAATTTGCGTAAGTAACAAAGAGCCAAATGTTGATCCCCCAAGACAATGGGGAAAATGTCTCCAGGGCATGCCATAGGTCTTCATGGCAGCCCCTCCCATCACAGACCCAGAAGCACAGGAGGAAAAAATGGTCTCCTGGTCCAGGCCCAGGGTTCCCATGCTGTGTGCAGCTTAGGGACTTGGTGCCCTGGGTCCCAACTGCTCCCACGGCTGCTAAAAGGGGCCAAGCTTGGTACAGCTTGGCCCATGGCTCCAGAGGGTGCAAGCTTTAAGCCTTGACAGCTTCCACATGGTTTTGAGCCTGCAGGTGCACAGAAGTCAAGAATGGAGGTTTGGGAACCTCCATCTAGATTTCAGAAGATGTATGGAAATGCTAAGATGCCCAGGCAAAAGTTTGCTGCAGGGGCAGGGCCCTCACGGAGAACCTCTGCTAGGGCAGTGTGGAGGGGAAATAGGGGGCTGGAGCCCCCACACAGAGTTCCTATTAGGGCACTGCCCAGTGGAGCTGTGAGAAGAGGGCCACGGTGCTCCAAATCTCAGAATGGTAGATTGACCAACAGCTTGCACTGTGCACCTGGAAAAGCCAGATACTCACGCCTGACTGTGAAAGCTGGCTGCATAGATTAAATTGAAAGTTGTTGCCTCCTTTAATTTCTAAAAGGTATGTGTAAAATTGATGTTATTTCCAAATTATTTGTTAGATACATTTCATCAATGAAGCCTTCTGGACCTGGAGTTTCCTATATGAGAAGGATTTTGATTACACATTCAATTTCTACAATCAATATATGACTGGCCACATTTTCTATCTCTTCTCAGGTCAGTTTTCATAAGTTTTCTCTCTCAAGGAAATTGTTCATTTCATTTGCTTGTCAAACTTATTGACATGAGATTATCAATATTTCTTTTTGAGATCTAGAGAGTGTGCACTGATGTTCGTTTTTTCTTGACATTGTTAATGTGCATCTTTTTGTCTTGATCAGTCTAGCTAGAAATTTATAAAGTGTACTGATTTTTCCCCATAGAACCAATATTTGGGTTCATTAATTTTCTCTGTCTTTCTGCTTCATTTTTTCCATTTAATTATTATTTTCTTCCTTCTCCATGCTTTGGTTTAATTTGTTTTTCTTTGTTTCTTATAGCAGAAGCTAATTTACTAATTTGAGACCTACCTTCTTTCTTAATATAGGCATTTAAGGGTATTGGTTTTTTCTCTAGTACTACTTCAGCTGCATCCCATACATTTGATATGTATGTTTCATTATCCTTCAGAATACAGAAGACTTTCTAATTTCTCTAGATTTCCTCTTTGAATAAATTGTCATTTAGAATTTTGATGTTAATTTCCAATACTTGGTAGTATTTTCATCATCATCTGTCTTAGTCAATCTGGGCAGTTATAAAAGAATACCATAGACTATGTGGCTTGCAAACAACAGAAATCTATTTCTCACAATTCTGGAGGCTGGAAAGTCAAAGATCAAGGCCTGGGAAGAGTCCATGTATGGTAAGGGCTGCTTCCTGATTCATGGATGTTGCTTTTCCTTGGTGTCCTCACATGGTGGAAGGGGCAAGGAGCTCTCTGGGGTCCCTTTTATAAGGGCATTCATTTCATTAATGAGGGTTTTGCCTTCATTGCATGATCACTTCCTAATGGCTCCACCTCCAAACACCATCACATTAGAGATTAGGTTTCAATTATGAGTTTAAGGATGACAAAAGCATTCAGTCCCACAGGATCATCTTATTGTTACAGATTTCTTTTTTTTAAGTTATTTTTTTTAATGTCTATATATTTTTATTATACTTTAAGTTCTAGGGTACATGTGCACAATGTGCAGGTTTGTTACATATGTATACATGTGCCATGTTGGTGTGCTGCAAACATTAACTCGTCATTTACATGAGGTATATCTCCTAGTGCTATCCCTCCGCCCTCCCCCCACCCCACAACAGGCCCCGGTGTGTGATATTCCCCTTCCTGTGTCCAGGTGTTCTCATTGTTCAATTCCCACCTGTGAGTGAGACCATGCGTTGTTTGGTTTTTTGTCCTTGGGATAGTTTGCTGAGAATAATGGTTTCCAGCTTCATCTGTGTCCCTACAAAGGACATGAACTCATCCTTTTTTATGGCTGCGTAGTATTCCATGGTGTATATGTGCCACATTTTCTTGATCCAGTCTATCATTGATGGACATTTGGGTCGGTTCCAAGTCTTTGCTATTGTGAATAGCGCCACAATAAACATACGTGTGCATGTGTCTTTATAGCAGCATGACTTATAATCCTTTGGGTATATACCCAGTAATGGGATGGCTGGGTCATATGGTATTCCTAGTTCTAGATCCCTGAGGAATCGCCACACTGTCTTCCACAATGTTTGAACTAGTTTACAGTCCCACCAACAGTGTAAGTGTTCCTATTTCTCCACATCCTCTCCAGCACCTGTTGTTTCCTGACTTTTTAATGATCATGATTCTAACTGGTGTGAGATGGTATCTCATTGTGGTTTTGATTTCCTTTTCTCTGATGGCCAGTGATGATGAGCATGTTTTCATGTGTCTGTTGGCTGCATAAATGTCTTCTTTTGAGAAGTGCCTGTTCATATCTTTGCCCATTTGTTGATGGGGTTGTTTGTTTTTTCTTGTAAATTTGTTTGAGTTCCTTGTAGATTCTGGATATTAGCCCTTTGTCAGATGAGTAGATTGAAAAAATTTTCTCCCATTCTGTAGGTTGCCTGTTCACTCTGATGGTAGTTTCTTTTGCTGTGCAGAAGCTCTTCAGTTTAATTAGATCCCATTTGTCAATTTTGGCTTTTGTTGCCATTGCTTTTGGTGTTTTAGTCATGAAGTCCTTGCCCATGCCAATGTCCTGAATGGTATTGCCTAGGTTTTCTTCTAGGGTTTTTATGGTTTCAGGTCTAACATTTAAGTCTTTAATCCGTCTTGAATTAATTTTTGTATAAGGTGTAAGGAAGGGATCCAGTTTCAGCTTTCTACATATGGCTAGCCAGTTTTCCCAGCACCATTTATTAAATAGGGAATCCTTTCCTCATTTCTTGTTTTTGTCAGGTTTGTCAAAGATCAGATGGTTGTAGATGTGTGGTATTATTTCTGAGGGCTCAATTCTGTTCCATTGGTCTATATCTCTGTTTGGGTACCAGTACAATGCTGTTTTGGTTACTGTAGCCTTGTAGCATAGTTTGAAGTCAGGTAGCGTGATGCCTCCAGCTTTGTTCTTTTGGCTTAGGATTGACTTGGCGATGCAGGCTCTTTTTTGGTTCCATATGAACTTTAAAGTAGTTTTTTCCAGTTCTATGAAGAAAGTCATTGGTAGCTTGATGGGGATGGCATTGAATCTATAAATTAGCTTGGGCAGTATGGCCATTTTCACGATATTGATTCTTCCTACCCATGAGCATGGAATGTTCTTCCATTTGTTTGTATCCTTTTTTATTTCGTTGAGCAGTGGTTTGTAGTTCTCCTTGAAGAAGTCCTTCACATCCCTTGTAAGTTGGATTCCTAGGTGTTTTTTTCTCTTTGAAACAATTGTGAATGAGTTCACTCATGATTTGGCTCTCTGTCTTTTATTGGTGTATGAGAATGCTTGTGATTTTTGCACATTGATTTTGTATCCTGAGACTTTGCCGAAGTTGCTTAGCAGCTTAAGGAGATTTTGGGCTGAGACAACGGGGTTTTCTAGGTATACAATCATGCCATCTGCAAACAGAGACAATCTGACTTCCTCTTTTCCTAATTGAATACCCTTTATTTCCTTCTCCTGCCTGATTGCCCTGGCCAGAACTTCCAACACTATGTTGAATAGGAGTGGTGAGAGAGGGCATCCCTGTCTTGTGCCCGTTTTCAAAGGGAATGCTTCCAGTTTTTGCCCATTCAGTATGATATTGGCTGCGGGTTTGTCATAAATAGCTCTTATTATTTTGAGATACGTCCCATCAATACCTAATTTATTGAGAGTTTTTAGCATGAAGGGCTGTTGAATTTTGTCAAAGGCCTTTTCTACATCTATTGAGATAATCATGTGGTTTTTGTCTTTGGTTCTGTTTATATGCTGGATTATGTTTATTGATTCGCGTATGTTGAGCCAGCCTTGCATCCCAGGGATGAAGCCCACCTGATCATGGTGGATAAGCTTTTTGATGTGCTGCTGGATTCGGTTTGCCAGTATTTTATTGAGGATTTTTGTGTCGATGTTCATCAGGGATATTGGTCTAAAATTCTTTTTTTTGTTGTGTCTCTGCCAGGCTTTGGTATCAGGATGATACTGGCCTCATAAAATGAGTTAGGGAGGATTCCCTCTTTTTCTATTGATTGGAATAGTTTCAGAAGGAATGGTACCAGTTCCTCCTTGTACCTCTGGTAGAATTCGGCTGTGAATCCATCTGGTCCTGGACTCTTTTGGTTGGTAAGCTATTGATTATTGCCACAATTTCAGATCCTGTTATTGGTCTATTCAGAGATTCAACTTCTTCCTGGTTTAGTCTTGGGAGAGTGTATGTGTCCAGGAATTTATCCATTTCTTCTAGATTTTCTAGTTTATTTGCGTAGAGGTGTTTGTAGTATTCTCTGATACTAGTTTGTATTTCTGTGGGATCGGTGGTGATATCCCCTTTATCATTTTTTATTGCGTCTATTTGATTCTTCTCTCTTTTTTTCTTTATTAGTCTTGCTAGCGGTCTATCAATTTTGTTGATCCTTTCAAAAAACCAGCTCCTGGATTCATTAATTTTTTGAAGGGTTTTTTTGTGTCTCTATTTCCTTCAGTTCTGCTCTGATTTTAGTTATTTCTTGCCTTCTGCTAGCTTTTGAATGTGTTTGCTCTTGCTTTTCTAGTTCCTTTAATTGTGATGTTAGGGTGTCAATTTTGGATCTTTCCTGCTTTCTCTTGTGGGCATTTAGTGCTATAAATTTCCCTCTACACACTGCTTTGAATGTGTCCCAGAGATTCTGGTATGTTGTGTCTTTGTTCTCGTTGGTTTCAAAGAACATCTTTATTTCTGCCTTCATTTCGTTATGTACCAAGTAGTCATTCAGGAGCAGGTTGTTCAGTTTCCATGTAGTTGAGTGGTTCTGAGTGAGATTCTTAATCCTGAGTTCTAGTTTGATTGCACTGTGGTCTGAGAGATAGTTTGTTATAATTTCTGTTCTTTTACATTTGCTGAGGAGAGCTTTACTTCCAAGTATGTGGTCAATTTTGGAATAGGTGTGGTGTGGTGCTGAAAAAAATGTATATTCTGTTGATTTGGGGTGGAGAGTTCTGTAGATGTCTATTAGGTACGCTTGGTGCAGAGCTGAGTTCAATTCCTGGGTATCCTTGTTGACTTTCTGTCTTGTTGATCTGTCTAATGTTGACAGTGGGGTGTTAAAGTCTCCCATTATTAATGTGTGGGAGTCTAAGTCTCTTTGTAGGTCACTCAGGACTTGCTTTATGAATCTGGGTGCTCCTGTATTGGGTGCATATATATTTAGGATAGTTAGCTCTTCTTGTTGAATTGATCCCTTTACCATTATGTAATGGCCTTCTTTGTCTCTTTTGATCTTTGTTGGTTTAAAGTCTGTTTTATCAGAGACTAGGATTGCAACCCCTGCTTTTTTTTGTTTTCCATTGGCTTGGTAGATCTTCCTCCATCCTTTTATTTTGAGCCTATGTGTGTCTCTGCCCGTGAGATGGGTTTCCTGAATACAGCATACTGATGAGTCTTGACTCTTGATCCAATTTGCCAGTCTGTGTCTTTTAATTGGAGCATTTAGTCCATTTACATTTAAAGTTAATATTGTTATGTGTGAATTTGATCCTGTCATTATGATGTTAGCTGGTTATTTTGCTCGTTAGTTGATGCAGTTTCTTCCTAGTCTCGATGGTCTTTACATTTTGGCATGATTTTGCAGCGGCTGGTACTGGTTGTTCCTTTCCATATTTAGTGCTTCCTTCAGGAGCTCTTTTAGGGCAGGCCTGGTGGTGACAAAATCTCTCAGCGTTTGCTTGTCTCTAAAGGATTTTATTTCTCCTTCACTTATGAAGCTTAGTTTGGCTGGATATGAAATTCTGGGTTGAAAATTCTTTTCTTTAAGAATGTTGAATATTGGCCCCCACCCTCTTCTGGCTTGTAGAGTTTCTGCCGAGAGATCCGCTGTTAGTCTGATCGGCTTCCCTTTGAGGGTAACCCGACCTTTCTCTCTGGCTGCCCTTAACATTTTTTCCTTCATTTCAACTTTGGTGAATCTGACAATTATGTGTCTTGGAGTTGCTCTTCTCGAGGAGTATCTTTGTGGCGTTCTCTGTATTTCCTCAATCTGAATGTTGGCCTGCCTTGCTAGACTGGGGAAGTTCTCCTGGATAATATCCTGCAGAGTGTTTTCCAGCTTGTTTCCATTCTCCCCGTCACTTTCAGGTACACCAATCAGACGTAGATTTGGTCTTTTCACATAGTCCCATATTTCTTGGAGGCTTTGCTCGTTTCTTTTTATTCTTTTTTCTCTAAACTTCCCTTCTCGCTTCATTTCATTCATTTCATCTTCCATCGCTGATACCCTTTCTTCCAGTTGATCGCATCGGCTCCTGAGGCTTCTGCATTCTTCACGTAGTTCTCGAGCCTTGGTTTTCAGCTCCATCAGCTCCTTCAAGCACTTCTCTGTATTGGTTATTCTAGTTATGCATTCTTCTAAATTTTTTTCGAAGTTTTCAACTTCTTTGCCTTTCGTTTGAATGTCCTCCCGTAGCTCGGAATAATTTGATCATCTGAAGCCTTCTTCTCTCAGCTCGTCAAAGTCATTCTCTGTCCAGGTTTGTTCCGTTGCTGGTGAGGAACTGCATTCCTTTGGAGGAGGAGAGGCGCTCTGCTTTTTAGATTTTCCAGTTTTTCTGCTCTGTTTTTTCCCCATCTTTGTGGTTTTATCTACTTTTGGTCTTTGATGATGGTGATGTACAGATGGGTTTTTTGTGTGGATGTCCTTTCTGTTTGTTAGTTTTCCTTCTAACAGACAGGACCCTCAGCTGCAGGTCTGTTGGAGTACCCGGCCGTGTGAGGTTTCAGTCTGCCCCTGCTGGGTAGTGCCTCCCAGTTAGGCTGCTCGGGGGTCAGGGGTCAGGGACCCACTTGAGGAGGCAGTCTGCCCGTTCTCAGATCTCCAGCTGCGTGCTGGGAGAACCACTGCTCTCTTCAAAGCTCAGACGGAAATGCAGAAATCACCCATCTTCTGCATTGCTCACGCTGGGAGCTGTAGACCGGAGCTGTTCCTATTCGGCCATCTTGGCTCCTTCCTCGCTGTTACAACCTCTAAAGGAATTATTTGGGGATATATATCAGATTAAATGAAAATTAAGATAAAACCTGCCAGATACAAAATGAAAACTATTGCATTATTTTACATATATGTAGAATTTTTTAAAAAGTCAAATATACAGAAATAGAGAATAAAATAGTGATTACCAGAGGTAGGGTGGGTGGAAGAAATGGGGAGATGTACCTCAAGGGATACAAAGTAGGAAATATGTAGGATGAACAGGTCTGGAGATCTAATGCCCAACCTGCCAACTATAGCTAATATCAGGGCATTGTAGGCCAGGCATGACGGCTCACGCCTGTTATCCCAGCACTTTGGGAGGCCGAGGTGGGCAGATCACTTAAGGCCAAGGAGTTCGAGACCAGCCTGAGCAGCATGGTGAAACCCTGTCTCTACAAAAATTAGCCAAATGTGGTGCCCGTGCCTGTAGTCCCAGCTACTCGCAAGGCTCAGGTGAGAGGATCTCTTGAGCCTGGGAGGTGGAGGTTGCAGTGAGCCAAGATCGCGCCACTACACTCCGGCCTGGGTGACAGAGTGAGACCTTGTCTCAAAAAAATAAATTAAAAAAATAATAAAAATGGTGTATTGTATTCAGGATTTTTGCTAAATGAGTAAATTATAACTGCTCTTGCAATGAGGGGTTGGGAGTGGGAAGGGAAGCAGGTAACTATGTGAGGTGATGGAGGTGTTAATTTGCTTCACTGTAATAACCATTTTACTCACAGCATCATGTTGTATACCTTAAAATATATTTTAAAAATTAAATTAAAAAAAGAAAATTAAGATAAAGCTTTACATTTTTTTAAAATTTAAAATTAAGATAATGGTAGGCAAAGGTGTATTAACTAAATCCAAAATGAAAGAATTCTGATATCTTGATCTTACTATCGGACAGAATTGAATTTGGGAGAGAAAAATATTAAATAAGACAACAACATTTTTTGTTACTTAAAGATTATAGGCGAAGTGCTATGGCTTATGCCTATAATCCCAGTACTTTGGGAGTCCAAGGCAGGAGAATCACTTGAGGCCAGGAGTTCAAGATCAGACTGAGTAACAGTGAGAACCCCTCTAAAACAATTATTTTAATATTAGCCAGGTGTGATGACATGCACCTGTAGTCCCAGCTACTTGGGAGGCTGAGGCGGAGAGGTAGCTTGAGCCCAAGAGTTCAAGGTTATAGTGAACTATGATTGCACCATTGCATCTAGTCTGGGTGACTGAGCGAGTCTCGGTTTTTTAAAACTCTGTCTCTGTTTTTTAAAACAAGATTATAATTCACAATTAAGATACAACTTTCCTTAAAAGTCATGTAGAAAAAGAACATCAAAATGTAAAAAGCAAAAACTATATCAATATAAGAAAAAATAGGCTGGGCACGGTGGCTCACGCCTGTAATCCCAGCACTTTGGGAGGCTGAGGCGGGCAGATCACGTCAGGAGTTCGAGACCAGCCTGGCCAACATGGTGAAACCCTGTCTCTACTAAAAATACCGAAATTAGCTGGGTGTGGTGGTGCACACCTATAATCCCAGCTACTCGGGAGGCTGAGGCAGGAGAATCACTTGAACCCGGGAGGTGGATGTTGCAGTGAGCCAAGATCGTGCCGCTGCACTCCAGCCTGGACAACAGAGCAAGACTCCATCTCAGAAAAAAAAGAAAAAATAGGCAAAAACTCACTGTTAGTAGGAATCTGTGACTGACTTCTTTTAGTCCGTGACATATCAAGAAGTCAGAAAATAAGTATTAGTACAAAATACCTAGATAACAGAATTACTAAGGCCAACCTTACAGAGATATACAAAATCCTATTCTATTCCAAGAAAAAGTGCACCTTCTTTTCAAGTGTCTGAAACTGTCCAAAAATTTACAACATATAACCTAGAAAGCCTCAAAAAAAGTCCAAAAAGTAGACATAGCAAACTTTTCTTATCACAAGACTTGAAAACTATGAAACAAAAAGACCTATTAGAAAAAAACTCAGCATATCACTGACAAATAGCTTCTTTCTTAAACAAATCTTATGTTAAATAGAAAATCAAATTCAAAATTTCAAAATATCTAGAAAACAGTAATAAAAATACCATATGCTAGAAATTATGGTACTTTGTAAAAGCAGGGCTCAACAATCCATAAAAGTAGGAGGGAAAAAAGGGACAGGCAAATAGAAGAGATAAAATAGAACTACACAGCTGAGTGTGGCAGTATGTGCCTGTATTCCCAGGTACTTGGGAGTCTGAAGTGAGAGGATCGCTTGAGCCCAGGAGCCCAGGAGTCCGGCCTGGGCAACATAAGGAGACCCTTGTCTCTTAAAAAAAAAAAAAGAAAAGAAAAGAAAAGAAAGAGGGGGGCGGGCGTGGTGGCTCATGCCTGTAATCCCAGCACTTTGGGAGGCTGAGGCGAGCAGATCACAAGGTCAGGAGTTCGAGACCAGCCTGGCCAACATAGTGAAACCCCATTTCTACTAAAAATACAAAAAATAATTAGCTGGGCATGGCGGCGGGCACCTGTAATCCCAGCTACTTGGGAGGCTGAGGCAGGAGAATCTCTTGAACCCAGGAGGCGGAGGTTGCAGTGAGCCAAGATTGTACCATTGCACTCTAGCCAGGGCAACAGTGCGAGACTCCAGCTCAAAAGAAAAAGAAAAAGGTAGAAATACACAAAATAAGAAATGAAAACATTCAGATATAAAAAGAAAAATTAGTAAATCTAAGCACATTATCTTGATCAACTATGCAAATTATTTTGAAAATGTGAATGAAATAGTAATTTTCCATGGATAAATACTAAATATTCCATTGCATATTGTCAGAATGGATTTATTTAAAAACAGAACAAAATTTATGTTGCTTATAAGAGACATTTTTAAAAAACACAGAAAGTTTGAGAATTAAAGGACAGAAAAAGAAATGCCATGTGAACACTAATCAATATAAAGCTGGAATAATTTTGCTAAAGCGGACAAAACACTTCAAGGCAAGAAGTATTACCCATTCTGTGTCAACCTCATTTTTTATATCATTATTCATCTCTCATATGTGTCTATCTGGTATCCCCAGCCATAATCTGGTAACCTATCTCATCACACGCCTTTCTACCCAGTGTTTTGCCCACAGGAAATGCTCAGTATATGCCAGTAGTCCTGGGTGTCTCTGCAGATAAGTTGTGTATTATCAAAATGCCTGACTTTATTCTCTGTTCAAAGCTTCTCTGTATCATGTGGGTATGATTTTGAAAACTGTCAATGTTAAATGTTTAACATATTCCTCAGACCCACTGCTGAGGAATGTCCTGCGGAGGACAGTCTAGAACTCAAATGAAAGACATGAGGAAGAAATCATTATCCCTGTGAGCCATAGAAGTGTTTGCTTTCTATGGACAACCAGAATGCAGGAAACCTCACTATCAGGCAGAGGACAATCTGATAATGAAATGTGCTCTACAGAATATGGGAGAAACTGTGGCCAGGAGTGGAGGCTGGGAACCATGTAGGAAGGGGAAGAATGAAAGGAAACTAGTTTTAGAAATGAACATGGATTCTAAATTTTCTCCAATACTTTTCTATAATCTCCTCTCATTTTATTTTTCTCAGCCCATTACCATCGTAAGTTCCATGACAATATTTTTTTCTAGAACTCCCTCCTCTATTCCATAGAATACCTTTCAACATACACTAACCAGAATAACCTCTCTCCCTTCTAAACAATCCCTTTCCAGCACTTGTCAAATTTCAGTAAGATGATAGAAAGAGAAAACAATAAGGAGACATAAGTGGTTAAAATTTAAAAGAAAAAAAGCAAGCAGCACTTACCTGCATATTATGTCACTTGGGTCCCGGAAAAAAACAGAACACAGACATTGTCATAAAAATAGTTCTCAGGAGCCGTCATCATTCTCTACTGTGGGATCATTGAGAAATGGGTATACACCAGGACTGAACAGAGAATTATTCTGATGGACCCGGACCTGTCCTCCCTCTGTTGCAGTTTCTTTTTTTCTTTTCTTTTCTTGTTTTTTTTTTTTATTTTTTTATTATTTTTTTATTTTTTTTTTCATTTGAGATGGAGTCTCACTCTGTCACCCAGGCTGGAGTGCAGTGGTGTGATCTTGGCTCACTGCAACCTCTGTCTCCCGGGTTCAAGCGATTCTCCTGCCTCAGCCTCCAGAGTAGCTGAGATTACAGGCACCTGCCACCATGTCCGGCTAATTTTTGTATTTTTAGTAGAGATGGGATTTCACTATGTTGGCCAGGATGGTCTCGAACTCCTGACCTCGTTATCTGCCTGCCTCAGCCTCCCACAGTGCTGGGATTATAGGCATGAGCCACTACTCCCAGCCTGCAGTTTCTTTCTTTTTTTTTTTGAGATGGAGTCTGGCTCTGTCGCCCAGGCTGGAGTGCAGTGGCACAATCTCGGCTCACTGCAAACTCCGCCTCCCGGGTTCACGCCATTCTCCTGACTCAGCCTCCGGAGTAGCTGGGACTACAGGCACCCACCACCACACCCGGCTTCATTTTTGTATTTTTTAGTAGAGACGCGGTTTCACTGTGTTAGCCAGGATGGTCTCGATCTCCTGACCTCATGATCTGCCTGCCTTGGCCTCCCAAAGTGCTGGGATTACAGGTGTGAACCACTGTGCCTGGCCTGCAGTTTCAATTTATAAGGACAAATGCTTCCCCTTCATGTCTTTCATTCGAGTTCTAGACTATCCTCTTCAGAAACCTTTCTTGATTTATAGACAGATAAAAATCTGTTAAGAATCCCATTGTCTATTCAGTTAAGGCTCAAATTTCAGCCTGCTTTGGAAGGCCTCAACTCAGTTGGCCCCATCATACTTTTCACTTCTCCCTCACTTAATCTGACTCTTCCAGAAAGGTAGCTACCTTCATTCTATGTCCCCTTCTTATCAGTCTTCCTACTCCTATCTTCCCCAGCACCTATGCCCACCTGCCAACACATATACCAAGTTTATTATTACATTCATTTATCTAATTGTAACTAGTGTGTCCCCACCCCCTACCAAGTGGAATGTTTAGCTCCTTTCTGACAATCTAAATCTTACTTAGCTGGGCGTGGTGATGGGTGCCTGTAGTCCCAGCTACTCAGGAGGCTGAGGCAGGAGAATCACTTGAACCCAGGAGGTGAAGGTTGCAGTGAGTTGAGATCGCGCCACTGCACTCCAGCCTGGGTGACAGAGGGAGATGCCATCTCAAATAAATAAATAAATATAAAATAAAATAAATCTTTACGTTTCCTTCAAGGCCAACATCAAAAGCCTCTTCTTTGAAGGCTTCTCTGACTAAACACTAGCTGTTTCCAGAATTCTTGTGGCATCCAATCTGACTGGAAGATTTAACATCAGATTATTTGTTGTAATTATAAATGTACAGATCTTAATATTCCATTATATGGTCTGTGCATATTATAGACCCCTGCCCACTGCACTTTGGGGCTTAAAACCTATTGGTTGGCTAATTCAGTTATTAAAGAATTCAGTAAATGAGAATAACACCTTGTCTCTCTTGACTCTTGGTCCAAATCTCTTGCAAATAGGCCACACCGTAGTCATAGAGCAAGAGGACTCAGATACAGTTTGGTTGGTCCTTTACCTTCAAAAGTTCAAGTGCTGGCTGCCGAGACTTCTCCAACTCAGTGATCAGGGTCCCAAGCTGGACCACCTCCTCAGAACCCTTGATGACACGGCTGTTCCTCCTTTTGGTGAGTTCTTGCTCTAGCCCTACCAGCTGCTCCAACAGGTACTGTTCCCTTTCTCTCAAAAACCGATGGCCCTATTCAAACACTGATACAATGTCTTGCCTGTGGTTCTGAAATGTTGTCTACAGTAAATGCAGAAAGAGAAAAGTGACCTTTTTGAGAGGCTAGGGAACACCAGAACATGTGTGAGATCTTCTGAGGATGAGTTCAGAACAGAAATCTCTTTGATCACTCTCCCCCTCCCCATTCCTCAATACTTCCCCCACACACATACCCCTTCCTCTCCTTAACCTATGCCCCGCTACTACCTACACACACACCCCTGCCCTACACACATACACACATTCATACAGAACATTTACTAGAGACCTCTCTTACCACCAGGGCCTGAATCTCATCTTCTCCCATAGATTGAGAATTCTGAATGCTATCCTTGTATCCCTTCAGAATCTTCCGATGGTTTAGAATTTTGCCCTATGAAAATAAACAAGGATAGTCTCGGGCTGGGCGTGGTGGCTCATGCCTGTAATCCCAGTACTTTGGGAGGTCGAGGCAGGTGGATTACCTGAGGTCAGGAGTTAAAGACCAGCCTGGCCAACATGGTGAAACCCTGTCTCTACTAAAAAATACAAAAATTAGCTGGGCATGGTGGTGAGCACCTGTAATTCCAACTACTTGGGAGGCTGAGGCAGGAGAATCAGTTGAACCTTGGAGGCGGAGGTTGCAGTGAGTCGGGATCGCGCCACTGCACTCCAGCCTGGGCAACAAGAGCAAAACTCTGTCTCAAGAAAAGAAAAAAAAAGAAAAAGAAAAAGAAAATAAACTTGAATAGTCTCAAGATCAAGATGAAAATGACCTCAATGAAAAAAGGGAGATGCAAAGTGATTCCAGAGTGAAATCCAACTGCATTTGACCATGTGTAGTTTAATAATGGTTGTGTGGAACAATTTCCATTCTAGTTAATAAGGAAGATCCATTGAGTGATACAATGGCCTAGAGCAATTTCTTAGAAGTAAGACAAAATAATATCGTATTATCATTATAACTAACAAGACTTATGGTATAGTTTCTAATTTATATTTACACTATCCTTTTCTACCAAAAATACAGACAATTAAAATTAAAATTAATTAAT
Source organism: Homo sapiens (assembly GCF_000001405.40). Classification (NCBI taxonomy): domain Eukaryota; kingdom Metazoa; phylum Chordata; class Mammalia; order Primates; family Hominidae; genus Homo; species Homo sapiens. The sequence continues at coordinate 1,496,108 of NT_167248.2, read as the reverse complement.
AAAACAAAAATAGAAGGTGGGTGCAGTGGTATGTGCCTGTAGTCCCAGCTATTTGGGAAAATAAGGGTGAAGTATCTCTTGAGCCCAAGTCTTTGAGGGCATACCTTGGCAACATAGTGAGACCCTGTCTTGTAAAAAGAAAAAAAAATAGAAACAAAAAATTAACACAAAAAGTCAAGGAAAGTATATATGCCAACTCCAAATAATAATAATAATAACTATTATTATTATTATTGTAGAGATGGGGTCTTGCTATAGCCCAGGCTGGTCTCCTGTTCTCAAGCTATCCTCCTGCCTTGGCTTCCCAAAGTGTTGGGATTACAGGCATGAGCCACCACACCTGGCAGCAACTCCAGATTATTAAGAGGATGACTAAATTGGCAGGCAAAGAGAAAAGGGAAACAATGAACTGCCTGATGTTTCTTTTTTCTTTTCTTTTTTTTTTTCTTTTTTTTGAGACAAAGTCTCACACTGCTGCCCAGGCTGGAGTGCAATGGCACAATCTTGGCTCACTGCAAGCTCCGCTTCCTGGGTTCAAGCGATTCTCTTGCCTCAGCCTCCCAAGTAGCTGGGATTACAGGTGCATGCCACCATGCCTGGCTAATTTTTGAATTTTGGTAGAGATGAGGTTTTGCCATGTTGGCCAGGCTGGTCTTGAGTCCCTGACATCAAGTGATTCACCTGCCTTAGCCTCCCAAAGCGCTAGGATTACAGATGTGAGCCACCAAGCCTGGCCTGATGTTTCTTTAGCAGGCAAGAAGAAACATACTAGGACCCCAGAGGAAATAATATTTTCCTTGTTAAATTCTGAAAGAAAAATTACATAGATTTTATACAGGCTGAAATATTGTGAAAAAAAATTTTTTTTTTTTTTGAAATGGAGTCTCGCTCTGTCGCCCAGGCTGGAGTGCAGTGGCGCGATCTCGGCTCACTGCAAGCTCCGCCTCCCGGGTTCACGCCATTCTCCTGCCTCAGCCTCCCGAGTAGCTGGGACTACAGGCGCCCGCCACCACGCCCGGCTAATTTTTTGTATTTTTAGTAGAGACAGGATTTCACTGTGTGTGCCAGGATGGTCTCGATCTCCTGACCCTGTGATCCGCCCGCCTCGGCCTCCAAAAGTGCTGGGATTACAGGCGTGAGCCACCGCACCAGACCTCAAAAATATTTTTATAACAACTGTGTACATACCACTTGAAGCTATATACTACGAGAGCTATCAGGAGTGCTGGTATTCTGTATAGCTGATAAGACTTGATCTGAACCTCAGAGATGAAACCATCAAGGCAATGTGATAGACTTACTTCCATAAAAGATATAAAACCAAACCAGCTTTATTATCCAAATGCAAAGGGTAGTACTTTACCAAGAATCTTTCATGCTAAAGAATTTGAACTGTCTTACACCTCTTAGAAATGCTATTATATTTTTTAAAAGATAAGAAGCGTTGGTGAGGATGTGGAGAAAGGGGAACCCTGATACGCTGTTGGTGGAAATGCAAACTGGTACAGCCATTATAAAAACAGTAAGAAGCTCCTCAAATAATTAAAAACAGAACTACCATATGATCCAGCAATTTCACTTCTGGGTATTTATAGCCCATATACTTCCCATGTTCTTTGCAGCACTATTCACAATAACCAAGATTTAAAAAACCCTAAATGTTCACTGATGGATGAATAAAGAAAATGTGGTATATACATACAATGCAATATTATTCAGCCTTAAAGAGAAGGAAATTCTGCCATTGGTAACAACATGGATGGACCTTGAGAACATTATGCTAAGTGAATATGCCAGACACATACTGTGCGACCTCACTTATATGTGGAATCTAAAACAGTCAAACTTACATAAACAGAGTAGAATGGTGGTTGCCAGGGACTGGTGGGGACGGGGAATGGAGGGTTGATGGTCAAAGTTACAAAGTTTCAGTTATGCAAGATAAAGAAGTTCTAGAGACCTACTATATAGCATAATGCCTATAGCTAAAAACACTGTATTGTATACTTCAAATTTACTAAAAGAATAGATCTTTGACTAAGTGTTCTTATCACACACACAAAATAATAACAATAAAGAGGGTGTGTGGAAAGTTTGGAAAGTGATAGACGTGTTTTTGCTGTGATGATGGTTTCAGAGGTGTATACTCATCTACAAACTCATTAATTGGTATACATTAAATATGTATAGCTTTTACATGTCAATCATACCTCAATAAAGTAATGCAAAAAACCTGCACCTTATCCTGAAGGTACCATAGAACTTTCTGGCTAAAAGAACAGAGCTGGGGTCCAACACGATTCTTACCCGACGAGGCTGTGCAGCCTTTTCTAGGAGAACAGCAGCATGGTGCTTGTGTTCTCGGGACTCCAACGCATCACATACACCATCTGCTGGTCATCCTTTGAAGCATTAATGGAGCTTCTCCAGGTGTCGCCTACACAGCTTCTCTGCTTTTTGCTCAGGTGGTCTTTCCTCTCTGGGTTGTCTCTCCTCATCTACCTTCATTCTCCAAATGTTCTCCATCAGGTTGGCCATCTGCCACACATGGCAGATATTTTTTCTTAAAAGCTGGCTTGCACAGAGAACAATGTAATGGTTGCCTAGTAGATTCACAGACCTGAATGATGCAGTGGTAGCAAAAGACATGACCACAGTCAATGGTCACTGGGTCTCTCAAGTAGTCAAGACAGATGGAGAACCTCATCCTCCAGATTTCTCAGAGGGGAGGCAGCAGTTGTGATCACTATGCTCAAGTCCTGCAAAGAGTTCACTCTCAAAGTGAGAAATCACTTTCTAAGAAGACATGAAGAAAACAAAGAAGTTGTGAGTTTAATGAACATCAAAATGGAACCCATGAGAAAATAGTTTTTATGTTCAAACTGCTCCCAACCTTTTTTCTCAAAATCCAAAGTCCCTTCCAGAGCACTACTCAGAACACGTTCTGGCTTGCAGTGTTAGATGAATGTTAATTTTAGGCAGCTAGCTCTGCTGTAAGCATTTCAAAGGGTGCTCATATATGTAATTTTTTTTTCCCCGAGACGGAGTCTCGTTCTGTCGCCCAGGCTGGAGTGCAGTGGCACTATCTCGGCTCACTGCAAGCTCCACCTCCCGGGTTCACGCCATTCTCCTTCCTCAGCCTCCCAGGTAGGTGGGACTACAGGCGCCGGCCACCTTGTCCGGCTAATTTGTTGTGTTTTGAGTAGAGACGGGGTTTCACCGTGTTAGCCAGGATGGTTTCGATCTCCTGATCTCGTGATCTGCCCGCCTTGGCCTCCCAAAGTGCTGGGATTACCGGTGTGAGCCACCGCGCCCGGCCTCATATATGTAATTAAGTGGGAGTATCCTAGAAGATTTTGGACAACTAATTTTTCAATAAAGTCTAAAGGATTTGTGCCCACCTCTCAGTAGATCAGCTCAGTAAAATATATTTCCTGTAAATAATTCAAAAGTAGAGAATAAGAACTAACAAAATTTGGGCCTGTATCTTAAAACTCATCTGAAAACATGAGAGCTACATATTAGAAACCACTAGGTTTTGGCCGGGCGCGGTGGCTCACGCCTGTAATCCCAGCACTTTGGGAGGCCAAGGCGGGCGGATCACAAAGTCAGGAGGTCGAGACCATCCTGGCTAACACGGTGAAACCCCGTCTCTACTAAAAATACAAAAATTAGCCGGGCGTGATGGCGGGCGCCTGTAGTCCCAGGTAGTCGGGAGGCTGAGGCAGGAGAATGGCGTGAACCCGGGGGGCGGAGCTTGCAGTGAGCCGAGATTGTGCCACTGCACTCCAGCCTGGGCGACAGAGCCAGACTCCGTCACAAAAGAAGAGAAAAGAAAAGAATGCACTAGGTTCATCCACAGGTCTGTTATTCATACACTGCCTGAGAAATCTCTTCATCATGGTTTAAACTAATTTTTTTCAAACATGTTTTGAAACATCACAGTAAAAAAGTCACTCATGTCCCAGTCTAATATACATGCATATGCACACACAGACACACACACACACACATTTTGTTGGGTACCATTTTTCTTTATTATTTGTAATATATTCTGATTTTTAAATTACAGTCCGTTTTAAAAATGCTGGTTATAACCTGCAAAATTGGTTTCATGACAGTAGGTATCACCTACATTTTGAAAAACAAATCAAACCACAACTTTATCACTAACAGTGACCTCTACCTACAGATGCAAACTCTGGGGAGCTACCAAGGCCTACTGAACCACCACTTGAATCTTGCACCTTAAACTCACACATCCAAATCCACTATCTCTCTCATTCTTCCTATTCCTCAGGAACACGTACCAATAGCCACCCCATTATCCAAGCCATTACAGACAACAGTAAGGAGGCTTCTCAAAAAATTAAAAGTAGAACTACTATATGATCCATCAATCTCACTAATGGATATATATCCAAAGGAAATGAAATTGGTACGTCAAAGAGATACATGCACTCCCATGTTCACTGCAGCGCTATTCACAATAGCCAAGATATGAAATTAACCAAAGTGGCCATCAAAGAATGAATAGATTTTTAAAAATGTGGCGTATGTACACAATGGAATACTTTTCAGCCATAAAAAGAATGAAATTCTGTCATTTGTAACAACATGAATGAACCAAGAGGACATTATATTAAGTAAGCCAAGCAATGAAGAACAAATGGCACATGATTTCACTCATATGTGGAACTGCAAAAGCTGATCTCATAGAAGGGAAGAGGAGAATAGCGGTTACCAGAGACCGAGAAGGAGAGGGAGAAGTGAGGATGTACACTCAAGTGAGAATGTACACTGAAAACTATAAAAAATTGCTGAAATTGAAGATCTAAATAAATGGAAAGACATCTTGTGTTGATGGGTAGAAAGACTTAAAATTGTTAAGTTGTCAATAATATCCAAAGTGATCTACAGACTCAATTAATCTCTATCAAAATTTCAACAGCCTTTTAAACAGATATGGAAAAGCAGGTCCTTGAATTCATATGGAAATGTTCACAAAAAAACAAGTGTTTGTAGGAAAAACAGAGTTTTGATAGGCAACTCAAAATCTATTCATCTTCATACTCATAACACTAACAAAGCAATAACAATTCGAATAAAAATACTAGCATAGTTTTTAAAGAGAAAAAAAAAAGACTTGTTAAACTCTAAATAGATGAAAGACTTTTTAAAGGGGGAGCTAGGCTGAGGGGTGGCTCATGCCTGTAATCCCAGCACTTTGGGAGGCCGAGGTGGGCAGATCACTATGTCCAGAGATCGAGACCATCCTGGCCAAGATGGTGAAACCCCCATCTCTACTAAAAATACAAAAATTAGCTGGGCATGGTGGTGCGCGCCGGTAGTCCCAGCTGCTCGGGAGACTGAGGCAAGAGAATCGCTTGAACCTGGGAGGCAGAGGTTGCAGTGAGCCGAGATCTCACCACTGCACTCCAGCCTGGTGACAGAGCAAGACTCCATCTCAAAAAAAATTTAAAAAAGGAGGCCAGGTGCAGTGTCTCATGCCTGTAATCCCAGCACTTTGGGAGGCCGAGGTGGGTGGATCACGATATCAGGAGATCAAGACCATCCTGCCTAAGACGGCAAAACCCCGTCTCTACTAAAAATACAAAAAATTAGCCAGGCATGGTGGCACGTGCCTGTAGTCCCAGCTACCCAGGAGGCTGAGGCAGGAGGATGGCTTGAACCCGGGAGGCGGAGGTTGGAGTGAGCCGAGATTGCACGACTGCACTCCAGCCTGGGCGACAGAGCGAGCCTCCATCTCAAAAAAAATAACAATTAAAAGAATGAAAAAATAAAATAAAATAAATAAAGGGGGAACTAAAGATACAAGGGGATAAGGAAAGATGGAAGCTGCTGCTTTATGGAGACAAGGTGGAGGGACATCACCATGAGAAGCTATAGAGGATAAGCAGTTGAAGCTTTGCACAAAATGTAGATGACAAAGATGGGTAGCTCTGGATGGTTATTTTCTGCTTGTTTGTTTTGCACCTGCTTAAAAAAAAACACCTGATTTTTTTTTTTCTGTATTGCCACCTTCCTTCTTTCATTAAGAAGCTGCTGTTATGGCTCCAAATAGGACCTTGTGCCATGAAGTGCAATCTGCACTAACACATCTACAAATGCATGTCAATCACACCTAAAGTAGAAAAAGAAAGCTCTTGTGGAATTATTCTAAAGTCTAATGGATTTTTCTTCCCCACTCTTAAGGGGCATCTCAGCAACAAGTTGTTATGGAACTGTGGCAACATCTTAATATTCCCATTCTCAAAATAGTTCAGAAAAAGTGCATGAAAATTGGGGGAACTACTTAGTAAGCACTTCAGGATAGAGAATGTAGCTAAAATGAGTAAAGTGGAGAAGGAGTCAACGGCATTGTGCACAGCATTGTATTCATAGCTTGCTCCCTTAAATCGTGTTTGGGACTTGGCTGCTATTTTGGTACAGCTGCTATTACTCAGTGCAGAACATTAACATATGGGGGAAATTGTATATTACACAATGCAGCTTCCACATTATGCTGACACCATTCCTCTACTTGTCCATTTACTTTAAGAGACACTTACTGATGCAAAGGAGACTGAACAGTGAAGGATCTCACTCAGAATCCTGTCCACAATCTGTCCAGTTTACACCTTACCCCAAAGAGGTAATCTCTTTTGTTAATTACCTGTGTATCTTCCAATTTTTTCATGATAATATAATAATGACTCTTCATTCCCTCTTTTTTTGACACAGAGGTAGCCTGTTATACAACGTTCTTCACCTCATTCTCTCACTTCACAATATATCTTGGAGATCTTACCAAAAGCACACAGAGACCTCCTGCGTTGTGATTAGATTTTCATTGCATAATATTCCATTGTTCGTGTGTGTGTGAGTGTTTAGTTAGTCTCAAATTGATAGGTGCATGAATTTTTCCAATCTTTTGTTAAGGCAAGCAGTATTGAATAAACTTGTACATAATATTTTTGCATGTGTATAATTATATCTGTAGAATGAGTTTCAAAAAATGAAATTGAAAGGTTTAAGGCTGTATTCACAAACAATTTTGAAAGGTATTGATTGCCTAATTGTCCTCCAAAAGGTTTGTCCCAAACTGGACTCCTATAACCAATAAATCAAAGTGCTTGTTTCTCCATAGCCTTGTCAACAGAGGGTGTTGCCAAACTTTTAACTTTTTGCCAATCTGACAGGAAAGACATGATATCTCCTGTAGTTTTTCTTCTTCCTCTGGTAAAAGCAAGGTTAAGTGTTTTTTCATGTGTTTAATAACTATTTTTGTTTCCTTTTCTGAGTTTCTTCACAGTTCCCGAGACAGAAAAAAGGAAAAAGGATTTCAGCAGACAGAATTTCAACAACAATTGTCTGTTAAAATTCTTTTTACTTTTTCTTTCAGAGATTGCTAGTCTCTTTCTTCTCAATTTTAAGGTGCATTTTAATTGCTAAAGAGGTCATTTCTTTGGATGTGATATGCATGAAAATATTTCTATAAGTTTTTCATTTGTCTTTTGATTTTTTATGATATTTTCTGCTACTCGGAACTGCTTTTTATTTTATGTAGTTCAGTTTATTAATTTTCTGTCCTATGGCTTTTACGATTTGGAGTTACAGTTAGATAGCCCTCCTCCAAAGTTAGAAAGGAATATTTCCTTTTTTTCATTGAAAACTTTGACCCATTTGGAGTTTATCATGCTATACAGTTGGAATTGTGCCCAACTTTAAATATTATTTCCCATGTAGTTATCCAGTTATCTCAAAAGCATTTATTGAATGGTCATCTATCTTTTCCACTGATCTGAGATCCCATTTTTATCATCCACTAAATTACTGTATGCTTGGGTCTATTTCTAGATTTCCTTTTATTTTTCATTGATCTGTCTGTTTATGTACCAACATCACATTCTTTTCGTTATTGAGGCTTTAGAATGTTTTCATATTTGGCAAAGCCAGTTTTTCTCAAGCTCCCCTTGTCTGAGGTTTAGTTGGTATTCTTTCTTTATTTTTCATATGAATCTTTGAATCAGTTTATCTAGTTAAAAAGAACACCTGGCTGGGCACGGTGGCTCACGCCTGTAATCCCAACACTTTGGGAGGCTGAGGAGGGAGGAACACCTGAGGTCATGAATTCGAGACCAGCTTGGTCAACATGGTGAAACCCCATCTCTACTAAAATACAAAAAATAGCTGGGGTGGTGGTGTGTGCCTGTAATCGCAGCTACTCAGGAGGCTGAGGCAGGAGAATCGCTTGAGCCCGGGAGACAGAGGTTGCAGTGAGCTGAGATTGTGCCGTTGCTCTCCAGCCTGGGCAACAAGAGTGAAACTCTGTCTCAAAAAAAAAAAAAGAACACCTCTGGTATTTTTATTTTTTACAAGTTAAATTAAGATTAGCCCGGAGGGATGATAACTTTATGATGATCAATGTATGTATTCGAGAAATATTTCAGGTTTTTAAAGTATTTAAGTGTTTGTTACATATAGGTATCACACATTTCAAAGTAAGTTCATTCCAGAGTATTTTATCTTTTTGTTGATATTATAAATAGTATCTTTTCTTCTGTTATATCTTCTACCTAAATGTTGATTTGGATACATGAAAACTATTTACTTCTTCCTATAGCTATTTTATTCTGCATGTTAGGGTAGAAAACAAAACTGTAATAATGGAGAAAACTGTAAATGAGATGACTCAAACAAAATAGTTTATTTCCATCTCAACAGTCCTGGGTAGGTTTATCAAGATGGTGAGTGGTTGTACTCTATGAAGTCACTTAGGGATGCATGCTATTAGAAGTTCTTCTATCTTCAACATGTGATTACAAGATCAATTTGCTTCAACCAATGATGAAGGGTTTCAAGAAGGGCTGAAGTTCAAGGTCTCTTTAATCTGTGAGGTGACTGTTTCATTTATCACAACTTATATTCCTTTGTCAAGACCCTAGTCACATGGCTACATCTAACTGCAAAGAGGGCTAGGAAATGTGGTCCGGCCAGGTCTCAGCTATACTTTATTTGTTTGAGAGAAGGAAAATGGATTTTGTGGTCAGTTAGAAGTCATTACACAGACCAGCAATGGTCACCAATAATCCACATATACTCTACTTTTCACATTTAGAAAAAACTCACCTCACCCCCTAGGGAAATATCTCATCCAGTTATGACATCCAGCTCAAAATCCAGGATCTTTAGGTGACATGCAGTTTTCTATTGGATATACACTTGAGTCCTCATGGCCCAGTGACCCATAAAGTAATAAAATCTAAATTATCACCCTCTACCACGTAAACACAGATAATATACAATGGTGAAGTGAGAACAGGATAATGGCAAAAGAAACTCTTATTTAAAAAACAGAAACACACAATCATTGGCCCACAGCAATGATTAAATCTTACTGGGTAGGAATCCTAAATTATCCTTGCCCTCTCAATGGAGTAAGTTCCAAGCTTAGTCCATCTGACTATCACTGGTCCTCTCTGTGGGAGGAACTCCTTTGTTTGTCATCCTGACCACTGGCTTTGCTTTCTGGAAGATTCTTTCTTCTCCATTATCTACCATAGCCAATATAAGAAGAAGTGAGGAGTACTCATTTCTTAGGATTGCCCCGTACAGATTTTGCAGCCTGACTTCTGTGGTTGCAATTTGAGGGCCTATGAGTTATTTTAAGCTTAACCACAGGCTTTTTTATGTTAGGCTTTATGGCTTCCTTGGGAATACAATTTCTTCAAAAACTAAAAGGGCTTCTTGTTTATTTGTTTCATGCATCAATGACCACAACCAAAGTTCTTTTCTAGGTCTGATTCTGAAATCTTTTGTTCTAAGCTCTGTTGAATGACTCATGTCACTCTTAATTTAATGGTAACAACTTTGAGTGGGAAGAAAACTCCTTTAATCTAATTGTTTCCTTAGGCGTCTGTCCTTCTGTTTGCCTTAATACAAGGCCTTTGGGAAAAGCTTAGAGGAAGGTATTAGTTTTTTATCACTGATTTAACAAATTACCACAAACTTAGTTGCTTAAATATAAATGTATAATCTATAAATATAAATTTATGATAATATAATATATATTATATATTTATAATAGAAATTTATGATCTTACAGTTCTGTAAGTCAGAAAACCAACACTAGTTTCGCTAAGCTAAAATCAAGGTATCAGTAGGACCACATTACTTCTAGAGGCTCACAGGGAGAATCTGTGTTCTTGCCTTTTTCAGCTTCTAGAGGTTGCTGGCATTCTTTGGCTTATGGCCCTGTTTCTCCACCTTCAAAATCAGCAATATAACACATCTCTCTGACCCTTTGTCCCATCATCACATGTCTCTCTCTTACTGCAGCTGGGAAAGATCTTCTGCTTTTAATGACTCATGTGATTAAATTGGGCCCACTGGAATAATTCAGGATGATCTCCTCATCTCAAGGTCCTTAATTGCATTTGCAAAGTCCCTTTTGCCATGTACGGTAACATATTCACAGATTCTGGGGACTAGAATGTGGACATTTTGGTGGGGGGACAGTCATTATTTGGCCTAACACAAGCAACTAAAGCCATATTTCCTGTTATCTGAAATATAAAAGCATTTCTCAATCTTGTAAAGACTCACATCTCTGGACTCTATTTCCTTCAATCTCTGCTTGCAATCTGGTCATTTCTTGCCTGAGTTTGCACTTTCTTATAATATTTTGCTAAATGCAACAAGAAGCAGGCAACACTGGAAACAATCTAAATTTCCATCAACATTTGAATGAATAGACACATTGTAGTACATCCATACAATAAACTACTATATGGCAATAAAAAGGAATGGACTATTTATACACTCAACAACATAGATTAATCACAAAATAATTATGCTGGATGAAAGAATCTAGACAAAAATAGAGTACATATTATGAGTTCATTTATGTAAAATTCTAAAAAAGGAAGCCAACCTATAGTGACAGAAAGCAGACCAGTATTTGCCTGGGGATGGATTATAGGATGGGTTGAATTCAAAGGAGCAGGGAAAAGCTATGGGGGGTGACAGATATATTCATTATTTTAATTGTGGTGATGATTTCACAGGTGGATTCCTATGTCAAAACTCATCAGATTATATACTTTAAATACATGCAGTTTACTAGTTACGATAGTGAAGACGTGGAACCAACTTAACTGCCCATCAACTGTAGACTGAATAAAGAAAATGTAGTACATATACACCATGGAATACTATGCAGCCATAAAAAAGAATGAGATAGTGTCCTTTGCAGCAATATGGATGGAACTGGAGGGCCATTATCCTAAGTAAATTAATGTAGGAACAGAAAACCAAACATCACATGTTCTCACTTATAAGTGGGAGCTAAACATTGAGTATACAAGGACACCAAGAAGGGAACAATAGACATTGAGGTCTATTTGAGGATGGAGGGTGGAAGGAGGGTGAGGATCAAAAAACTACCCATCAGGTACTACGCTTATTACCTGGGTGATGAAATAATCTGTACAACAAACCCCTGTGACACACAATTTATTCATGTAACAAACCTGCATATGTACCCCTGAACCTAAAATAAAAGTTGGAGAGAAAAAAAAAGAAATCTGGAAGCAGAAACACACACAGAGCATGACGGCTCCAAAGACAACCAGGCAAAATCTGTTACTTTATCAACAAAAGTGCATTATTTTCATTCCCTGGTATTTGTTGCTAATGTAAATTTTGTTCAACAACCTGAATAGAATTAAGCAAAGCTTTGGGAATTTTTACCAGGCAGGTACAAAAATATGTGTGCTATTTTTTTGTTCCACATCTTGAGAGAGCACGAAAAACATAAATATGTGCAGTTTATTGAATATCAGTTGGACTCAATAAAGCTATTTTTAAGGTGTACTAAAAAATAAAGAGATACATTCATAGTATTGCATATGGGATTTCACTGAGACATAAACTCATGAAGGTTGGGGCCTTTGTTTGGTTCATTACTGTATCACCAGAACCTATGATAGCACCTGGCACATATTAGAGGTTCAATATATCCCATATAACTTGTAGAAGGCAGAAGAATGTCCCTATCCCCAAGATGTCCATGTCCTAATCCCTAGAACCTGACTATATTATGTTATATGGCAAAAGAGAATTAAGGTTGCTAATCAGTTGACTTTGTAAAAAGGGAGGTTATTAGGCCGTATGAGGTCCAATCTAATCACACCAATCTTTAATAAAAGTGGAAAGAAGAAGAAGCAGAATGTAGCTCAGAGAGATAGGACATGAGATGGACATAACCAACTGTTGTTGGATTTGAATACAGAGAAAAGAGGCTATGAGCCAAGGAATTCTACAGCCCTTTGAGCTGTTAACAGCTCTGTTTAAAGCCAGTAAAAAGACAGGAACCTAGTCCTCCAACTACAAGGAATTGAGTTCTGCAAGCAACCAGAATGAACAGAAACAAATTTTCCCCTAAAGCCTTCAAAAAGAGATGCAACCACACTGACAACTTGATTTTAGCCCATTGAGACTTGTTTCAGACCTCTGACCTACTGAGGCAAGATAAGTAAGGTTAGGAGGCCATACTAACTTGTCCCATGTGTGAAGCCCCACGGCTCCTTTTACAGTGAATTCTTTTCACTTGCACCCTCCTGCATCAGCACTGAAGTCTTTTGCAAGACAAGCAGTCCTGCAGGATTCTGCCAGGTGGTTACAAGTTCTTGATACCCTATACAGCCTGGGAAAGAGAACGAAAGCCCTTTGTTCATGATGTAGCTACCCATCTCCAGCCAATCAGCACCAAAAGCCCAAGAAGCTATTAGCTACAAATTCCTGCCTTGGTTGGGGTGGGTGGAGGTGTGACTGGGAAATTCTCCAGGGTCTTGCATACACAGCTAGGCTCAAGGTTTAGCTTATGGTGACCTTTTCCTCATTGTAATAGCAAAAAACACACCACCACGTGGGGATTTTATACGCTAATGATACATGGGATGCGTGTTAGACCAAGTAGCTCATGTGCTAACCACAGGTCTGCCTTTGCTTACTTGATCTCACCAGTATTTTATTAATATGTATGTACAGTTTCCACAAAGGAAATTCCCCTTAAGGCACTAACTACTGCCTCTAGCTTTGAGCTAGCTTTGAGCAGCCCACTCTGCCTCTCAGAGTGTACTTTCACTTTGCAATAAACTCCTTTGCCTAGTCTTATTTTGGACTCACTCTCAAATTCTTTTGTGTGGCCCAGAATCTGAATCTGGCCCACCAACGACATTGCAGAAGTGTAAGAGAATACATTCGTGTTGTTTAAACAGCTAAGTTTGTGGTAATTTGTTACAGCAGCAATAAAAACCTAATCCATAACTAAAAGAAGCTATGTTCTGGTCCCTAGAAGCACCAAAGAAGCTGCAATGTCCTCGGTCCCCAGTTTAGGGGAATGGAGTGGATGTTGAAAGCTTCTGAGGGGAGGAAGAGCCTGAAAGACATTCTCTAGGAAGGAAAGGGCAAACTGGGAGTGAGTCAGAGCTTTATGATTGACTACACTCTTTTATCATTCATAAAGACTGTCAGAGGCATTCCAACCAGAGCGACGCCATTTTGAGTGAGAGCTAGGAAAATGAGGCTGCAACTTGGCGGGGTGCATTTCCAGAAATATAGGTATTCCTAGCCTCTAGACATTTATGGTTAAGGGAATAGATTAATAATATTTACTAGGCCAGGAAAGGTGGCTCACACCTGTAATCCCAGCACTTCAGGAGGCCGAGGTGGGTGGATCACAAGGTCAGGAGTTCGAGACCTGCCTGGCCAATATTGTGAAACCCGTCTCTACTAAAAATACAAAAATTAGCTGGGTGTGGTGACATGTGCCTGTCCCGACTACTCGGGAAATGGAGGCAGAAGAATCGCTTGAACCCAGGAGGCGGAGGTTGCAGTGAGCCAAGATTGTGCCATTGCACTCTGGCCTGGGCAACAGAGGGAGACTCTGTCTCAAAAAAAAAAAAAGTTTACTAAACTGACCCAGATTTAGCAATGTCCAGATAATCCTGACACCTGGAGAACAAAGGCACTTCTAATTTTGCTTTAAAGATAATAATATTGATTCTTGCAAAACATAGTAATTAAGGAAATTAATCCTTTATCACAAACTCTTGTAGCAGAGCACATCTTCCCATGATCTTCTTTTATCATATATATATATGATATATATATAAAGATATATATATAAGCATTGTACCTAGGGTGGACGCGTTCCTCCTCTTACTTTCTGGAATGCCCTACTCTGTCTATGGGTTAGCTCTTCTTTCACCACTGAACTTGCTTTTGCTGTGCACTCCAGCAGACTTGCCCTGAATTCTTTCTTGCACGAGATCCAAGAACCCTCTCTTGGGGTCTGGATTGGGACCTCTTTCCTGTAACAGGACCACCTTCCACAAATGGACCCAGGTTCAGTGTCCACTCTGATTCACTGTCCCATGCTGCCTTCCCTAAAGCAGGCACTTTGCCACTGGTTTCACACGTCTGGGGTGAAGAACTCTTCTTGGTTTGTCCGGAACCTTTCTGGTTTTGCGTGGAAAGTCCTGTGTCCTGGGAAACTCCACAGTCCCAGGCATCCTATACCATGCTTCATTTGCCAAAAACTGTGACCCAAAAAAATTGTGAACAATGATTTTACTGCAAAATGTTGGAAACTCTGTAGAAAGTAGTTGTATGGTATGCTGTGAAAATAGGGAATTTTTTTTGGGTATTTGATTTTGTAACACTTTTCTGATTATAAAAGCATTAAATACACATTTGGAGGTACTTGGAGAGACAAAGGAAAGCTTAAAGCAATGCTTTTCAAGCTTTGTTATGTGTAAGAATATCTTGCTTGAAATGTAGAGTCCCAGGCTGCAACGCAAGAGTGTGCATCAGGAAGAGTGGAGTGTTGCCCAGAAATCTGGAAGGTAAGAGAAAAGGCTAGCCACTAATAGTAGTTTAAATGAGTCGAGAGTCTGGTCTACATTTTGCATGTCTAATAGACATCTCAAAATTAGCATATCCAAAATCAGATCCAAATCCTCTCCCCTGGTCTGTCCCTGCCCACGCCCCTACCCTCTATCAAGTCTTTCCCATCTCAGCATCCTTCCAGTTGCTTAAGCCAAACACCTGGGCATAATCCTTGTCTCTATTGTTCCTATCACACCATACCTAATTGTGTTAATTCTATCTTCAAATGTATTCTGAACTTGACTATTTCCCACAACCCCCATCATCACTTGCCTAGTTTATTTCAATGGCCTTCTGACAGATGTTGCTACCTCCATTCTTGTTTCCTTGGTTCTATTTTCAACAGAGGAGCCAGAGAAATTAAAACATGAGTTAAAGCCTATAGTCAGAGCCTATCAGTCCTTTGTCCTTTTAGTGCCATCCATCTCACTCAAAGTAGAATCAAAGTCCTTAGAATGGGCCACATGGTCCTACCCAGCCTGGACCCGCTCACTTCTGTTGAGCTAATGTCCTGCACTTCACCTGATGACCTCATGTCCTGCACTTCACCCCTCCTTCACTCTGGTCCAGACACACTGGCATCCCTACTGCTCCTTATACTTGCTAGGCATGCTTCTGCCTCAAGGCCTTTGTGCAGACTCTTCCCGTTGCCTAGAACACATTTCTCTCAGATATTCTCAAAGCTGGCTCTCTAACCTCTTTCAGGCATTTGCTGAAATATCACTTTCTCTGTAAGGACTTCTCTAACCTCCCTATTTAAAATTGTAATATTTTCTCCCCACTCCCTGTTCCCCTTCTTGGTTTGTGTTAATTCATAGTACCTACCACCATCTAATATTACAAATTTTTTTTTTTTTTGAGACTGAATCTTGCTCTGTCGCCCAGGCTGGAGTGCAGTGGCAGGATCTTGGCTCACTGCAACCTCTGCCTCCCAGGTTCAAGCGATTCTCCTGCCTCAGCCTCCCAAGTACCTGGGACTACAAGTGTGTGCCACCACGCTCAGCCAATTTTTTGTATTTTTAGTAGAGACAGGGTTTCACCATGTTAGCCAGGATGGTCTTGATCTCCTGACCTCGTGATCCACCCGCCTCGGCCTCCCAAAGTGCTGGGATTACAAGTGTGAGCCACTGCATCCGGAGTATTACAAATTTTTTATTACTTTGTTCGTGGTTTGCCTTCCTCCAACAGAACACAAGCTCCACTGGGATTTTTGTCTGTTTTGTCACTGCTTTATTCCCAGGACCCAGAAGAGCACTTAGCATAAAGTAGATGCTCAATGAGTATTGGTGAAGGCATGGATGGATATATAACATATGACAGAGCTTGCAGTGTAAAACAGTGGGGAAAATTAGAGGCTGTGCATTAGATCACACTGAGATAATTAGTTAACCATATGGAAAAAAGGGGAAACAAATATATATTTTGCTCTAAACACAAAAATTAATTCCAGATATATAAAGATTTACATATGAAAGGCAAATGTCTCAGTTGTTCAGGCCTCTATGACAAAAATACCATAGACTGGGTGGCTTAAATAACAACCACTTATTTCTCATAGTTCTAGAGGTAGGGGAAGTCTGAGCTCAGGGTGCACAGTCAGTTTCAGATGAATGTTCTCTTCTGGGTTGCAGACTGCTAACTTCTCATTGTGTCTTCACATGGTGGAAGAGACAAGGGAGCTCTTTGGGGTCTCTGTCATAAGGGCACAAATCCCATTCAGTAGTGCTCTGATCTCATGACCTAATCACCTCCCAAAGGCCCCACCTCCAAATACCATCACACTGAGGATTAGGTTTTAACATGTGAATTTTAGGAGGGACACAAGCATTCAGTCTATAGCAGCTAAACTGAAAAATATTTAGTCAATAATATAGATTATCTTTGTAATCTCAAGACAAGGTAGGACTTATTAAACTAGACCAAGAGTCCAAAACATAAAGATTGATACGTTTAGCTACTTTAGAATGAAAAAACAAATGCTTCTCTCTTCTCAAAAGATGACATAGAGAGAAACAACAAGCCAGAAACTCCAAGAAGATGTTTGTAACACATATAACCAACAAGGAATTAGTGTCCAGAATATACAAAAAACAAATATTTCCCATAAATCTGAAACCAACCCATTTGTCCCATAGGACTGATTATGTTTTTTTTCTTTTAATAAACATAGAAATTTACCCTACAAGTCTTAAAACTTGAGAAACTTACATTTGTCTTATCTGAGTTCCTTTCTCAGGAAATTGATGATCAGGGCTCCCTGGTAGTATCAGGAAACTGAAACTTACCTTTCACTGCATCTGCTAAGACACCAGACCCCTCACCCTTCATGACTGCCTAACTGACCCCAGGCTGCCTGTTGACCAACTCCTCTTCCTTACCCCTCCCTAATTCCTGTTTTCCCATATGTAGTTACCTTTCTTCCCTGCTCTATAAACCCTTAATTTTAATCTGTTGAAAAGAGGAGACAGAGTTAAGACTGATCTCCAATCTCCTCGGTTGCAACACCTGAATAAAGCCTTCTTCCCTCACAATACTTGTTGTCTCAGTGATTGGCTTACTGTGCAGTGAGCAACCTAGACCAAACCCTTGGCATTTTGGTAACAAATCCAAAAGAAAACTAAAAATAGCCAATAGAAGAAAGTATAAAAAACATAAAAGACACTATACAGAAAGAGAAATACAACTGGCCAAAAAAAAAAAAAGGAAAAAAGAAAGAAAAGAAAAATGCTCAGCTTCATTAATAATTAGGAAAATGCACATTAAAACCAAATGCGATAACATTTCACACACATCAAAATGGCAAAAAGTCAAAAGTCTGACAATTCCAAGTGAAGTTGCAGATGTGGTTTAATGGGAATTTCATCTGCCACTAAAGGGAATGTAGATTATACAACCCCTGGGAAATAGTCTCCCCTCACAAAGTAACACTATATATACTGCAACCACATTCTAAGACTCAGAAATTTCATTACTAGTTACATATTCTAAAAAGTCTTGCAGGTATGTGCCAGGGTACATGTATGAGAATGTTCATAGCATCATTGGTCATAACAGCAAAACTATGAAGACAAACCAAGTTCTAAGAATAGTAAAATGGAGAAGAAAAAAACATGGGACTTTCAAATTTGGAATACCACACAGCAGTGAAAATGAACAAGCCAAAGCTATATGCATCAAGATGGTGAATCTCAGAAATAAAGACAAGTCACAGAAGAACACATACATTACAATTCCACGTATACAAAGTTTAAAAATAGGCAAAACTAGACAATATCCTGTTTAGGGATACATACATGTATCAAGGAAGTATAAAGAAAAGCTAGGCCTTGGCCTCTCCCTCTCCCTCTCCCCCTTTCCCTTGGATCTCCCTCTGTTGCAGAGGCTGGACTGTACTGCCATGATCTCAGCTTGCTGCAACCTCCCTGCCTTGGGCTCCCGTGATTCTCCTGCCTTGACCTGCCGAGTGCCTGGGATTGCAGGCATGCGCTGCAATGCCTGACTGGTTTTTGTATTTTTGGTGGAGACGGAGTTTCACCGTGTTGACCGGGCTGGTCTCCAGCTCTTGACCTCGAGTGATCTGCCCGCCTTGGCCTCCCGAGGTGCTGGGATTGCAGACGGAGTCTCGCTCACTCAGTGCTCAATGTTGCCCAGGCTGGAGTGCAGTGGCATGATCTCAGCTCGCTACAACCTCCACCTCCCAGCCGCCTGCCTTGGCCTCCGAAAGTGCTAAGATTACAGCCTCTGCCTGGCTGCCACCCCATCTAGGAAGTGGGGAGCTCCTCTGCCCGGCCGCCCCGTCTGGGATGTGAGGAGCGCCTCTGCCCGGCCGCCACTCCGTCTGGGAACTGAGGAGCGCCTCTGCCCAGCCGCCCCATCTGAGAAGTGAGGAGCGCCTCTGCCTGGCAGCTGCCCCGTCTGGGAAGTGAGGAGCATCTCTGCCTGGCCGCCCATCGTCTGGGATGTGAGGAGCACCTCTGCCCACCCGCCCCGTCTGGGAAGTGAGGAGCGCCTCTGCCCGGCTGCCCCGTCTGGGAGGTGTACCCAACAGCTCCGAAGAGACAGCGACCATCGAGAATGGGCCATGATGACAATGGCAGTTTTGTGGAAAAGAAAAGGGGGAAATGTGGGGAAAAGAAAGAGAGATCAGATTGTTACTATGTCTGTGTAGAAAGAAGTAGACACAGGAGACTCCATTTTGTTCTGTACTGAGAAAAATTCTTCTGCCTTGGGATGCTGTTAATCTATAACCTTACCCCCGGCCCCGCGCTCTCTGAAACATGTGCTGTGTCCACTCAGGGTTAAATGGATTAAGGTCGGTGCAAGATGTGCTGTTAAACAGATGCTTGAAGGCAGCATGCTCGTTAAGAGTCATCACCACTCCCTAATCTCAAGTACCCAGGGACACAAACACTGTGGAAGGCTGCAGGGACCTCTGCCTAGGAAAGCCAGAGACCTTTGTTCACGTGTTTATCTGCTGACCTTCTCTCCACTATTATCCTATGACCCTGCCACATCCCCCTTTCCGAGAAACACCCAAGAATGATCAATAAACACTAAAAAATAAAAAATAAATAAATAAATAAATAAATAAAAAGAAAAGCTAGGATGGCCGGTGTGGTGGCTTGTCTTTAATCCTAGAACTATGGGAGGTTGAGGCAGTAGGATTGCTTGAGGCCAGGAGTTTGAGACAAGCCTGGGCGACATAGCTAGACACCATCTCTACAAAAATAATAATAAGAAGAAAAGTTCACTGGGACCGGGCGCGGTGGCTCACACCTGTAATACCAGCACTTTGGGAGGCTGAGGTAAGTGGATCACCTGAGGTCAGGAGTTCAAGACTAGCCTGGCCAACATGGTGAAACCCCGTCTCAACTAAAAATACAAAAATATTAGCTGGGCGTGGTGGCGGGCACCTGTAATCCCAGCTACCTTGGGAGGCTGAGGCAGGAGAATTGTTTGAACCTGGAAGACGGAGGCTACAGTGAGCAGAGATCACGCCATTGCACTCCAGCCTGGGTGACAAGAGCGGAATTCTGTCTCAAAAAAAAAAAAAAAAAGAAAAAAGGAAAGAAAAAGAAGTGAAACCAAACGAAAAGAAAAGCTCACTAGGTGTGGTGGTATGAGCCTGTAGCTGAGGTGGGAAGATCCCTTGGGCTCGGGAGTTCACATGCTGCAGTGAGCTATAATTGTGCCACTGCACTCCAGCCTGGATGACTGACTGAAACCTAATCTCTTAAAAATAAAAATAAAAGCTGGGTGCGGTGGCTCACGCCTGTAATCCCAGCACTTTGGGAGGCTGATGGGGCGGATCACGAAGTCAGGAGATTGAGACCATCCTGGCTAACACGGTGAAACCCTGTCTCTACTAAAAATACAAAAAAATTTGCTGGGAGTGGTGGCACGTGCCTGTAGTCCCAGCTACTCAGGAGGCTGAGGCAGGAGAATCGCTTGAACCCAGGAGGCGGAGGTTGCAGTGAGCCGAGATTGCGCCACTGCACTCCAGCCTGGGTGACAGAGCGAGATTCTGTCTCAAAAAATAAAAATAAAAATAAAAGCTAGGGAATGATTATCACAAAAAAATGCAGCTCTAGCAAAGAGAGAGGGAGAGTGATCTATTGGTTAGGAGCACGTAATAAAAGATATTGGAAATATTCGATTGCTTAGAGTGACCGATGATTACATAACATCCTTTATTATCTCATCAATACTTTAAAATGTGTATATGGATTATATGTACACTTTTGAATATATATTTCACAGTTTTTGATTAAAGAAGGAGAGAAAAGGAAACAGAGGGCAGGTACAGACAATATTTTCTAATTTTGCTGTAAATGTGGAGCAGGAAAATAGGAGAGTACCTGAAGCAAAAACCTTTTAAAAACTTATGTTACTGGCCAGGCGCAGTGGCTCACGCCTGTAATCCCAGCACTTTGGGAGGCCGGGGTGGGGCGGGGAGGGGGGTGGTGGATCACCTGAGGACAGGAGTTCAAGACCAGCCTGGCCAACATGGTGAAACCCCGTCTCTACTAAAAATACAAAATTAGCCGGGAGTGGTGGTGGGGGGCGCCTGCAATCCCAGCTACTGGGGAGGCTGAAGCAGGAGAATCACTTGAAACCCAGAGGCGGAGGTTGCAGTGAGCTGAGATCGTGCCATTGCTTTCCAGCCTGGGTAACAAGAGCAAAACTCTACAAAACAAAAACAAAAACAAAAAAACTTATGGTATCAAGGAGTTTGTCTTGTTTTGGTTTTTAAAGCGATATATTATAACATGTTTGTATGCTCATGAGAATAATTCAGTGAAACGGTAAAAAAAATTTGCTGAAGCAGGAGAGTAGATATTTATAGATGGTTAGTCCATTTTTGAGAAAACAAGAGAGGATGGGATCTAGCCTTCTCAGGGAGAGTAGAGACATCAAGGTGGTTCTGCTATGGCAGAACTTGCTGGAAACCCACTCTCTAGGGTGCAGGCAAAAGCTGTTCATACCAGAGACACTCCAGTATAAAACCCCTTCAGGAGGGGTGCCTAAGGAAGCTGCTCACTGCTGGGTGTTGCTGACTGTGACTGAAGTAACTGGACACTAGGTAAGTTTTGGGTGCTGCAGGAGCAGGTGCTGCTAAACCATGCACTCACTGCAGGAACCTGGCAAACAGCACACCAGAACCAGGAAGCAAAATCGTTTTTCCCTGCAATGACTCTCCAGTGCCCTCTACTGACAAAGCTTCAGGGCCAGATGGCAAAGAAAACATAATTAAAAGATTCAGGATCATTTTTGGAGCTGAGAGGCAGTAAATCCATAACTCACAAACTGGGGAATGGAGGGATCAGGCTGACAATACCTGAATCTTCCATCAAATCTACCATCACTAATAGTGGGATGAGATCATATACCTCTAAATGTGATACCATAGGTACACAGCACTGCTTTTGAAGTATTCTCCTTAAAAAATTGAACCCAGCCGGGAGTGGTGGCTTACGCCTGCAATCCCAGCACTTTGGGAGGCCGAAACAGGCGAGTCACCTGAGGTCAGGAGTTTGAGACCAGCCTGGTCCAACATTGTGAAACCCCGTTTCTACTAAAAATACAAAAATTAGCCTGGCATAGCGGCGGGCACCTGTAATCTTAGCTACTCAGGAGACTGAGGCAGGAGAATCACTTGAACCCAGGAGGCAGAGGTTGCAGTGACCCGAGATTGCACCACTGCACTCCAGCCTGGATGACAGCGAGACTCCATCTCAAAAACAAACAAACAAAAACCCCAAATCTGATAAAGCCTTTTAAGTAAATAAAAATAAAAGCTAAGGAATGATTATCACAGAAATGCAGAGTGATGCTTACCTCTATAGCAGAGAGAGACGGACTAGTAGTATCTGGGTTAGGGACATATGGTGAAAGATATTGAAAATGTTTGATTGCTTAGAATGAGAGATGACTACATAGCATCCTTTATTATCTTATGAATCTTATCTAAGATACACAGGAAATAGAGGAACAAGTTAATTGATACCATGAGGAAGCAATCAACCAAATCCAGTACTGGGAACATTCTATGGGATAAATGAACTGGCTTCTCCAGCAAATTAATGGAATGAAAATAAGGGAAGGGTAGATTGTTATAATAAGATTAAGAGACATAATAATAAAATGCAATGTATTGCCAAAATATAATTTTTAAAAGTCAATGACAGTATCCTATACAAAGAAAAAGTGAGCATGTATCAAAGATGTACTAACAAGAGACTAGTAAAAAAAGAACTAGTTCAAAGAGAATTTGGAAGATTGAATATACATACACTGGACATACATCTTCTATACCTCCACTGAACAAAATTCATTGACATTGCTATTGACCAAGAATCATTTCCATTGATATCACTTTTCTACAAGTTAATGTCTACCCCTAAGGAGTACTCTAAATACCCTAAAATACTAAATCAAAGTTAAACTACCCTAGAGAATTAGATAATTTTTACGTAGGCCTATTAGAAAATGCTACAGTGTCGGCCGGGCGCGTTGTATCAAGCCTGTAATCCCAGCACTTTGGGAGGCCAAGGCAGGAGGATTGCTTGGGTCCAGAAGTTTGAGACCAGCCTGGGCAACATGGCCAGACCTTGTCTGTACAAAAAATACAAAAATTAGCCGGGCATGGTGGCACACATCTGTCCCAGCTACTCAGGAGGCTGAGGTGGGAGAATTGCATTAGCTCAGGAGGTCGAGGCTGTAGTGAGCCATGATTGCACCATTGCACTCTAGCCTGGGTGACAGAGTGAGACCCTGTTTCAAAAAAAAAAAAAAAATTTTTTTTAAGTTGAATTTGTCATTATATATTATACAATATATTTTCACTAACTTTTGAGCTAATAGACATTTAAAAGTCACCAAATTTGGAATACAAAGTATTTTAAATGACATCCCAAGTCATATAAGAGATTGGTTCAGCCTACGCTTTCTGTTCAAAACCCAGTAGTTAATGCTATTAGCATTCAAAATGCCTTTTTTTCCTTTTAAAAAGGACAGTTAAACCTGTTATTTTTTATCCTGCAGCCAGTTCTTAGCACAAAAGCAGGCAGATTTTAGTAGCACAGAATTATTTATTAGCTTATGCCTCTACCAGAAAACAGAAATGTTGGCTTAAAATTGTTTCATTGATGTAACTTTTACCTTTTCCTTTACAGATATTCATTTATTCATTCTGGCCCTAATACCAAGGTATCCTTCACACAAAAGATTCAAACAGATTCTTTGCATCTTTACCAATGGGAGTTTCATGTTTTCAAGTTTTTGTTTGTTTGTTTGTTTGTTTTTTGTTTGGAGGCCTCTTTCCAAGCACTCTAGTATTCTTAAAATCCTGAGATTCTGAATGGTATGATTTAGCTCAATATGTTTATACTAAACTTAGGGGAAAAAAACTAATATATTTTCCTTACCCATCACAAGGTTTATGCTGAGACTTCAATAACAAAAAACAGACTAACAAGAGAAAAGCATGCACATTTATTTTATCCAAGTTTTACATGACATGGGAACTTTCAGAAACGAAAACCCAAAGAAATGGGGACATTTGTGTAGTTGTATAGACAGTCAGGCAGATGTATGATTGCAAGGACAAAAGTGTATGAGCTAACGGTGATAAACTGAGAAGTTGGAAAGGCCTGTCTATTCAGTTTCTTCTTGGCATACCTGTGTGGCAGTCCCTCCCTCAGGGCATAGGAGAGGATGCCTGTTATATAAGGGGCCTCAGATGAAGGAGGGAGAAGGAGGGAGCAGGTCAGAGAGTGACCTTCCTAGATTTTGTGGCCTGCTTCAGGGAAGAAGGGGCGAGGGGAACTCTAGTTTCTATGGCCTGCTTCAGGGCAGAAAGGAGCAAGAGGTCAGAGAAACCTTCCTGTTTCTGCTATTTTCTCAATTTCCAAGGTGCCATATTTTGGGGTGGCATTTCCTGTACCCTGTCATATACAAACTCATTTTTAGACAGCGGCCTTTAGTTCCTCCTGAGGTTAAACCAGAGCTGCTCAAGGAATATACCTACTAAATCTTCTTGCTCCATTTAAGATATTTATTTCAAATGCAAATAATTATACCATACCCTTTGGCCTAGTCAGCACTGATTCACTATTTCAAAGCTTTACATTTAAGCCTCATAATAACCGTACGAAGCAGATCTAGCTACTTCCATGTTACAGAAGAAGAACCTGTGGCACACAGAGGTTGAGCAGCTGCCCCAAAGCCTCACAGAATGTGGCAGACTGGAGAATTCAACGCAGAACTCTTACCCAGCCCCATATGCTGCCTTGGCCTCCATCTGGTATGACCACAGAAATGGAGAGCTGGAGGAAGGAATTTCAACTCTGCTTCAGAACCTTAAATGAAGCAGGAAGCTGTAGAGGGGCACAAAGCTACAAAGCTGCTCCAAAGCTGTCTCCTCCAACACAAAGCAGAAATTGTGTTCCCAGCATCCATTTCTGTTACCCTTACTTGGACTTGAGAAGCTGTATCAATCAAGATGTAGTGTGGTGGGAGAGGGACTCAGTGCATGACTGATACCCAGCCAAGCAGGGCCAGGCAGCTTTAGAAATGCCCACACTGGGGAATTGAACAATGAGAACACATGGACACAAGAAGGGGAACATCACACACCAGGGGCTGTTGTGGGGTGGGGGGAGGGGGGAGGGATAGCTTTAGGAGAGATATACCTAATGCTAAATGATAACAAACCTGCACGTTGTGAACATGTACCCTAAAACTTAAAGTGTAATAATAATAAAATTTTTTTACAAAAAGAAAAAGAAATGCCCACACTGAGCTCATTTCATTTAACAAACATTTATTTACATGGAAGCCATGTGCATGGAAGACAGGTGTTGTCTCAACTCTCTTGGGGCGTACACTGAGGGGGAGGAAGATCGAAAATAAACACATTGACAAAGAAATGAACAAGGTGCTTTCAAATGGCAACAAATGCATGAAGAAAGGGAAACAGAATAATGCATGATGGGGAACTGGTTTCAACTGGGTGAGGGAGGAAGACCTTTCTGAGATGTAGACATGACTGACAAGAAGCGGGCAGCCATGCAAGGGGCTGGGGCAGGGAGTTTCAAGACCAGGTGTAAGGTGAAAGCACAGGGACCGAGGGAGAAGTGGCATGAGGGAGGTCAGAGAGTTAAGCAGAGCTGTCATGTCAGGAGCCCCAGCCCCTGCAAGAGTCTTCCATGCCCCTCTAAGTGTGCTGAGAGGATAGAGAATTTTAAGTGGGGTGGTGGATTTGTGGCTGGAGTCTGCCCAGAATGGTCTGTGAATAGGCCAAAGACCTCAGGACAGGGAGAAAACGCTTAGTGGCACAGCATTATTTTTTATTTTATTATTATTTTTTGAGACGGAGTCTCGCTCCGTCCCCAGGCTGGAGTGCAGTGGGGCGATCTCGGCTCACTGCAACCTCCGCCTCCCGGGTTCAAGCGATTCTCTTGCCTCAGCCTCCTGAGTAGCTGGGACTACAGGTGCGCGCCACCACGCCCGGCTAATTTTTGTATTTTTAGTAGAGACGGGGTTTCACCATGTTGGCCAGGATGGTCTCGATCTCTTGACCTCGTGATCCGCCCACCTCGGCCTCCCAAAGTGCTGAGATTACAGGCGTGAGCCACCGCGCTCGGCGGCAGAGCATTATTTAAGGAGCATGTTAAACACACTTTCTTCCCACACCACCAACTAAAAAAGCAGGTATCAAGAGGGTCTAGGTAGGTGCTGAGACCACCTCCAGAGCACAGGCCCGCCAGAGTTGTGCTCAGCAGGTGAGGTCTACACTCCTCTCAGCCCGGAGGGGCAGCGTGAGTTATACTGCTGGACAAAGGGGAAAAAGACAAAATGCTGGGCTGGGGTAGAAGGGAAGGACGCGGGTGTTAAATGTGGGCGTGGTTTCTTCTGAATGTCCCACCCACTTCACTATACATTGCTTAAATGCAGTGCAAATTTCCCTACCCCCAGCGGAGGAGGGGTGAAGATTCAGCAGGTTTTAGGGTCTAGGACCCTGAGCTCCTCCATTCATGAATACCCAAACAACTGTAGCCCACCCTCTCACCACTGCCTAGGCGGACGACCAGTGTCCCCAGCTAGATCTCTACCCTTAGGAGCAGGGCACTGGCTGACCCGGAGAACCTGCGCCGCCTCTTCTCAGCCTGCTGCCAGCCCAGTGCACGAGCTGAATGCCGCTGCCGCCTGGCTGGCCGGGAAAGACGGGGATCTTGACGCGGCGGCGCCTGGGACACGGCAACCGCAGCACAGGGCATGGCCCTGCGGCTGGACCGGACGCGGCGGCTGCAGGCAGAGCAGGAAGAGAGCGCAGGCTGGGCAGCGGCGTACGCTTCGGCGACGTCAGCTTCCGGGGCCGTGGACGGGGGCGCGCCCGAGCCTCCTGGAAACCTCCCCACCAAGGACCTGGGGAACCCAAGTCTCGGCCCGCTTTGTAGCCTCTGGTTTCTAAATTCAGCGTCGAGGAGCGAAAACAACCCCCCTGAACTGGGCCCAGACCCTTAAGCTCCTGGAACCTCAGTTTTTCCTTCCGTCGAATGGCGACAATGGCTGTCTGGTTGAACGTTATTTTACCTAGGAAGTAATAATTTTCGTAAATAGGTCTCTGAGAGTATTTGCTTGCTAAAATCCTGCTTTGTCCTGGAAGCAAATTTAGGCCACGTTAGGGGCGGGGACTTCGTATTTAATGTTGAGCACCTGGCGAGCGCCACCTTCGCCTCAAAGCGCCCTCGGACCCTGATCCAGCATAAGGCCAGAGTTGGGCAGTGAGGGGTCTCGAGAGGTGGAAAGGGGATTATTGCCCTCTCAAGAGTCCTACGTAGGTGACTCCTAAGCCTTAGCATTTACTCCCTTAGACCGTGTAACAGGCCACCCCAATTACGCGCCAAACTCAGGCTGCGGCTCTTGGCGCAGCCTCGGTCCCGCCTGATTTCAGTTTCCATTTCGCTGCCCCTGGTGCCCCACCGCCCGCGGCTGTCTGGGGATTTGCCCGGTGATCAGTGACGTAAAAGAGACTAAGGTTCCCATTGGATGGCGAAGTTCGGCAGGAGCCAATCCCGGGGCTGGTCCGGGAGAAATCTCGGCGAAGGGCCCCGAATAGCCGGGAGATTACGGGGCGGGGACGAGCTGTCGCGCTGGTTGCTCGTGCAGGAGCGGGACCCGGAACAGACCGCCGTGAGAGAGGAGGGGTGCCGGCCGGGATTCGCGGCCCGGAGCTCGGGACCGGTGAGTAGGGGGTGCACATGAGACATACAGCGAAGCAACAGTCTCGTACGCTCACCGGGTTTGGGGCGACCCAACGCAGCCGCCGGGCCCGGGTTCAAAACGGGGCCAGGCCCCCGGGCGGGCTCAGGAGGGGGTCAAGTTCGCTGCGTCCTCCCTGCCAGCCAGATCCCTCCTGTTTGCTTGTCCTTACATTCTCCCCCTCCTCTTGGGTCTTTCTCGCTTTCTGGTATCCTACTCAGACTCCCATCCATTCTAGTCTGCGGAACCAGAAGTAAGCGGGGCCTGGATGACCGTCCGGTTGCTTGGAGCCTGGTAGATAGGCGACTAATCCAGCTCCCTGACCAAAGTGTCATGCTTTCTTTCTCTTTCTTTTTTTTTTTTTTTTTTTTGTTCGGAGTAAACCGGTTTAGCCACAAATACTTGGAGCTGTGCTTTCACTCCTTCCAGCTCATTAGCATTTTTCTTACTGATTTTCTCCCTATTTGGCCTTAGAAAAAAAGTGTAAATTTAACTCTGTGGAGTAAATGGGAGGGACACACTTCCAAATCTCCAGTAGATTTCAAATTTTGACCCACGATTTGTGTGTACTTCAAAAGAGGGGAGAATGACATTCGTTTATGCATGCCTTAACCTCCTGTTTTTAACTCTTAGCTGAAATCATAATCCCTAACATGTTTTTCCCCAAGTTCAAAAAAATCACCTTTAAAAAAAATAGGCTTTTTATGTTTCAAAAATTGCAATTTTATTGTTTAAGTAGACTTTATTTCTTACAACACTTTTAGATTTACAGAAGAATTGAGAAGATAGTACAAACTTCCCACATGCTCCAAACCGGATCCCCTGTTATTAACATCTTACCTCAGTGTGGTACATTTGTTGCAGTTAACCAATATCAATACATTATTATTGACCAAAGTCCATAGTGTGTTCAGATTTCCTTAGTTTTTACCTCAGTACTTTTTCTGTTTCATGATCCCATGGAGGTTACCACATTACATTTAGTTGTCATGTCTCCTTATGCTCCTCTTGGCTGTGGGAGTTTCTCAGACTTGTTTTGATGACCTTGACAGCATTGAAGAATACTGGTCGTGTATGTTGTAGGATGCCCCTCTATTGGAATTTGATGTTTTTCTCCTAAGACTGGGCTTATGGGTAACTGGGAGGAAGACCACAGAGGTAGATTGCCATTATCATCCCATCGTATCAAGGGCATGTACTAACATGATTTATGACTTAATATTGATTTGGGTGAGATAGTGTTTTTCAGGTTTCTCCACTGTACAGTTAGTCTCTTTTCCACTCTTTGCGTGTATTGTCCTCTTTAGAAGGAAGTCACTAAGTGCAGCCCATACCTAGGGAGCCAAGAGTTATATTCCCCCTTCTTGAGGGCAAGTATCTACATATTATTGTTTGCAGTTATTCTGCATGGAAGATTTGTTTCTCTCTTCCCCCAATTTATTAATTTATTCAATCATTAATTTCAGTGTAGACTCAGGGACATTTATTTTATACTTTGGTTTATAATCCAATACTACTTAATTTTGTTGCTCAAATTACTGTGGCTTTGGCTGTTGGGAGCTCTTTTCACATTGGCTCCTGTGCTCTTTCATAGTATTTTTATAGAGCTTTTTGCTAATGAGACACTCGTACTTATGTGACCTTGCCTCAACCTCAAATAGCCTGGTAAACTTGGCAAAATATTTTCCCCTTGTTAAGAGGTAAGGAGACTGAAGGCCTAAGGCAGTGGGTGACTTCTTAGATATCACTTCCTGCAGGGGAGTAACAGGTTGGACTCAGATTGTGTGTGACCACCACAGAAGACACTGCAAACCCCCGAAGAGAGTCCATGGTCTGTATTGAGGCTTCTTGGAATGACTTCAGACTTGGACCCCCCCAGGATCAGAATAGAAAAGACACGGAGAATGGGAAATTGGTTTGAGAAGACAAAAACATAAATTGGCTGGCATCAGGATGAATTAGATTTTGCCAGCTTTATAGAAATGGAATTTTGTTCTTCCCCCCAAAATTGTGTGTGTGTGGAGGGAGGCCAAGAGATATCTAGGTAATGTGTGTGGGCAAGAATGTCTAATCTAAAGAGAGCCCTGGAAGCCTGCTGCTGAAGCAGAATTTTAATGTGGGAAAGGGGGGTGTGTAGTGAAAGGGGGAAGAATGGAGATGGCAGGGCTCTGGAATTAGAGGAGGTCATTCATTTCACAAACATTTGCAGACCCCCTACTTTGTGCCAGATATTGGAGATAAAAAGGTCAGTGAGGCATGACCTTTGGGTTCACATTCTGGTGGGAGAGAAGACAGATAAAAATATCAATTACAGCCACTTATCCATAGCTTAGTTTTCCGTGGTTTCCGTTACCCATGGTCAACCTCAGCCCAAAGACAGTAAACAGAAAATTCCAGAAGTAAACAATTCATAAGTTTTAGATGTGCATTGTTCTGAGTAGCATGATGAAATCTCTTGCCCTCCCACTGTTCCTTCATCACAAGAAGGGTAAGTACAGTACAAGATAGTTTGAGAGAGAGAGAGACCACATGCATATAACTTTTATTACGGTATATTGTTATTCTGTTGTGTTATTATTGTTAATCTATTTCTGTGCCTACTTTATAAACTTTATTACAAGTGTGTATGTGTAGGAGAAACAGGTTTCAGACATCCACTGGGGGTTTTGGAATGCATCTCCTGAGGATTGAGGGGACTCCTGTATGAATGTATCTTTAGCGGATGGGGGGTGCTACTGTATGAAGCACTGTGATAGTGCTATTGTAGAAATACAGTGTATGCAAAGCTGCAGGAGGAGGGATACATTCAACTCAGAGGTGGGATGGGTACAGGAAACACCTCACAGATAAGGGGACAAATTGTATTCAAGCCTTCAAGGATGCGCTGGACTGGAGAGAAGAGCATGTACAAGGGAATGGGTGGAGAGTGGGGAGTGAAGAAGGGGCTGTCTTCCTGGTTCAGTGTATCTAATGGCCAGAGAATTAGGTAGGACGAGGAGGGATTTGGGGCTGGATGGGTAAGTTGGGGCTAGCCGGATGCAGGGCAGGGGAGGATGTCTGTGCAGTTTTTTTTTTTTGTTTTGAGTCAGAGTCTCGCTCTGTCACCCAGGCTGGAGTGCAGTGGCGTGATCTCAGCTCACTGCAACCTCCGCCTCCTGGGTTCAAGCGATTCTCCTGCCTCAGCCTCCCGAGTAGCTAGGACTACAGGCGCGTGCCACCATGCCCGGCTAATTTTTGTATTTTTAGTAGAGGCTGGGTTTCACCATGTTGGCCAGGATGGTCTCGATCTCTTGACCTCATGATCTGCCCACCTCGGCCTCCCAAAGTGCTGGGATTACAGGCGTGAGGCACCGTGCCCGGCCACCTGTGCAGTTTTGACCTCAGCTAGTAGGAGTTTTTTTGGTGTGTTTGTTTTTATTTTTATTTTTATTTTTATTTATTTATTTTATTTTAGAGACAGTCTCTCCCTATGTTGGCCAGGCTAGTCTTGAACCCCTGGATTCAAGGGATCCTCCTGCCTCAGCCTCCCACAGTGCTAGGATTATAGGCATGAGGCACCAAACCCAGCCTCAGCTAGGAGATTTGAAGCAGGAGAATAACAAGGATGAGATCCTGTGTGCTAGAAGGATGATCCTGGCAGCACTTTTTAGGAAATATGCCACATCTCACCAAATCTAAGATGCTATTTGTCTTAATCCATTTTCTGTTGCTGTAACAGAATACCACAGACTGGGTAAATTGTAAACAACAGATGTTTATTCAGCTCACGGTTCTGGCCAATGGACTCTTGCAAGAAAGGCATTAATCCATTCATGAGAGTTACACCCTCATGACCCAGTCACGTCTTAAAGACCCCACCTCTTAATACCGTTACATTGGCAATTACGTTTCCAACACGTGAACTTTTGGGGGACATGTTCAAACCACAGCACCACCAAATCTTTTATGTGCCCTTATTTTATGCTCCACATCAAAAAAATATTTTGCCAGTTAAATTATGACATGCAATTGATCACATTTCAGAGATGCTAAAATGTGATGTCACAGGTGTCTCAAATTTGATGAAAAGCACTAACTCCCTTGCTGATGGCTTAGATTCCTCCCTTTCCCTGGATTAATGGTTAGGATGTCTCCATCTCACTAACTCATAGATGGTAAGTTACCAAGGGAAAGAAGAACAGAAGCTGGGTGGGCCCTTCCCCTTCTCTCCCCAAAGATAAACATTTACAACATTTACTGGTTGGGTCGAGGAGCACAATATCTGGTCTGCTGCTATAGGATTCCTTGGCCTGTTATTGGGCCTGTCTCATGCTGTTTCCTTTTGGGGAGTTAAATACACACACACACACACACACACACACACACACACACACACATATTCTATATCCCATCCTCCAGAGTGGCAAAAATTAAAGCTGATATTATCAGGTGTTGGTGAGGCTGTGGGGCATCATGAGTGCTCATAGCCTGCTGAGCAGACTACATAGCACTATAGTCACTTTGGAAACAGTTTGGCCTGCTTAGTCAAATTGAGGGTACATCTTGCCTGTGTGTGCTAGAACATGTATGCAGAAATATTCACTGAAGCAGTGTTTGTAATTGTCCCAAACTGGAAACAACTCATATGGCTATCAGTAGACTGCATTAAAAATTGTATAGTTAGAGAGCAGCAATTAAGTAAAATCAGCTCATAATCACATGGATGAGCCTCACAAACATGTTGACAGCCCCCCACCCAAATACATGGAAAAAAAAAAAAAAAAAAGGAAAAAAATTCCATTCATTTGAGGCTCAAAACCTGAGAAAATAAACTCTGTTTATGGGGTGTATACCTAGGTCTAAAACTAAAGAAAAGGGAAGGAGTGATTCTCACTATTACAATTTACTCCACAACAACCATTTTCTCAGACACAGCTTTTTCTTCTCCTGGTTTCTGTAAGTTGCTGGAGCGAAACCTTGGATACGATGATTTGCTGGTGACGTGCAGCCCACTGTTCTTGCTGCTACAGGGAATATGAAGAAATTGCTTCTCTCTCTACCAATTTACTACCATCTTGCTGGAGAGAAAGGGCAGGTGGCTAAGATTGTTCGCATTCCTTCAGCAGATGTGTAGGAAGCATCTTCTTTGTGTCAGATACTCTGTGCTTGTGCTTTGTTTTCTCAGTCAGTTTTTATTGTCTACTCTGTGCCAAGTAATATGTAGATTCTGGTGATAAGACAGACACAATCTCTCTCCTTGTTTCATGGAAAAAGCTGGTGTTAAGCGAGTAATTACACTAATAAGTCAGGACTTAAAACTGCAGAGAAGTACAGGGTGCAGCATGGGGTGTTTTGGGGCTGTATAACTAGACTACATGTGGACCCAATCTGACAGGTCAGGAAAGAATTGCCAGAGGAGGTGGCTTTCAGCTGAGACTTCAAGCTAGAAAAGGCATTTGCTAAGTGGGAAAGGGATGGTGTTCTAGGCAGAAGGAATTACATTGTCGAAGGGCTTAGCCAGGAAAGAGCATAGCACTTTGAGGCATGGAGAGCGGTTTGGTTTGGCTGTGAGTTTGAGGTGGGGAGTGGCAGGAAATGAGCCTGGAGACACAGGCTGGGCCATGATTATCTGGGAATCCAGCTAGGATCTCCTGGGACAGCCTCCTCACAGAAGAAAGGAAGGACAGGAGTTTTGACTTTATTCCTGGAGCACCAGAAAGCCATTGAGGGGTTTAACCTGGTTGGTCACCCGGGCAGATTGGCAGTTTAACACGTGACCGAGTGTGTTTGAGGATCAAAAGGCCAGAGTGGCTGCAGCACTGGGGCAGCAAAGGGGAGAGGAGGTTTATGTAAATCAGGAAACCCTTGAGGGTTTGATGATCCCACAGTTGGATCTGATTTCAGCTTCTAAAGGATTCCTCAGGTCACTGGATGTAAGTTCTGGTAGGACAGGGAGTTTGCCACTTTTGTTCTCTGCTGTAACCTCGGTGCCTGACACATAGTCGGCACCTAATAAACATCTGCTAGCTGTTGAATAACTTTCAACATCCTGCTGCTTAAACCCTCAATGGCTTCCCAGGGCTGTTAGGATAAAGTCCAAAATTCTTAACCTGGGTCACAGTCTTGCATAATCTGTTCCCTCCTGTTTCTCCACCCTTCCTCTGCTCGCCTCACTGCACTCCACCTGTGGCCAATTGTCAGCTCCTCAAATTCACCGCTACCCTTTCTCCGGCGGATGATTTCCTCTGCCTGTGAGGCTAACCCTCCACAGCACTCCATATGGGCAGGGAAGAGTTCATTTTCCAGGCACCAAAGTGCAGTGTATGGTGGAATGGAAGGAGCCCAGAGCTGGGAGGTGCACCTCACCCCACCTCGTGCTAGTGCTGGCCTTGCTGCCAGCCAGCTCTGCTGCTGGGCAAATGAGTCCGAGGCTCTGGCACTCACTGTCCTCCTCTGTAAATAAGGGGTTCTAGTGATTCACAGTCCTGAATAGACTTTAGAATCTCCTGGGAAGTTTGTTTTTTAATACCAGAGCCTGGGCCACCTCTGGAGATCCTAAGTCAGTTGGTCTAGGTATGTTTTGAAGACTCACCAGTTTGAAGACTACAAATCTGATGTGTAGTCAAGGTTTGAACCATTCCACAAGATGATAAAGGATTCCTTCCTATATTTGGTGCAAAGCACCAAGTGACACTTAGGAATATTTTAGACAAGAGAGCTTGGTTCATGATTCAACATTAGACAGATATTCTGGCACAAATATGAAGAACCCTCAATTTTCCCCTGTGGGTCAGCCACAAGACCAGGGCAATTTAACGCCTTGTCTCATCCACCTCCCAGCTGGCTGCTACCTCCTGCCCCTCTTTGAGCCCTGTGGGGATTTCTAGCGTTCAGAGCCCTGGTAGTTTTTGTGGCCTGCACTGTGCTTCAGAGCACCACTGATGCTCGGCTCCGTGGGGAAAGTAAGCCAAGTGTGACCACAAGAACGCATCATCCACAGTCACTGGGATCTCCTGGGACAGCCTGGGATCCAGGCCTTTGGCCTGGCCAGTAGGGGTGCAGTCACTCCTAGTATGCACATCCAGATCACTTGCTTTTTGCCCCGAATTCTGGCCTCTCCAGGTTTGTTAGAGGTGTCTCACGGAAGTTTACCCCATGGAGAGTTTGCTTATCTCAGATTAAAATATGGGGATTAATCTGGGACCCAGGAGCCCTTAAATGGAGTACCCACAGGGAATGGAGCTCTAGGCTAAGTGCTTTGGGATTACAGGTGCTTTGCTCTTGTTTGGAGGTCCAGACATATGCTTGAGAAGCAGCTTGGGATACTCAAGAGAGGCCTGAACTGGTACCCTGGAGGCCAGGATGAAAACCCAGGCCTCTCCATTTACTTTCTTGGGCCCCAGAGTCCACATTTGGGATTCACTGTCTACCAGGGCACCTCTCTGGGTGGCATCTAGGAGCCGGAGGCAGGCCAGAGTTTCACCCAGGCTGGAGTGCAGTGGCGCAGTCATGGCTGTCTGCAGCCTCAACTTCCCGGGCTCGGGAGATCCTCCTGCCTCAACTTCCTAAGTAGCTGGAACTATAGGCATGTGCCATCGCACCCAGCTAATTCAGCTAATTTCTTTTTTTGGAGACAATGTCTCACTATATTACCCAGGCTGGTCTCAAACTCCTGGGCTCAGGCAGTCCTCCTGCCTTAGCCTCCCACAGTGCTGGAATTACAGGCACAAGCCCCCGTGCCCGGCTTTCAGCTAGTTTTTGTAGCTCATAGTGATTATTCTTGGAGCCAATAATCGTGCATGCATCCACATCTTGAAATTACATGGTGTCACCTTGACCAGTCTGTTGACATATGCAGATTAGGTATTTATGAGATCCAGAGACTTATAGGGGAGGGGTGGATTTCAGGGAAAAGGGAACCTCTTAGAGAAAGGTAGGGAGTGTCTGCAGTTCTGCCTGTGAGGAGGGTACCAGGACATTGCAGGGCTTGTTTGTTGCATCTTCCTGGTTCTATAGAATTGCAGCTAGCTTCTGGTTTATTTTTTCATTTTTATTTTTTGAGATGGAGTTTTGCTCTTGTTGCCCAGGCTGGAGTGCAATTGGCGTGATCTCAGCTCACTGCAACCTCCGCCTCCTGGGTTCAAGCGATTCTCCTGCCTCAGCCTGCCCAGTAGCTGGGATTATAGGCATGCGCCACCACACCTGGCTAATTTTGTATTGTTAGTAGAGATGGGGTTTCTCCTTGTTGGTCAGGCTGGTCTCAAACTCCCGATCTCAGGTGATCCACCCGCCTCTGCCTCCCAGAGTGCTAGGATTACAGGCAGAAGCCACCGCGCCCGGCCGCTTCTGGTTTATTGAAGAGACAGAAAAATACCCCCTCACCCCCAGCAGGGATGTGTGACCTCTGGTGCAAGGGAGTTCATGAAGTGACTTCTTCAGGTTCAGAATTCTCATCTGAGTAAAGGGAGTGGGGGTGGAGTGGGTCATCTCTGAGGTTTTTTTTTTTTGGCTCTGATTTTGGTTTCTGTCTGCCCAGGAGTCAGGAATGGAGAGAAGGGTAATGGTTTTACCTCTTATTGTGGAAACCTGTTGAGATCACAGAGAATATACTGACGGCATAAAAGGGCAGAACCATAGCAGGGTGCGGTAAGTTGGGGAAGAGTTTTTGGAGAGGGTGAATTTTGCATTGGACCGGACAGAATTGTGTATGGGGAAGGGGAGCGGTTATTCTGGTCTGCTCACATCTCTCATACTCAACCTCATTTCTCCTAATTCTGAAATCTTGAGATCCTCTATCACTAAGAAGGAAAACTACTGTCCAACAGGGACACTTTATTGCTCACCCCATATGTGAAAGTTTGTCATAGCTAAGGCTAGGGTGCTTTTGGTCAGTATCAGCAGAATATATGCCCCCTTTCTTTTGTCAGCATTACTCCGCTTACAAAGCCCTTCCATGTAGATGACCTCATCTGAGCTTCCTAACAAAGGAGCTGGTATTAGACCCCATTTTACAGTGTGCCTGGGTAGGGAAGAGAGTGTAGTGGATTGAGCAGAGGCCTTGGCACCAGACACTGCTTCCTAGCCATGTGCTCTTGGGCAAGTTGCTTAACCCTGCTGAGCCTCAGTTTCCTCAGAAGGAGTCTGTATAAGCAAGGGGAGGGATTGGTCATAGAAGTGGTACTGTGTTTCATTTATCTAGTTATGGCAGACTCTCAAAAACAAATGGTTCTATACAACTAACATTGTCTGCAATTCCCCTGAATCCATTCACTTGTTCAGTAAATGTGTATTGAGCTTCTACAAGGTGTCAAGCACCATGATCTCTGTATCAGTGATTTAACCATTTTTGATGGTTACTACAGACCTCTTTAAGAATGTGATAGAAAACTGTAGCTCCCTCCCCAGAAAACTTTTCTAGCTTTTTATTTTGCTTTGCAGTGAGCCAAGATAGTTCCACTGCACTCGGGGGACAGAGTAAGACCCTGTCTCAAAAAAAAAAAAAAGAAAGGAACCATTTCAAATTAGGTGGGAGACATGGAGCTCTAAATACTACAGCATCCATTGCCTAGAAATACAGGTATTCTCAGCCGGGCGCGGTGGCTCACACCTGTAATCCCAGCACTTTGGGAAGCCAAGGCAGGTGGATCACCTGAGGTCAGGAGTTTGAGACCAGCCTGGCCAACCTGGTGAAACCCCGTCTCTACTAAAACTACAAAAAATTAGCCGGATGTGGTGGTGGGCACCTGTAATCCCAGCTACTAGGGAGGCTGAGGCAGGAGAATCGCTTGAACCTGGCAAGCGAAGGTTGTAGTGAGCCAGATTGCGCCATTGCACTCCAGCCTGGGCAACAAGAGAAAAACTCCATCTCAAAAATAAATAAATATATTAATAAATAAATAAGAAGTATAGGCATTCTCATACATAACCTCAGTAAATACCATTAAGAAAATAATTTTAGACATGGTGCAGTTGCTCATGCCTATAATCCCAGCACTTTGGGAGGCTGAGGTGGGAGGATGGCTTGAGCCTAGGAGTTTGAGACCAGCCTGGGCAATATAGTGGCAACTCTTCTCTACAAAAACCTTTAAAAATTAGCCAAGTGTGGTAGTATGCACCTGTTGTTGCAGCAACTCGGGAGCCTGAGATGAGAAGATTGCTTGAGCCAGGGAGGCCGAGGTTGCAGTGAGCCCAGATAGTTCCACTGCACTCTGGGGGACAGAGTAAGACCCTGTCTCAAAAAAAAAAAAAAAAAAAAGAAAGAGAGGAAATAATTTTTTAATATGATCTAACACCCAGCCTACTTACAAATTTCCCACAATAGTTCCAAGACTATTTTTATAACCTTTTTTTTCTTTTTACAGGATCCAATCAAGGTTCACGTATTGCATTTGGTTATTATTTCTCTTTAGTCTGTAAAAATCAAAAGCAGTTCTTTCGAAGGTTTTTTTTTATGACATTGACTTTTTAAAAGACTAGGCCAGTTGCCATGTGCAATGTCCAGCATTCTGGATTTATCTGGTTCTTTCCTTATGGTGTGGTTTAATTCCTCCATCGGTACTTTTTCAGTTATAACATACTTCAGAGTATTCCTTTCCTTTATATTTTTTATAAACTGGAAGTTAGATCTAAAGTCTTGACTAGATTCATTCAAGTCAAACATTTTTGGCACAAACACTTCATAGGTAATGTTGTGTGATTCATATAGTGCCATGCCAGAAAGCACATGCCACTTTGCCCCGTCTGCTGATGACGCTGGATTTGGTCACTTAGTTAAGATAACCACTGGATCTCTTCCTTATGAAGGTATGTCAGGAAGTAATCCATTCATTGGTGCTTTGGCACCATGGGTACTATCTCATCCCCCAAAACTTTTCACCTAATAGTTTTAGCATCTATTGATGATCCTTGTGCTATTATAATGGCAGTCGCAAAATGATTTTCTAATTCTGTTATCCCTCTTCTACTTATTTGCTGATTAATCTTACAGAAGGTTATTCTTCTGTAATCCCCAGACAATTTTAGGTATCTAGTACATATGCAATAATTTTTAGACAGTTTCAGGAGGTTTAGAGACCATCAAACCCCAGCATGGAGCCTGGGTGATGAGGTGTCCTGTTTTGCATGGAAGAAGAGCTGTAGCTGAGCTCTTCATAGTCCTTTTATTGTTCTTATTTTGCAAGTAAATTGCAAAATAAGTTCCCAACCCAAAGATAACACAGGCTATCCTTCAACAAAGAAAAACCTCAGCTTTTAAACTTCTAGGCCATTTGGCAAAGAGGCATGATAAAGGGCTTGAAAGCCCACAGACACGCCCAGTACCACTCCTTTTTCCTCTTTCCAAACACTTGCAGTATGTTACAACTGAAAAACTGCTGAGCCAGGCTTATTTCCTCAACAGTAAAGCCAAGGAGTTGGACCAGGCAATTCCTAGCATTTCTTTCTTTTTTTTTTTTTGAGATGGAGTCTCACTCTGTCACCCAGGCTGGAGTGCAATGGCACGATCTCGGCTCACTGCAACCTCTGCCTCCCGGGTTGAGGTGATTGATTCTCCTGCCTCAGCCTCCTGAGTAGCTGGGACTACAGGTGCATGCTACCACACCTGGATAATTTTTGTATTTTTAGTAGAGATGGGGTTTCACCGTGTTAGCCAGGATGGTCTCAATCTCCTGACATTGTGATTCACCTGCCTCGGCCTCCCAAAGTGTTGGGATTACAGGTGTGAGCCACCGTGCCCGGCCAATTCCTAGCATTTCTACCAGCATTACTAACATGTAGGAACTTGATATTACTTTCACTTGACAGTTAAATTCCTTGAATCCTTCATTTGAGCTTTGAAGGTGCTTGATTTTCCCCTCATTATGTCTCTTAAAGTCACACATACCTAGATCCATTAGTGCTTCCAGTTGGAATTTATTATCAGCACTATAAGAATCTCTTATATTTATGTAGTCCTTTTACGTTATAAAACACTTTTTATGTATTATTGTACTAGACCCTCAATGAGTGGACGTTATATCCCTGTTTTGTTTACTCTTGGGTCTTATAGACTGGGGGTTTTATTTCTGTCCCATTAATGTCACTACTGACAGAGGCCACTGAACTCTGTTGTGATGGACTTTCACCATACATAATCATTAATAGTATTGATTTGCCTGTAATTCAGGTTGCTTCATTCCAGCCTCGCAGTCACCTCTGTGCCCTGCTGGTTGTCTTCCCAGCGCTGCTGTAGTTGCCTTCCATGGATCTATAGGAGAGCAAGTCCTCCAGGTACTGCCCTGTGACGATGTTGTTGAACTCTGTAGCACGTGTGTCACTGTGGCTGGTTCTGCTCACTTCCTCTTTTGCTGCCACTTTTGAATTTAACTCTTTGTTTGTGGTTTGGACACTCACTGGATTTGGAAACCAGGGGTTGTGGGTTCTCTCCTAGATTTCCGTCTGTGTACCAGGCTTGTGCTTAGCACTTTTCCCATAATTCTTTCACATGACCTGCTTAGAAACCCTTAAAGGTAAGTATCACTCTTCCCATTTTACAGATGGATACACTGAGGCTCAGTACTTAAGTGACTTCTGTATTGTCACACAGAGTCAGGGGCAGGAGGCTGCTCTTGGGTTAGATGTGCTGAGGCTCATAACCTCAGCCTGGAACTGGGTCAGGACTACAAAGGTAAACAGAAGCAGAGTCCTTTCTGTGTGTCCCCGCTCCCTGTACAAGCCAAGGCCTCACAGCACATAGCAGCCACAGCCACCTGAGGATTCCTGCCATCTAGACGAGGCAGTTACAGCCAAGAACAAGTCCACTGAGGCTAAGCTGTGCTCCTCTGGAGGGCTGTGTTTAGAGTCCAGCCTTCTAGGGGAAGCAAATTAAACCCAAACTATAGAACAGCCCAGGGAAATACTCACAAAGGGAAATGCTGACAGTCAGACTCCTGAAGCTTCCTGATGCTTCTCGAGTTTTGGTAAAGAACCTCAGTGCTGTTTGTTTGTTTGTTTTTTAATGTTTTCTGGTTTTTTGTTTGTTTTGAGACAGTCTCTTATTCTGTTGCCCAGTCTGGAGTGTAGTAGTACAATCATGGCTCACTGTAGCCTCCACCTCCCAGATTCAAGTAATCCTTCTGCCACAGCCTCCTCAGTAGCTGAGACTACAGATGCATGCTACTACACTGGGGTATTTTAAAAAATTTTTAAATTTTTTTAGTTGAGACAGGGTCTCACTATGTTGCTGAGGCTGGTTTCAAACTCCTCGGTTCAAGTGATCCTCCTGCCTCAGCCACCCAAAGTGTTGGATTTACAGGGTGAGCCATGTCACATTGCCCTCTCTTAGTTCTTGAAACCTGAAACCTTGAGGAGCAAACAAAAGGGGTCTCTTGGCCAGGTGCAGTGGCTCACGCCTGTAATCCCAGCACTTTGGGAGGCCGAGGCAGGTGGATCACGAGGTCGGGAGATCAAGACCATCCTGGCTAACACGGTGAAACCCCGTCTCTACTAAAAATACAAAAAATTAGCCAGGTGTGGTGGTGGGTGCCTGTAGTCCCAGCTACTCGGGAGGCTGAGGCAGGAGAATGGTGTGAACCTGGGAGGCGGAGGTTGCAGTGAGCTGAGATCACGCCACTGCACTCCAGCCTGGGCGACAGAGTAAGACTCCATCTCAAAAAAAAAAAAACCAAAAAAAAAAAACGGGCGGTCTCTTGACTCTGTCAGGACCCCCATGACTGCTCGTGTGTCTTGTGCTTTGCACAGTTGAGTGAAGGAGCACTGTGTCCACAGTAGACATTGTAGATTTATATATGTATCATTATGAGTTTCCCAGCAGGTAGTGAGAGATTTTTTATTACAGTTGGTGCATTACAGCGATTTTCCAACAGATAGAAGGAAAGGGTGTTGAGGCTCTCCCAACAGCAAGGTATAGGCTAGTGGCTGTCCTGCTCTTCACTCTACCAAGCTAATCTTTCTGGGTTTCCATATCCTTATCTGTACAATGAGGAAGTTGGACTAGATCTATAAGGTCCTCTTCTCGTTGACATTGTGTGAACCTTGTAGGAGCTGGTGGTGTCTGTCGATTGACTGAGTGCTGGAGCTGGCAGCCCTGTGCAGGCTGCCACCTTTGCCCCTTTACTGTGCTTGCTCCTGACTCTATGTCGCGTCTTCAAGGAGAAGAAGTCCTCACCAGTGAACGGAGACCTCTCTGAACTAAGGATACCATGGCCACGTCAGCCCCACTACGGAGCCTGGAAGAGGAGGTGACCTGCTCCATCTGTCTTGATTACCTGCGGGACCCTGTGACCATTGACTGTGGCCACGTCTTCTGCCGCAGCTGCACCACAGACGTCCGCCCCATCTCAGGGAGCCGCCCCGTCTGCCCACTCTGCAAGAAGCCTTTTAAGAAGGAGAACATCCGACCCGTGTGGCAACTGGCCAGCCTGGTGGAGAACATTGAGCGGCTGAAGGTGGACAAGGGCAGGCAGCCGGGAGAGGTGACCCGGGAGCAGCAGGATGCAAAGTTGTGCGAGCGACACCGAGAGAAGCTGCACTACTACTGTGAGGACGACGGGAAGCTGCTGTGCGTGATGTGCCGGGAGTCCCGGGAGCACAGGCCCCACACGGCCGTCCTCATGGAGAAGGCCGCCCAGCCCCACAGGGTAAGCCCTCTTCACCCCCGAGGGTGCCTTGCCACCTTCTCTGGATGCTCCACCTTGCAGTCCTCAGAGGACTCAGCCTGAGTCTCCCTTCCTGCCCCAGCCCAGAGCATCCACCTGTTGCCACTGCTTGTTTTTCCACAGGAAAAAATCCTGAACCACCTGAGTACCCTAAGGAGGGACAGAGACAAAATTCAGGGCTTCCAGGCAAAGGGAGAAGCTGATATCCTGGCCGCGCTGGTAAGTGAGGCTGTTTCAGGAAGCCCTGAGGCGGTGCGCCCGTGTAGGGCAGGGTGAGCCTGGGCAAGTAGGCGGCAGCTGGGAGGTGTTTCTAGGCGCTGCTCACAGGGAGGATGGGTGTCAGCCTGGCAGTAGCAGACCTGGGTTTTAGCCCAAGTGCTGTCTTTCTGAGCCGTGTAGTCTTGGGCCTGTTTCTTGTCTGAGAGACAAGTGGGCTGCCTGGATGTCAGCTAGAGTCCCTTCCGTTTTCTGTGACTGTCACCTTGAAGGCAGGGCCCATGTCCAGCTGCTGGTTCTCTTCTGCCAGGGGACTGAAGAAGGTGTGGCTTCATTCTTCCTTTCAAAGAGAGAGAGAGAGACAAGGTTGCCTGAGAGTGGAGAGGGTTTAGAAGGAGGGAGCTGGCTCCAGGGTAAGAACTGAGAGGGAAGGGCTAGAAAACAGCTAAGGCAGGTCTGCCAATTCTGATGGCACTGTATGTAGTGAGGTCCAGGCCCAGGATCATGGTTGCCAGTACAGTGGGACCTCCTCCATATCTGTGGGTTCCGTAGCGGCGAATTTACCCAACCATGGATCAGAAATATTCAGAAAAAAGAAAAAGCGTCTCTACTGAACATGTACAGATTTTTTTTCTTGTCATTATTCTCTAAACAATTCAGTGTAACAGCTATTTATATAGCATTTACATTATATTAGGCATTATAAGTAATCTAGTGATAATTTAAAGTATATAGTAGATTTTATGTAACTATTATTCCATTTTACATAAGAACTTGAGCATCCTTGGATTTTGGTATCCTTGGGGAGGGAGATCCTGGAACCCATCACCCACTGATACCAAGGGACAACTGTAGTTAGAAAACAGGCAGCACATTATGTACTTGATTAGAGATGGGGTTGGGGGGAACTGATCAAATGGTTCTGATTTTCT
This sequence comes from Homo sapiens, assembly GCF_000001405.40. Lineage (NCBI taxonomy): Eukaryota > Metazoa > Chordata > Mammalia > Primates > Hominidae > Homo > Homo sapiens. Next base: position 1,452,607 of record NT_167248.2, on the reverse strand, counting down.
GGGGAACTGTGTATGTTGAGGAAGTGGGCAGTGGAGGAGTAGTGGGGTCAGGGCCAGTGGTGAGTCATTAGGCCTAGGGAGAGGGAAACAGTAAGCTAGAGACAGCCAAGTCCAAGGACCCCTCCAGGCCCTCAGTGTGCATGGCTGCCCCCAGCTCAGCACCAGTCAACAGGGCCACTGAGGACTCCCCCAACCCCAGCTGGGGAGGAGATTTGGAGGCAGGAAAGGACATAGTCCCTAAGCACAGACGTCACACAATTTTGCTGAGGAAACAGGATGCAGTCTTACATGGCAGGGGTGGGGTACATATAGATATTTTAGACTGAACAGTGGGGTGCTGAAGAGAGGGCTGGTCAGGCTTAGATGACATTAATCAAGCAAAACTTCCTGGAAGAGGTGACAGATTTTGTCCAGGAGGGAAAAGTGCGTCGGCTCATGAGTGAGACCCACAGAGTTTCTCTAGGGGCCCCAGAGCGTACTGGTTTAGCTAGAACAGATTGTGGCTGACCAGTCAGGTGGAGACAGGGTTTTGACCATATAGTGGTGGGGTGAACTGAACTAATTCATTACTGGAGTCTTCTTTGAGAAGCGGAGTGTGGACCAGGAACCCTCTGTAGCTCCTCCCACTCCAGATCCTGTAGAATTCCTGAACGGGGGTAGCGAGGTGAACGAGCCAGCCTTGCACACCTCCAGCACTGGGCCCTCCACCCTGAGCAGAGGTGTCAGCCCTTCTCCCCTTCCTGCCCCCTGCAGAAGAAGCTCCAGGACCAGAGGCAGTACATTGTGGCTGAGTTTGAGCAGGGTCATCAGTTCCTGAGGGAGCGGGAGGAACACCTGCTGGAACAGCTGGCGAAGCTGGAGCAGGAGCTCACGGAGGGCAGGGAGAAGTTCAAGAGCCGGGGCGTCGGGGAGCTTGCCCGGCTGGCCCTGGTCATCTCCGAACTGGAGGGCAAGGCGCAGCAGCCAGCTGCAGAGCTCATGCAGGTGAGAGGCCGTCCCTGGGCAGGGCGCCAGGGACCAGGACGGTGGGTCCCAGCCCTGCCATTCACTTGCAGGACCTTAGAAGACTTGGGGGCTCAGTTTTGTCATCTGAAACATGGAGATGATAATCCTTACTGCTGCCAATTAGTCTGTAGATTGCATGAGCATAAAATGAAATAACTGGCATGCTGTCACTTCAAAAAATAAACTTTTTACACAAAACTGTTCAAAAAACTAAATGGTATAGTAGAAAATGGAAGGGAAGATTATTAATATCATTTACCATCCTCCATCCTCATCACTGCCATCACAAGCCCTCTTAACAAGTCATTGGCAGACACTTAGCAGCTGGTGGAAGCTTTTTATGGTGTTGTGGTTGGGGGTGGCTGAGGGAGGGCTGACCAGCAGCTCCTCTCAAAGACCCAGAGGATCTGGAAGAGATAGGGTAACTGGGGAAGGGAGACAGAGATGGCCAGGTTTTCTTTGGCCCATGGGATTACCACACAGAGAACAAGATGGAAAGCAGACAAGGGGGCCTCGGGGCACCTCCTAGAGGAGGGGGCTTTGATAGTGAGAAAGGGAGGGTTTGGGGCTGAAGAACTGGCTGTGAAGCTGAAATGGCACCACATCTCCTCCCCCCCGGGAGCCTCTGGGGATCACACTTACCCTGAAGAGGGCCCAGTCCCCTTTGGAGGGGTAGAGGGCTCAACCTTCCTGCTCTCATAGGCTGGGAGGGGAGGGGCTCTCTGATGGTATTCCCCCACTTGCACTGTTTAGGGTGGCTGGGTCTGTCTGTCAGCAGCAGAGCCACCCAGGATCTCTAGGAAGGTGGAGTCCCAGGCTAATGGCAGGGCAATAGCTAGGAGGGAGAGATAGCAAGGCAGACTCTGCAGTATGTGCACTGGGACAGACTGCAGAAGGAGGCGGCCACCTGCTCCTCATTGTTGTGAATTCAGATGTACAGAATGAGGACTGGCAGGGATTTTAGACCTTCCAGTTCAGCCCCTACTGATGAAGTCACTGAGGTCCAGAGAGTGGGAGGAGTTTGTCCCAGGCCATGGGGTGGGTGTCAGGTCACAGCTTGAGCCCAGATGTCCTGACTCCTGGGCTCTGAGCTCTTGTTCTTATTTTGTCCAGAATGTCTCTCTGGCCCCCTCTTTTCCTCCAGATGTCATTCTGTTCTCTCAGATTTCTCTCGTCATACTCTTTGACTGGGTCATTTTCTGCATCTCCTTTTGCCCGTTTCTCTTCTCCTTCCTCTCCTCACGCCCCTGCCATGTGTGAATGCCTACTGTGTGGAACAGAGGCACACAGCTGAGGATGTGGTGGGGCTGAAATCCATTGTGTTTGCCCGGAGGGGTGCCTTTTCCTAATGCACCCAGAGAAGTGGCCCTCAGAGCAGAAGCCTGGCCCTCAATGACTCAGAGCACTCAGATTGCAGCTCTCCCTGGGGTGGGATAAGGTCAAGGGAAGGGAGAGAAAATGGTGTCAGCTTGAAACTAGTATAGGAAATGTTATTGGTACTGGTAGGTTTCTTTTTTTGTTTTGTGTTTTCTCTTTTAATTTTAGTGCTATATAATGTATATATTTATGGGATGTAGAGGTTTTTGTTTGTTTATTTTTGAGACAGAGTCTCGCTCTGTCTCCCAGGCTGGAGTGCAGTGGCGTGATCTCAGCTCACTGTAATCTCCGCCTCCTGGGTTGAAGCAATTCTCCTGCCTCTGCAACCTCTGTCTCCTGGGTTCAAGCGATTCTCCTGCCTCAGCCTCCCAAATAGCTGGGATTACAGGCGCACATCACCACACCTGGCTATTTTCTGTATTTTTGGTAGAGTCAGGGTTTCACCATGTTGGCCAGGCTGGTCTTGAACTCCTGACCTCAGGTGATCGCCTGCCTCAGCCTCCCACAGTGCTGGGATTACAGGCGTGAGCCACTGTGCCTGGCCTAGAGTGATACTTTGATACAAGTATATAATATATAATAATCAACTCAGAGTAATTAGTATATCTGTCACCTCAAACACTTATCATTTCTTTGTGTTGGAACATTCAAAATCCTCTCTTCTAGCTTTTTGAAAATGTATAGTAAATTATAGTTAATTATATTCTCCCTGCAATGCTGCACAACACTAGAATTTATTCTTCCCATGTAGCTATAACTTTGTATCTGTTAACCAACTTCTCCCCACCCTCCTCTCCCCAGCCCCCTTCCCAACCTCTAATCATTACTATTCTACTGTCTTACTTCCATGAACTCAAATTTATTATGGATGAATAGTACTCCATTGTGTATATATGCTACATTTTCTTTATCTATCTGTTGATGGATGCTTAGATTGAGTCCACATCTCAACTATTGTGAATAGTGCCACAATAAACATGAGTGTGCAGGTATCCCTTTGATATACTGATTTTCTTTTCTTTGGATAAATACCTAGTAATGAGATTGCTGGATCATATGGTAGTTCTATTTTTAGTTTTTTGAGAAACTCTCATACTGTTTTCCGTAACGGCTATACTTATATGTAGAAAAACCTAAAGGCCCCACCAAAAAACCCTTAGAACTAATAAACAAATTCAGTAAAGTTGCAGGATACAAAATCAACATAAAAAGTCTACTGCATTTTTAATACACCAATAACAAACTAGCTAAAAAAGACATCAAGAAAGCAACCCCATTTACAATAGCTACAAAAGTAAAATAAAATACCTGGGAATGAAGTTAACCAAGGAGGTGAAAGACCTCTTTAATGAAAACTACAAAACACTGATGAAAGAAATTGAAGAGGACACAAACAAATGGAAAAATATTCCATGCTTGTGGATTAGAATTAATATTGTTAAAATGACTGTCCTACCCAAAGCAGTCTACAGATTTAATACAATCCCTGTTATCAAAATACGAATGACATTCTTCAGAAAAATAGAAAAAAAACTAAAATTCATATGGAGTCACAAAAAACCCCAAATGGCCAAAGCAATCCTAAGCAAAAAGAACAAAACTGGAGGCCTCACACTATCTTACTTCAAAATATACTACAGCCAGTTGTGGTGGCTCACACCTGTAATCCCAGCACTTTGTGAGGCCGAGACAGGCGGATCACGAGGTCAGGAGTTTGAGACCAGCCTGACCAACATGGTGAAACCCCATCTCTACTAAAAATACAAAAATTAGCTGGGCGTGATGGTGCGCACCTATAATCCCAGCTACTCGGGAGGCTGAGGCAGGAGAATCACTTGAATCCAGGAGGCAGAGGTTGCAGTGAGCCGAGATTGTGCCACTGCATTCCAGCCTGGGCAATAGAGTGAGACTCCATTAAAAAAAAAAAAAAAAAAATATATATATATATATATATATATATATATACACACACACACACACACACACATATATGTGTATATATATACACATATATATGTATATAGATACATATATATGTATATATACATATATATATATACTACAAAGCTGTAGTAACCAAAACAGCATGTATTGATATAAAAGCAGACACATAGACCAATGGAACAGAGTAGAGAACTCAGAAATAAATTCACATATTTACAGCCAACTGATTTTCAACAAAGGAACCAAGAACATACAATGGGGAAGGGACAGTCTCTTTAATAAATGGTGCTAGGAAAACTGGGTAACCAACCATACGCAGAAAAATGGTATTGGTAGATTTTGTCTGTGTGCTTATTTGAGTTTGATTGTACTGCGTGGGAACTGGACAGCTACCTCCCTAATTAGCATTAATATTTTCCCAGAGATTATTTGGCTGTCAAAGTATAGTAAGAAAAAGACCTAAAATAGGGTCCAGAAGTCTGATAGAGAAATACAGGTGAGGCTGGTGTGGTGATTCACACCTATAATTCCAGCACTTTGGGAGGCTGAGGCAGGCAGATTGCTTGAACCCAGGAGTTTGAGACCAGCCTGGGCAACATAGTGAGATCCTGTCTCAAAAAAATTAAAATAAAATAGAAATACAGGTGAGAGGGAGAAGCAGCAGGACAAAATGTGTAAAATAGAAGAGACCTTTTGATAGAGGTGATAGGAAAGGAAAGACAAACCTATGGGCTGGGAGCATCAAGAAGACATTAAAGGGATTGGGGTGACAGGAGAGGCCCAGAGAGACACTGCATCCTGCCCTGGTAACCCGGGCAGGCCCTGCAGGATCAGGTGGCATGCTTGTACCCTGCTTCTCCTGCTGTACACCCCCGTGAAGAACTTTCTTGATGCTCTCTGTTAGTAACCGGGCACATCCCCTCCGGGAGCTTGCCATGACTCATTGCCGCAGCCCCACTGCTCGGCTCTGCCTGTTTCATGACAGCTTCAGATGTCTTGGGTGAGAAGAGTCCTCCAGGAGACTTGGGCGGATCACTTCCCTCCAGAGGCCCTGTATGTGGCTGTGGATGGGGGCTCCTGAGTCTTTCAGCCTCTTCTCCTCAGGGCCAGCCCTGCCCTGGCTCTCGGGACCCACCCTCTCTGGGCTGCTCACAACCTTTAACCTTTAGAGGACTCTTCTTTCTCCTGTATGATTCTCTCCCTTTCTACTGTTCTAGGAACTTCCATGTCAGGAAATATGCCCAAATGGGCCTCTGGCCCACACTCCAGCTACTGCTCCATTCATTTGCTCTTTTATGCCACCTTTGTCAGCAGAGCTGTCAGGACACACTGTCTGTTTTGTTGCCTGTCCTCTGAAGCCGCCTTGGACTTACATGTTTTGAGGGGCATGTTAGAGGACTTGGCCAGAAATGTGCTACCAGTCTCTGGGCACTTGCTTCATAGCGGGGGGTTGGGATGTGCCTCTGACTTCTTGTCTTATTCCTCTGGAGTAAAGCTCACAACTCTTCCCAAACTTTTGGAAGCAGTCATCAGCAGCCACAATTTGTTAATTCCATTTGTTTCCCAAATCTCACCCTCTCCAGGAAGCCAGCCTGCACCCCACCGGCCCCTGCTCCCATCCCCCTTCACTCTGCTCTCTTTTCCCGTGGTGCGTATCACTCACGTAGTATGATGTATTTGCTACATTGATTATTGTCTGCTTCCCCCTGCTAGAATGTCAGCTCTACAGAAGTAGGGATTTGTCTCTCTCTCTCTTTTTTTTTTTTTTTTTTTAACTGTTCTGAGGCTTCTAGATGAGTGCCTGGTACCTAGGAAGCACTTAATAAATATTTGTGGAATGAGTGAAAGGAAGGCAAAAATCAATTAATACAGGGTATTAAGGAGGCTTTTGACTCACAAAAGGGAATCTGAGCATGTCAGAATAGCCCTCTTCCCACTCACCCTGCCCTACCACCTGTCTGTCACAGAGATAGCACCACCATTCTCCCCCCTGTACAAACCATGCTCTGTTCTTGTTTATCCTTGACCAGTATGTCCAGTTGAATCTGTCTCTAAAATACCTGGAATGTATTGCTTCTCTCTTTTTCTCCCTACTGCCACCACCTTAGTTCAGGCCATCTTTAGCTCTCCCCTGGTCCACGGCAAAAGCCTCCGGACCAACCTCCCCATGTTCCTCTTGCCTCCTTAGTCCCTTCTCTGTGGGGCAGCCAAGTGAGTGGTCACTTAGGGTTTTGGCTCACTGCTGTACAGTGACGCAAACAGAATAGAAGTTTATTTCTGCCTCAGTTAACAGTTCAGAGGTGCAGGGTCTAGAGCTATCACAGTAGCTGTACATAAGCTTATCCAAGGGACTGGGTTACTTCCATGTGGTTCTTCCACCAGCTTCTAGGGATGTTGTCCTCTGCTGCGTGGTCAAAGTTGGGCTCACCACCACCATGTCCAAAATTCAGTTGGGGTAAAAAGGAAGTAGAAAGCAATTTTCTTTTTTTAAAGGACAATGCCCAGAATTATGGTCATTGCTTTCTATCACATTCCATTGGCTGGAACTTAGTCTCATGACCAGACCTTGTCGTAGGGGATCTGGAAAATGTAGTCTTCCCAGGTGGCCGCCTGACCAGCAATAACTCCGGGGGTTCTATTATTAAAAGGAGGAAGGGGAGAGTGGACTCTGGAGGTTACACAGCAGTCTCAGCCACATGTAGAGCGGATCACACATATCATGCCCCTACTTGAAACCCTTGGTGGGTTTCCACTGTACGTGGAGCAAAAGTGAAACTCCTTACCATGCATATCCAGCCCTGCGCAGTCTGGCCTCTGCCGTTCTCACCAAGCCCTTTCCTGTTTTACCTTACCTCTCTTCATCCGGCCAGTACTTCTTATCCGTCAATTCTCTGCGCAGGTATCTCCCAGAGAGGTTGCCCATGTCATCTCCCAGCCATTGTGGCTTCTGTCATTGTGCCGATTTTGTTTGTTTTCTTGTTGTTTTATGCAGTGACCCCACTGGAATGTCAGCTCCATAAAAAAGGGACCACATTTGTTTTGTTCACTGATATGTCCCATCTCTGCTACAGTGTTGGGTGCAGATGCATTGAAGTCTTATTTGATTCATATTGATACTTGTGCTTTTTTCTTTCCCTTCTAGGACACGAGAGACTTCCTAAACAGGTAAAAGAGTCTCCTCTCCATGGCGTACCTCATCCCCCTTGTTTATGTTCCCCCGCTTCTGACCAGGTGCATTTGAATTCATGGGGAGTGGTATGGTGCCAGAGGTACTCACATCCCATGGTTCATCCTGATGCCCTTCTGAGGAGCAGGACACATCATTGAGAACTGGAGACTTGCTCTCCTCCTTATGGTTCTCTGTGTAGCCCCAGCTCCTTGGCCCACTGGCCTTATTTGAGGTGGGACAGAGCAGAGAGGTTAGAAACATGGCTTAGTAGACAGAGCGCCCTGGATGTGGAGTCTACTGATGTTCTGAAGCCCTGGTTCAGCTGGTGTCTTTGGGCCACTGTTTTTCTGTCACTTGTTTGGGGATAATCATACCTTTCCTCTCCCCTTCATAATTGCCATGAGGATTGAGAGATAAGTATGAAGGAAAGTAAGAAGAGCTGAGTAACAGCTTGTTATGTATGTCATCTTCTTAGGTATCCACGGAAGAAGTTCTGGGTTGGGAAACCCATTGCTCGAGTGGTTAAAAAAAAGACCGGAGAATTCTCAGATAAACTCCTCTCTCTGCAACGAGGCCTGAGGGAATTCCAGGGTAAGGGTTGGGGAGCGCACAAAGGGTGGGAGTCAGAGCAGGGCTACCTCGTAGAAAGAGCGCACCCAGCTCCTTTCCATCACCTTGTCGATCCTCACTCTTCTGAGGGCCTCTTGTCTTAGACATGGATCCCTATCAGGAAATTGATACTGCCCGAGCAAGAAATGGGCTCATAAATTTTCGGGACTTGAGTCATTGCTGTCCTTTTTTCTCCCCAGGGAAGCTGCTGAGAGACTTGGAATATAAGACAGGTGAGTGTCTAGAGGGTGTTTCCCAGATGTACATCAAATATAGAAAACTCCGCCTGCAGAGATTCTGACTGCTCACTTTTCCCCCAGGTAGCCCCTTTTGCAACAGGAAGAATTTCCCAGCTGCACAATAGAAGCCCCCCTCCCTCTTTGCACTTTCTAATCAGCCTACTCTTTAGTCTGCAGTAGAGGCCTCTGCTTGCTAGTCTGATCCTTCTCTGCCCTGTGTTTGCTTTTCTTTTTCCTATCCTCACAGGTCCTACCACCAGTCCTTTTCCTGTGGCCGAGCTTTCTCTCATCTTCCTGGCTGCATGGCTCCTATATTCAGAGCAAACAGCAGGGGCAACCTAAGACCAGAGGCCATATCCACCACAGGCCCCACTATTGTGCCCCCTCTCAGCCCTGCAGTTAGGTTGTACACTGCATACCAACCACCAAGGAGCGCCATCCACATAGACCAAGATGTGAATGGTGCCCCTTGGATTGTGAAGACTGGTGGTCTCCTCCTGGCTCACTTTCACACTTGCTTTCGTGAGAACCATTGAGGAGGTCGGCCTGTCTGGGAGCAAACGAGGCCCTGAGAGCTTCATCTAGTTCACAGGATAAAATCCCATAGCAGAACTGAGTTAGCAGTGGTTAAACCTTAGGTGGTTGTAGCTTCTTTATTAATGTCTGAGCTGTCTGTGAATACCGTCAAATTTTACCTATCAGGTTATTCTAATTATAGAGAATCCTATGAGGATGATGGTGAGGATTATCCCACTCTGTCAGTACCTGTTCAGGGTTTCTTGAACCATCTTACAGAGCAGGCTGGTAGTTTTGAAACTGAAATTGAACAGTTTACAGAGACCCTGAATGCTTGTGTTACAACAGATGATGCTTTGCAAGAACTTGTGGAACTCAGAGGCCACATCTGTCCCAAATTTCTTTTTTTTTTTTTTTTTTTTTTTTTTTTTTTTTGAGACGGAGTCTCGCTGTCGCCCAGGCTGGAGTGCAGTGGCGCAATCTCGGCTCACTGCAGGCTCCGCCTCCTGGGGTTCACGCCATTCTCCTGCCTCAGCCTCCCGAGTAGCTAGGACTACAGGCGCCCGCCACCTCGCCCGGCTAATTTTTTGTATTTTTAGTAGAGACGGGGTTTCACCGTGTTAGCCAGGATGGTCTCGATCTCCTGACCTCGTGATCCACCCGCCTCGGCCTCCCAAAGTGCTGGGATTACAGGCGTGAGCCACCGCGCCCGGCCTTTTTTTTTTTTTTTTTTTTGAGATGGAGTCTTGCTTTGTCTTCCAGGCTGGAGTGTAGTGGTGTGATCTCAGCTCACTGCGAGCCCCGCCTCCCAGGTTCACGCCATTCTCCTGCCTCAGCCTCCTAAGTAGCTGGGACTACAGGTGCCCACCACCATGCCCGGCTAATTTTTGTATTTTTAGTAGAGATGGGGTTTCACCATGTTAGCCAGGATGGTCTCGATCTCCTGACCTTGTGATCCACCCGCCTCGGCCTTCCAAAGTGCTGGGATTATAGGCGTGAGCCACCGTGCCCAGCCCCAAATTTCTCTTACATGGGAGCTCACCTGTGTAATTACCTGACATCATCTGACAGTTAGCACAGAGAGTAGCACCTTCCGCCAATTTCTACTTCAAAGATGTCGGACTGAATATGACATTAAAGATCAAGCTGCAAAAGGGGATGAAGTTACTCCAAAACAATTTCATGCATTTGTACCCTTTCTGGGAGAGCTTTATCATAACCTGGAGATCAGAGGAACAAATGGACAGGTTACAAGGGCAGATATTCTTCAGGTTGGTCTTCAGGAGTTGCCGAATGCCTGAATGCCCTCTTTTCTAATCCCGTGGATGACAGCTTAATTTGTGCAATAAAATTGCTGAAGTTGACAGGGTCAGTTTTGGAAGATGCTTGGAAGGAAAAGGAAGGACTGATATGGAAGAAATTATTCAGGAAATTGAAAATGTTGTTATAGATGCAAGCTGTGGCAGAGACATGAAACAGATGCTCTTGAAGCTTGTAGAACTCCAGTGCAGTAATTGGGGTAGAGTCCATGCAACTTCATCATACAGAAATACAACAGCCAAAAAAGATCCCAATTACTATGTGAATGAACCAACATTTTATAGTGGTCATTCACATAGTTATTGTGTTTCATAGTGTTCCTTTCACTGCAGCTGATCCGGATTACCAAGAAGCATATCAAGAGTTACTTGAAAAAGAGGACTTTTTTTCTGGATTATGAAGAAAATGGAACAGATTTTTCAGGGACTGGTGATCCACACTTGGATGATATTAATGATGAGTTGGACCCAGAGATCCAGAGATAGAGGAAGCTTATGAAAAGTTTTGTTTGGAATCAGAGCGTAAGCGAAAACAGTCAAGTTAAATTTCAGTATATCATGTTTATAAAGCAGTTTAGTTATGGTGATTTAGCAGAATACAAAGCCAGAAAATGTGTCACACTTATACCAAATTAAGGATGTTGAGTTATATTACTAATGTATGCAACTTTAATTTTGTTTAACGCTATCTGCCAAAATAAATTTTATTCCCTCTGACTTAAAAAACAAAACAAAACAGTGATGCTGTTTTTTTTTTTTTCCCTTGTCCCCACAGTGAGCGTCACCCTGGACCCACAGTCGGCCAGTGGGTACCTGCAGCTGTCAGAGGACTGGAAGTGCGTGACCTACACCAGCCTGTACAAGAGTGCCTACCTGCACCCCCAGCAGTTTGACTGTGAGCCTGGGGTGCTAGGCAGCAAGGGCTTCACCTGGGGCAAGGTCTACTGGGAAGTGGAAGTGGAGAGGGAGGGCTGGTCTGAGGATGAAGAAGAGGGGGATGAGGAGGAAGAGGGAGAAGAGGAGGAGGAGGAAGAGGAGGCCGGCTATGGGGATGGATATGACGACTGGGAAACGGACGAAGATGAGGAATCGTTGGGCGATGAAGAGGAAGAAGAGGAGGAGGAAGAGGAGGAAGTTCTGGAAAGCTGCATGGTGGGGGTGGCTAGAGACTCTGTGAAGAGGAAGGGAGACCTCTCCCTGCGGCCAGAGGATGGCGTGTGGGCGCTGCGCCTCTCCTCCTCCGGCATCTGGGCCAACACCAGCCCCGAGGCTGAGCTTTTCCCAGCACTGCGGCCCCGGAGAGTGGGCATCGCCCTGGATTATGAAGGGGGCACCGTGACTTTCACCAACGCAGAGTCACAGGAACTCATCTACACCTTCACTGCCACCTTCACCCGGCGCCTGGTCCCCTTCCTGTGGCTCAAGTGGCCAGGAACACGCCTCCTGCTAAGACCCTGAGCCCTGACATCTGCCCCCAGCCCCAACCCTCAGATGCTTCACTTCTTTGGAATTCCAGGACTCTCAATGGGGGGACGGGATGCCTGGCCTAAGCACCTGGAGCAGGGGACCCCATATCCACTGGTAGCCACCTCCCCATTGCTGTGGCCCCCTGAAATCTCACTCAGTGCTGTTGCTCCATCTACTGCCCTAATGGGGCTCTTTTCCCACCTCCTGCTGGTTTCCCGAGGGAACTTCTGACCCTGGAGTCCATGAGGGCTCCTTTCCTTTTTGACCACGACCTTGGCCCCAGCTCTGCACTCTCTGGAATAAGGGCCCGATGCAGCATTTTCTTGCCCAGTGTGGCAAGACCTCAGAAAAACCAGTCAATTACGCCTAAGATCATTTTGCTGTCCTTAAACCCCCCAGGTTCCTTCTTGCACAAATCCACTCTGCTGCCCACCTTCCCTGGCATTTTAAACAGACCTACCCCACCCCAACTCAGAGTTAAGCATACATGGCAATGCTGAAAATAAACAAAATCCACTGAGGCTTCCCAGGCCATTTAAAGCCTGGAGTACCAGCGCATATCATCTCATGGGGTCCAGAGTGGAGTCCAGGCTTCTCTGAAACCAGGGCTGAGCATATTTCCATAGCCAAGGAGGTGGGACTCCCTGGAGCTATCTGTGGTCTTAGGGAAGGATCCAGACATACACGGCTTTGGGGTACAAGCTGTGATCACTGATCAATAAATTATCTCTAGATTGGTCCTTGTGAGGGGAGTTTTAAGAATCCAGAACATCTTGCTCTTGATCAGCACATCCAAAAACACCAAGACAAACATCCAGTGGAGCAGAACCTCTCCTGCCTCGGGAGTTCTGACCGGGTTCCCCAGCAGGGTGTTAAGCCTCTGTCTCTGGCCCTACCAGCATCCAGGTTCCACTTTCCTAGGAGAGAGTGGAGATGGGAAGACAGGGAAAGGAAGGCAGCAGGAGGCCACAAGCCCACCAGGTCTTCATGTCAAGAGAGGGAGTAACATGTCTTCTCATTGCCCACGGACCCAACCTCTGTCCAGGTGCCCCTCATCATCACAGTTTAACACAAGCTCCCCTGCTCCAGCCAAATTGATCTCCCAGTCTTGTCCTTACCCATTCCAAGTGCTCTGCCAGCCCCTGTTCATCCAAGTTTTAAGTCCTCCACCCTGTTCTAAGAGACTGTTCCAACGGCTCTGGGCCTCAGTGGTCACTTGACCACCATTGTCTCAGAGCTGCCCACTTTGTGTGTGTCACATGCTGCCTGAGTCACATGTACATCTTATTTCTGCCTCTAGTTTTGTAAGCTCCTGGAGGGCGGATAACATCTTATACTACTCTTGTATTCTCATGGCACCTAGTGCAGTGCTGGGCACAGAGTAGGTGCTCAATAAAGACTTGTTGAATGAACAGCCTGGAGATCTGTATTTGTAGGTCTATATCTATATTATATCTCAAATGCCACCAGACCTCAGTCTGGCTACAGAGAAATTCCACTGATAGCAGTAGCCGAAGGTTTTCCTTCTGTGCCTTCTGTAACAGTGTAACTTTGCTTTCTGTTCTCTGCACACATGCTGTCATTTCTGGAAGTCCCTCAAAAAGAGCCTACTGCGGAACACAGACGAGTTGTTGCGTGGCTCCACCTTTTTATTCCTCCTGCAGTGGTGCCCTTGAGCTGAGGTCCAGCGTTTTGGAGCAAGTGATGACTCTCCCTGAGAAGGGAGACCTCCAGTATAGCACACCCAAAAATTCTTCCTTGGAAAATAAGCACTGCCTCAGAGGAAATAGAATGTGCAGAGATTCAGCCTTGCATCCTAACACAGTCAACTGTTTTTCTTGTCCTTTCTGATTTTTTTTTTTTTTTTTTTTTTTTTTTTTTTTTTGAGATGGAGTCTCACTCTGTCTCCCAGTTTGGAGTGCAGTGGCGCCATCTCGGCTCACTGCAAGCTCTGCCTCCCGGGTTCACGCCATTCTCCTGCCTCAGCCTCCCGAGTAGCTGGAACTACAGGCGCCCGCCATCACGCCCGGCTAATTTTTTTGTATTTTTAGTAGAGACGGGGTTTCACCATGTTAGCCAGGTTGGTCTTGATCTCCTGACCTCATGATCCACCCACCTCGGCCTCCCAAAGTGCTGGGATTACAGGCGTGAGCCATCGCGCCCAGCAGTCCTTTCTGATTTTTTAAATTGCCATCTTAAAGATGGAAAAGGGAGGATTATACGAAACTACCTGTAAAATTACGCTAGTGGCAAAGAGCATATTTCCTCTCTGTTCTCTAAGTTGTGGGCTCATGTAAATTTTCCCTTTTTATTTTTTATATTCATAGTTTTTCATTTTGTATAACTCTACTTGCACATATGGTAAACTTTCTACAGTGCTTCTTACAAATAGGAACATTTCCCTGCCCCATACCTCCCTCCAAAGACCCAGTTCATACCTTTCAGCAAACTATTTTGTGTTTGCCTTGCTGGGATTACAGGTGTGAGCCACCACAACTGGCTGAATTTTTATTATTTTAGAGACATGGTCTTACTCTGTCACCTAGGCTCTAGTGATGGTGCACTCGTAGCTTACTGTGGCCTTGAGCTCTGGGGCTCAAGTGATCCTCCCACCTCAGCCTCCCAAAGTACTGGAATTACAGGCGTGAGCCACTGTGCCCTGCCTGAATTATTTCTTGTTGACTTTTCCTCCTATTTTCTGTATTCTCTCAAATCTGTTATCTCCAGGCTTCATATGTCTCCTGAATTCATTTATTAAGTACCCGTGATGTGCCAGGATGTTTCTAGGTTACAACAGTGATAAGGTTAACAAAGTTCTGCACTCTTGGAGGTTATATTCCAGCAAATGGTGACAGGCAGTATGTTAAAATTGAAAAAAAAAAAAGTAATTAGCACTATGCAAGGAAGTGAAATAAGTCTGTGATAGATAGTGACCTAGTATCTATTTTATAATGTGTGATCAGAAGGGAGTTCCCTGAAAAGATGGCATGAGAGCTGAAATCAGAATGGTGAGAGGGAAGGTCTAAGATCACATCAGCTAGAGGGAACAGCAAAGTCCTAAAGCAGGGACAAACTGGGTACAGAAAGAGTGCATTTAGAGTATGGTTATGGGAGAACAGAAAGAGCCATAGATTTTCTCTTTTTTTTTTAATAGAGACGGAGTCTCGCTCTGTTGCCCAGGCTGGAGTGCGGTGGCATGATCTTGGCTTACTGGCAACCTCCGCTGCCCAGGTTCAAGCGATTCTCTTGCCTCAGCCTCCCAAGTACCTGGGACTACAGGCGCACACCACCATGTCTGGCTAATTTTTTTGTGTTTTTAGAAGAGACGGGGTTTTGCCATATTGACCAGGCTGTTCATGAACTCCTGACCTCAGGTGATCCACCTATTTTGGCCTCTCAAAGTGCTGGGATTACAGGCATGAGCTTTAAAAAGAAACTTTTTAAAAACTGATGCATCCCAAGTACCCAGAATAATGCCTATCACATAAGTCTTGACCTGAGGCCGGACTGATGTGGCGCTGCTGTTGCTGCTGCTACTGCTGCCACCTGGCAAAAAAGAGATGGGAGACTGAGCACTCCCATGCACCCCCCTGGACAAATCCCATCGCCACTGCTACAGGCTGCTGTGAGACCAGGGCTTGAGAAGACTGCACTCCCTGTGGCTACTTGTCCTTGCTCTTCCACCTGAGAGGGGTCCTGCCCTCCCGGTGGCAAACCTGTAGTCATTATTCTGAGAGCTCAACCACCCGGGTCTGCATTCTGCCCCTGGGCCTGGCTGGGGCTGCTGCCGCCAAGCCAAGGCTAAGTTGAGGAGGGAGAGTAGAGACGGGGCACTTCCGCACGTTCCTAGGACAAATCCCACCACTGCTGCTATGGGCTGGTGTGGACAAAGGTGTGAGCAGATGACACTTCCCACAGCTACTTGCTCATGATGCGCCAGCTGAGAGTGGCCCTGCCTTCCCTGGTTGCAGGACTACAGTGCAGCCACCACAGCCAGCCCACACCTGAGCATTCTGCCAGTGGTCTGGGGACCTCTCCATCTCTTGTCTATCACAGCTAGCACCTGAATGCATTGCAGGGGGCCCTGAGGACAGGTCTGCTGGCCTGATCCCATCCCCCCAGTACACAAGCACATCATCCAGGGGCCCGGAAATTGCCCAGCCCAATCTACCACCACTGGCATCTGAATCATTCCTGTCAGGATCTGAGGTCAGTCCAACTCAATCTACCAATACCACCACAACTGACACCCACCCACACATGCTACCAGTGGGTCAGGGTACTAGCCTGCCCAACTTGTCACAGCCACCACCAACACCAGCACAGACTGCTTGGGTCCTAGCAGGTTGTTCCACCACTGCTACTGCCATTACCCATTTCACACCAGCTGCCCAGGAGCCTGAGAAGTTGCCCACATGTCTGGCCCACTGCTGCCACTGCTAGCATCTGAGCAAGTCACCTGAAGGCCCAATAATTGGCCCTCCAAGACCCACTAACGCTGTTGTCAGTTTAAGCCACTCTGTGGGCCCTAGCACAGGCTCATTCAACCCACCGCTGCCATCACTAGGGCCTGAAGACTGGCCCACCTAGCATCTTAGTTCCCAGCCAAACTTCACCACAGCCTTCACTAATAAGTGCACCTTAAGTCAATGAGGAAGTCACAGATACCACTGATGTTGTATACTGCCAAATAAATCATACAGGGATCACACTACTATAGGCACTCAAAATCAAAGCCAAAGCACCCTACTCAACAAACAACACGTAAAATCTTCAGGAAAAAAATCCTCCCCTATGAAAGCAATTTCAAAAATGGAAGAAGTGACTGTTGCAACTAAATGTGCAGATATCAATGTAAGGACACAGAAAACTAAAGAACAAAGAAATATGACACCAACAAAGGAACACAATACCTCTCCAGCTACAGTTATCAATCAGAAAGAAATTCATGAAATTCTAGATAAAGAATTCAAAGTACTGATTTTAAAGAAACTCAGTAGGCTGGGCACGGTGGCTCATGCCTGTAATCCCAGCACTTTGGAAGGCCGAGGTGGGTGGATCACGACGTCAGGAGATTGAGACCATCCTGGCTAACACGGTGAAACCCCGTCTCTACTAAAAATAGAAAAAATTAGCTGGGTGTGGTGGTGGGTGCCTGTAGTCCCAGCTACTCGGGAGGCTGAGGCAGGAGAATGGCGTGAACCCGGGAGGCGGAGCTTGCAGTGAGCTGAGATCGTGCCACTGCACTGCAGCCTGGGTGACAGAGTGAGACTCCATCTCAAAAAAAAAAAAAAAAAAAAAGAAACTCAGTGATATATAAGAGAATTCTGAAAAACAATAGAAAGAAAAAAGATAATAATGTAGGATATGAATGAGAAATTTAATAAAGCAATAGATTGTTTTTTAAAAGAAAAATAGAAAATCTGGATATGAAGAATTTATTAAAGGAAATACAAAATACCTTTGAAAGCTTCAACAATAGAACTAGATTGGGGAGAAGAAAGAGTCTCAGAGCTTGAAGGCAGCTCTTTTGAAATAACCTAGTCAGACAAAAATAAAGAAAAAATAATTTTAAAAAATTCAATTTACTTTGCCTAGATAAAAAAATTAGCAAAGCCTTCATGATATTTGGGACAGCATAAAGCAACTGAATATATGAATTGTTAGTATCCCCGAGGATGATGAAGAAATGAAAGGATTAGAAAATCTATATAATGAAATAATAGATGAAAACTTTCCAAGCCTAGCAAGGGATTTGGACATGCAGGTATAGGAGGCTCAATGTTTCCCAGGCAGATGCAATGCAAAGGGTCT
The DNA here is from genome assembly GCF_000001405.40 of Homo sapiens. Lineage (NCBI taxonomy): Eukaryota > Metazoa > Chordata > Mammalia > Primates > Hominidae > Homo > Homo sapiens. The sequence continues at coordinate 1,435,148 of NT_167248.2, read as the reverse complement.
TCTCCATAGCACATTATAATTAGACTGTCTAAAGTCAAAATAAAGAGCAAATTCTAAAAATAGCAACAGAATAGTGCCTAGTCACCTAAAAGGAAAACTCATCAGACTAACAAACAGTGGATTTCTCTGCAGAAACCCTACAGGCCAAAAGATAATGGGATGGTATATACAAAATGATGAAAGAAAATAACTGTCAGCCAAGAATATTAGATCCAGCCAAATTAAAGTATAAAGGAAAAAGAAATAAAGTCTTTCCCAGACAGGCAAATACTGAGGGAATTTGTTACCACTAGATCAGTCCTACGAGAAATGCTCAAGGGAGTCCTAAACCTGGAAGTGATAGGATGATATTTACCATCATAAAAACACACAAAAGTATAAAACTCGCTAGTAAAGCAATCACACAAAGGAAGAAGAGAAAGGACTCAAATGGTGCCTCTACAGAAATCCACCAAACCACAATGACAAACAAGAAGAAAGGAACAAAGAATATATAAAACAATCAGAAAACAACAATATGACAGGAACAAAGTCTCATATATCAATAATAATCTTGAATGTAAATGGAATAAATTCTTTACTTGAAAGATGTAGAATGGCTGGATTTATTTAAAAAGATAATACACCTGTAAGCTGTTTCAAGAAACTCAGTAAAGTTTCTTACCAGTAAAGACAAATATAGACAAAGTAAAGGGATGGAAAAAGATATTCCATACAAATGGAGACAAAAAGTGAGAAGGAGTAGCTATACTTATATCAGATACAACAGACTTTAAGTCAAGAATTGTGAAAAAAAAAAGCCAAAAATGTCATTATATAATGATAAAGGGATCAATCCAGCAAGAAGATTCAACAGTTCTAAATATATATACACCAAACACCAGAGCACCCACATTCATAAAGCAAATATTACTAGCTCTAAAGAGAGAGACAGATTGGAATACAATAATAGTGGGGGACTTTAGCACCTCATGCTCAGCATTAGACAGATTATCTAGACAGAAAATCAACAGAGAAACATTGGATTTAAACTGGACTTTAGACCAAATGAACCTAACATTTACGGAACATTCTATTCAACAACTGCAGAATATATATTCTTTTCATCAGAACATGGAACCTTCTCCAACATAGACCATATATTAGGTGACAAAACAAGTCTCAATAAATTTTTAAAAATTAAAATCATATCAAATATTTTCTCAGACTGCAATAGAATAAAATGAGAAATCAATACCAAGAGGAACTTTGGAAACTATACAAATACATAGATATTAAACCACATGGTCCTGAATGACCATTGGGTCAATGAACAAATTAAGATAGAAGGCCAGGCATGGTGGCTCACACCTGTAATCCCAGCACTTTGGGTGGCTGAGGCGGATGGATCACCTGAGGTCAGAAGTTCGAGACCAGCCTGGCCAGCATGGTGAAACCCTGTCTCTGTGAAAAATACAAAAAAATTAGCTGGGCGTGGTGGCAGGCGCCTGTAATCTCAGCTACTTGGGAGGCTGAGGCAGGAGAACCGCTTGAACCCGGGAGGTGGAGGTTGCAGTTAGCCGAGTTTACACCATTGAACTCCAGCCTGGGAGACAAGAGCAAAACTCCATCTGGAAAAAAAAAAAAAAAAAGAAATTAAGATGAAAATTAAAAAAAAAATCTAAAAACAAATGAAAATGGAAACATAAAACCTGTGGGATTCAGCAAAGGCAGTGCTAAGAGGAAAGTTTACAGCAATAAATGCTTACATTAAAAAAGTAGAAAGATTACAAATTAACAATCCAACAATGTACCTGAAGGAGCTAGAAAAGCAAGAACAAACCAAACCCCAAATTAGCAGAAGAAAAGAAATAATAAAGATCAGAGCAGAAAGTAGAGACTTAAAGAAATACAAAGGATCAATGAGATGAAAAATTGGTTCTTTGAAAAGATATACAGAATTGATAAGCTACTAGCTAGACTAACCAAGAAGACAGAAGACCCATATGAACAAAATCAGAATTGAAAAAGGAGACATTACAACTGACATCACAGAAATATTAAAGATCATCAGAGACGGTTATAAACAACTAGATAAAATTGGAAAATCTAGAGGAAGTGGATAAATTCCTGGAAACACACAACCTACCAAGACTGAATCAGAAAAAAATAGAAAACCTGAGCAGACCAATAATTAATAGCAAGATTGAATCAGTAATTAAAAGTCTCTCAAAGAAGAAAAGCCTAGGACTGGAGGGATTAACAGCTGAATTCTACTAAACATACAAAGAACTAATACCGATCCTCCTGAAACTGTTCAAACAAGTCAAAGAGGAAGGAATTTTCCCTAACTAATTATATGAGGTCAGCATCACCCTAATACTAAAACCAGACAGATACACCACAACACCAACAAAAAGAAAATTATAGGTCAATATCCCTAATGAACATAGATACAAAATCATAGATAGATACAAAAATCCTCAACAAAATACTAGCAAACCAAACCCAACAGCACATCGAAAAATACTACATCAAAATCAAGTGGGATTTATAGTAGAGATGCAAAGATGTTTCAATATGAATAAATAAGCATGATACATATTATCAATAGAATGTAGAACAAAAACCATATGATCATCTTAATAGATGCAGAAAAAGCATTTGATAAAATTTAACATTCTTTTAAGATAAAAACATACAACACACTAGGCATAGACGGAACAAACCTCAAACTCAAATGAGCTGTATGTAACAAACCCATAGCTAACATGCTGAATGAGGAAAAGTGGAAAGCTTTTCCTCTAAGCACTGGAACAAGGCAAGGATGTCTACTCTCAATACTCTTATTCAACATAGTACTAAAATCCTAGCTATAAGGATCAGGCAAAAGAAAGAAACACAATGTGTGATTTCACCAAAAAACTCTTAGATATGATAAATGAGTTCAGTACAGTTTCAGGCTACAAAATTAATATGCAAAAGTCAGTAGCATTTCTTTACATCAGTAATGATTTAGCCAACAAAGAAATCAAGAAGGCAATCTCATTTAGAAATTTTTGCTACCAAAAACAATTTAGGATTGAATTTAACCAAGGAGGCAAAAGATCTTTACAAGGAAAACTACAAAATACTGTTGAGAGAAATTCAAAACAACACAAATGGAAAAACACCTTATGCTCATGGATTAGAAGGAATATCAACATCATTAAAATGACCATATTGTTCAAAGTAATCTGCAGATTAAATGCAATCCCTAACAAAATATCAACATCATTCTTCACAGAATTTGAAAAAAAAATCCTAAAATTCATATGGACCAACCCCCCCCTCCCAAAAAAAGCCCAAATAGCCAAAGAAATCCTGAGCACAAAGAACAAATACTCTTGGATTAAAGGGAGTTTAGTAATTAATAGATTAGTAATACTTGCTACTAGAGACATTTTTGTCAGGTTTGTCAAATATCAGATGGTTATAGGTGAAAATCAAATCAAAACTACAATGAGATACTATCTCGCACCAGTCAAAATGGCTATTACTAAAAAGTCAAAAAGCAACAGATGCTGGCAAGGTTGTGAAGAAAAACGAATGCTTTTAACACTGTTGGTGTGAGTGTAAATTAGTTCAACCATTGTGGAAGACTGTGTGGCAATTCCTCAAAAACCTAGAGGCAGAAATACCATTCAACCCAGCAATCTCATTTACTGGGTATATACCCAAAGGAATAGAAATCGTTCTCTATAAAGATACATGCATGTGTATGTTCATTGCAGTAGTATTCACAATAGCAAAGATATGAAATCAAACTAAATGCCCATCAATGATAGACTGGATAAAGAAAATGTGGTACACATATACCATGGAATATTTTACAGCCATAAAAAGGAATGAGATCATGTCCTTTGCAGGGACATGAATGGAACTGGAGGTTGTTATCCTTAGCAAACTAAAGTAGGAACAGAAAACCAAATACAGCATGTTTTCACTTATAAGTAGGATCTAAATAATGAGAACATATGGACACATGGCAGGAGGCGGGGGGAACAACACACACTGGGCCCTGTTGGAGGGCGGGGGTGGGAGGAGGGAGAGGATCAGGAAGAATAGCTAATGGGTGCTGGGCTTAATTCCTGGGTGATAGGATGATCTGTGTAGCTGACTACTATGGCACACATTTACCTATGTAACAAACCTGCACATCTTGCACATGTACCCCTGAACTTAAAAGTTGAAAAATTTTTTAAAAAAGAAAAACATTAGGGAGTAGCTGCCTTTGGGAGTGAGGAGAATGGGAATAAAAATTGGGGAGAGAGGAGAAAATACAAATAAAACCAGAAGACCTTGCATGGACTGATGATGATAGTGTTCCAAGAACTGAGAGGTATGACTGAGTCAACACTCTACACTGGAAGTCTGAAAGAAGGAAAGAACTGAAAATGAAAAAGAAAATAAAGGCCATGAGTAGAGCTAGGAAGCTTCCTTATAGACAGGAGAATGGGCCCCACATCCAGAGCAAAGTAAGCCGACCAGAGAGACAATGCATCTGCCTAGGCTCTAGTTCCCATTACAACCAGCTCACTGTCATCACGGTTCCTGGGCTCCAGAGAGATTCCCTTATAGGTCCCACCTTGGTCCTTACAATAACCCCTCTGGTTCTCCGAGGCACATCAGTGTGACTGCTCCTCACATAGTCCAGCAGCCCAGCAATTATTTTGTGGGATCTCTTTGCCTCCTGCCCAGTAGTGGACAGAACTCAGCACTTGGAATTCAGGAACACCTACAAAAAGCATTAGGGGCAAGGCAGGTTGTGCAGAGGATCTTGTAGGGGAGATAGAGGACAGTTTTACATCACAAACACAGGAACACAGCCATCCTGTGGCTCCAGCTGGACCACCAAATGAATAATTTTCCTCTGCTTTTCCTTCAGGCAGCTCTCAGTCCTCACCCTGAGGTCTTAGCCACTCCCAAATTTCTTTTGGCTTCTAAATTTCTCTTTCCTTTCTTATGCAGAACAATTTATTAATATAGGCACAAAGCCTCCAAATGTGCATATCCACACTTTTAAATTATCTGGACCACTCTAAAATTAGAAGTACCAGAGACTTGGAAATACAGTGTGCTTATGGTTCATCGGTTCTTTTTTTTTTTTTTCTGTTTCATATGAAACCAAAAATGCCCTGTCTAAAACATGAATTCAATGGGTAGCAAATGAAACATAGCCCCATTGGGATGTGTCTGTTTTAGAAGTCTGAGTGTGGTGGAAATGTGACTGCACTGAGCTCCAGGACAGGTAGATTCTACTTCAGCAGGTCACAAGGACCAGCTGTGAAAATTGTTAGACAAGTTCATTTAACTGTGTGCCAGTTTTCTCAACCACCACATGAGAAAAACAAAATAGGTCTTATGTATTTCACAGGCTTGTTGTAAGGTTCAAATGAAGATATAATTAAAACAAATTTGACCAATGGTACAATTAGCATGTGTTGCACATAGTTTTTCTTTTGGAGGGGTTGCAAAGAATACTTATGGCATAATCTAATTTATGTAAAAAAAAGAGAAAGCAATATATATTTGTATTCAAAACTTGCAGGATATACAAAAAATTGATATCAATGTTTAACTATGGGGAGTGGCAAGGGGAAGTGTTGAGTGGGTGGGGAAAGAGGTTTTTATTTATACACTTTGAAAATGTTTGAATTTTCTTAACCATGAGCATATACAACTTTTATAATAAGCATTGGGCAATACTACTACTACTACCACTACTACTACTACTAGGTTGGACTACCAAGCCACTTGGGTCAGATAAGGATGGCTCTGCTCACCACACTGGGGGGCAGAAGAAACCCCACATTGTCTGGCTTCTTTTATATCAAGAACCTCTATTTCCCCAACAGTCAAGTTAGGGTTAATTATTCACATCACATTGATTCATGTTACAATTTTTAAATAAAATTCACATATGGTCCAAACTCTTTGAGTGCTTTTAAAACATCTGACCCATGCTTTAGGAGCAGGGCTTACGCAATAATGAAGATGTTCTTTGTTTTATTTGTTTGTTTGTTTCTTGGAGACAGAGTCTCACTCTGTCACCCAGGCTGGAGTGCAGTGGTACAATCTCAGCTCACTGCAACCTCTGCCTCCTGGGTTCAAGTGATTCCCCTGCTTCAGCCTCCCAAGTAGCTGGTCTGCCACCACACCCAGCTAATTTTTGTATATTTAGTGGAGATGGGGTTTCACCATGTTGGCCAGGCTCAAACTCCTGACCTCAGGTGACCCACCTGCCTCGGCCTACCACCGTGAGCCACCGCGCCTAGCCTGTTTTTTGTTTTTTGTTTTTTTGAGATGGAGTCTCACTCCGTCACTCGGGCTGGAATGCAGTGGCTTGATCTTAGCTCACTGCAACCTCCGCCTCCCTGGTTTAAGTGATTCTCCTGCCTCAGCCTCCTGAGCAGCTGGGATTACAGGCGCCTGCCATCTCGCCCAGCTAATTTTTATATTTTTAATAGAGACAGGGTTTCACCATGCTGTCCAGGCTGGTCTTAAACTCCTGACCTTAAGTGATCTACCTGCCTCAGCCTCCCAAAGTGTTGGGATTACTGGCGCAAGCCACCGTGCCGACCCTAAAGTGTTCTTGTACACAGGGTATTGTCTTACACTACAGGGAACCTGGATTGGAGTTGAAGGCAGATTTTTTTCAGAGGTTGGGGTGGAAGGGTGAGAATGTGAGTGTTCAACTTGAGAGGAGAAAGGGTAGGGGTGGAAGGAAACATCACTTGTATAGGGATTAATACTTTGCTTTTTAAAGTTATTTTAACCTGTGGTCTGTTTCTGTGTCCAAATAATAACTGCAGTAATAACAAATATTTGAGAGGTTAGTTAGACCTGAGCAAAAGCCTCGTTTTATTAAACAATGGGGCCTGGTGATTGTCCCACTGTCTGTCATCAGGGATATCCTGACTAAAAGAAGGGACAGGATTGTGTCTTGGTCACAGAGGGATCATCACCCTTCCTCTCTGCATCTACTCCCTCGAGCCATCTCGGCCCTAAATTGCCAACACAGGCAGATCCCATTGGATTTAAGCCTTTCTCCAGTCCCATCAGCGCTAATTGGACACATGGAATCCAGAGGTCTGTGAGTCACACTTTCTTAGGACATTCTCTACAAGTCCAGAGAAATGACCAGAAGGGAAGGGAAAGGAAGGGGCCCTGGGGTCCACCCAGGGCTGATAAAAAGGCCCTAAGCCCTACAAAGGTGGAGGCATCTTCAGGTGTGTGTCAAAGTACGAAGTTGACTGTACAAATTAGTGCAAGTCCAGCAAAACCCTGATTTTTCCCAAGATAATTATTTTGAAACAGTTTAAACATTTTATTTTAGATGTCTTTTTCTTTTTTTTCCCCGAAAGCCCGCTGGCTCCTAGGTTGGCTGTTGCCCTAGGCACAGCCGAAGCCGTCTGTGGTTCTGCACTCTGAGGTGCAGAGAAGGCCAGAGCGTCACAGGGAGGCTCAGGACGTCAGGGAGCTGAGGGCCTAAGATAAATAAAGTAAAAACAACCGCTGTTCGAGACTCAAGTCCCCTGTTCTCTCGCCTCACGCGGGCACAGGGAGCCCCCGGGCCGCACACTGGCCAGGGGCGGAGCTGGATCCCGGAGAGCCGCCGTCTCCGCTTCGCCGCCCTTCGCGCGCCCCACTTCAGCCTTTCAGCGTAAGGCAGGAACCTTTTTTCCAGACGGCAAAGAAAGGGAAGACTTTGCCGGAGAAAGAGGCAGTGAAGGTGAAGATGGGCTCCTGGGTCTGGGCGTTGTGGAGGGTCACCTGCCCCGCCTCGTAGTCCAGGGCGACTCTCACGCCGCGCGGGATCTCGCTCAGCGGCAGGTCGGTGCCCGGGGAGGTGCTGGCCCAGCACTGCTGGTGCGAGATGATCACGGCCCAGACGCCGTCCTCGGCGCTGAGTCCCATCTCTCCCTTCCTCCTCACCCCCTCCCCGGCCACCCCCACCGTGCAGCCGCCGCCGTCGCCCAGCTGCAGGTCAACCTGCCAGCGGTGGCGCCCGGAGGAGAAGCCCGGGAAGCCCAGAACCGCCGGGAGGCCGTCGAAGCGCAGGGGGCTGTCTGGCAGGCTCTTCTTCTGCCGGGTGTACCTCACTGACTTCCTGTCTTCCGAGAGAACCAGGCTCCGGCTGGCGGTCTGAGGGTCCAGAGTGATGACCCCTAGAGGGAGGAGCGCGCAGACATCAACAGCGGGCGGCAACCACAGATGTTCCTAGAGCAGGCAACGCACGTGGGAGGCAGAAGGAGTACTGGACTTGGGCAGCCTGCCATTGGGCCACTTCTCTGAACCGCCCTTCTACCTAATCAGCAAGTGGTGCTGTTAAGGATTTGCTTCTCAAAGTGCAGCGGGAGGGACCAGCAGCATCCCCACCACCTGGGTGTTTGTTAGAAATGCAGAATATTGGGCCCCATCCCACCCTACTAAATCAGAATCTGCATTTTAACAGGATCCCTAGGAGACGTTTCTGCATATTAAGTTTGAAAAGCACTTACCTATACCAGAGTGAGTGAGGTGATGCTTATGGAAACAACTTCTAAATTAAGCACCAATTTAAAAATAAATGTGATTTTTAAAAAATTGCACATTTTTTGTTCAAATCAGTAGAGAGCCCAGCACAATGCTCTCAAAAAACTAGGGCTTGATAAGTATTTTTCAACGAGTAATATCTACACAAGTAGATGACATTAATTGAGCACTTACTATGAGTCAGGTAATATACTAAGCTCTTTGCATGTATTAATTTATTTTGTCCTCACAGCTACTTATGGGACAGGTACAGTACTTTTATTTTCATTTTACTGATGAAGAAAATATTGTGGGACAGAGGCTTAATAACTTGCCCAGTGTCTCAGAGCTAGCAAGAACTGGAATCGAGAACTCAAGCAATCAAGCTCCAGAATTCATGCATTTTATTGCTCTGTTTGCTGCCATGGATTGAATGGATGAATGGAAGAATGACTCCCCAAATCCCAAGCTGTTTACCTGAATCTATTTCCAGATGATGCGCCAAGTTTTCTGAGGGAAGCAGAAATAGAAAGAGAGATCTGTGACTTATTACTTCTTATAGGCACCCCCAGGGGCAAGGTGACTTGAGTACAATGTGAAGATGAGGACAGAAGACTTGGCTTCTGCTGTGGTCTAGTGGAGGAGAAGGGTCCTCACCCTCCTGGACTCTCAGTCCTGCACCTGTCCTTAGGGAGTGGAGGAGATGCTCTGGGAATAGTGCCCCTGAATAAATTGAGATCACTAAGGGAAGGCTCTGGGGAGGGAAGATGTCTCGAGCCAGGTTTCAAGGGCAGAGAAGGATGGAGATGGGTGGAAGACAGGAGGGCAGCTAATGGGACTGGGGAAAACTGTGGCGCCTTCCCCTTTACCTGAGAACATCCTCATCATCTCTGGGAGGGTGAGTATTTTCCTGTGGAAATCACGGATCTTCTTGACAAGGTCAGGAGAAATGGCCTCAGGACTCACAAAAGTCTTCATCTCACACCTGCAGACAGGTTTGGTAACCAGTTAGGTCCAAATTCCAAAAACAAATGTTCGGGTGAGACCACGTGAGGCTAAAATCAGACTAAAGAATGATCTTGGCGTCTGTGGTGAATAATGAAATTGAGTATCATTTCTTTACTTTTGCTGGAAATGTGTAGTTACTAAAATAGTAGGCATTTCAGTTAAACCTAAGAGGAACTAAGGATAATCACTTCTCAAGAATTGGAGGTAAGCCCCTTTAGGAGAATGTTTGGTTCTGTAGGGGCTGAGGGACAGAGATCATTACCCCTTTTGGTCTCTAGAGGGCAACAGGGTACCATTTGAAAACAGCCTTAAACTACCCTTGTGTATGCTGCTATTTGTAAAGGAAAAGAGGCTAGAAGGGAAGAAAAAAAAAGGATCAACGAAAATATATATTGCAATGAAAAAAACTCCTGATTCTGGTCCCAGCTCAGTCCTCATTAGACACTTGCTGCATTACCTTGAAGACTCTTCACCCCCTGGGTCTCAGTTTCTTCCTCAGACTGGAAGACCTCCAAGCCCTTCTAGATCTAAACCTCTAATGCTCTTTGAAAAGCATGTTTGGAGACACTTCCTGATTCATGGACCCTGGGTTTATCCTCCCTGCACGGGAATAGGCACAAAGCACGTGACAATTGTTCCCTAGTCACTACACCTCTCTTCATCTCAGTGCAGACTGCTAATGCTTATAGCAGACAGGGAAGGAAAGGGCCATGCATTTACAATGCCACTGGCTCCTGGTGGCTGTCCTTTTACAGTAGCATTAGAAAATTCTGAAGGAAACCAGAGATGTGTGTAAAAAATGAATGAATGAAAGAACAGGCTGGTATTCCTGGTTTCCATGCTTATCATAGTCTACAGAAAGTATTCCCCCTTTAAATTACATTTTAAATGGTGTTAGATACTGACTCAAGTACTAATAATTTCATAGATTAAATAAATGTTCCTGGATCAACCTAAAAACATGATTATTATTTATAACTTCACTTCTAGGGGAAAAAATGTGTCCCCAATACCAACCAATCAATTTAAAAATGAACCTTTAGAACGCAAATCTTTAGTGAGTTTGGACTGTTTGTGCACAGTTGAATGAGACAGTGTGTCTGCCAGAGTGCCTTTGCTTTCCTGGCAAAGTGGGTGGCAGTAAGTGCCCCTGCCCCTTCCCATTCAGTCTTGATGTTGAGTAAAAGGAGGCAGGACCGGGGAGTGGGCCCTACCTGCTCTGGTTGACTCTGACATCCTGCAAAAGAAAGACAAGAACATACATTTAGTTTCCATAAGTCCTTCCTGTCAGGGATTCTGTACATCACTTTTCCCTTAAAATATGAACTCAAAACTCTCCTTCTGCAGAGAGTTGTCCTGTTTAATTACCTACTCATTAGATTGTTCTTTTACATCATGTTTTCTTACTAATTTGGGTTTCTGTAGTCAGTTCATTTGTGCTGGTTTCCCTGTTTCAGCCTTATCGTGGGGGTGGGTTGTGTCTGCAATGATTAGGAGGTGGTAGAGAGCAGGGGCCTGCCTTCAGTTATCAGCTGGACCTGATGTGAGCCAGGATCACATATTCATAACCATAGCAGACACCAGTTATTGAGTTCTTTCTGTATATCAGGAATCATGCCAAGCATTTTTTATGGATTGTTTCTTATAATTTTGCAATAACTTTATGAGGGAGGTGCTATTGCTGTCCCCATGTTTAGAGAGGCTAAGAGACTCACTCAAGTCACACAATTGGAAGAGCCAACATTCAAATCCAAGACTGTCTGACCCTAAACCCCTTAACATGACCACAGTGTATGACTTGGGCAAGTCTCCAGCCCCTCTGGATCTGCACCCCGTTAACCTCTCTCCACTTCCCTTTCCTGCCTCTCTCCAGCCCAAAGCATGGTGCCCACCCCCTTCCCCGTGGAGTCCCTCTCTTATCCTACAAAGTGGTGAAGTGTCTCTCACTTGTAGAAGCTCACTTGCTGGCTGCTGACACTTCTCCTCCAGCTCCTTGACCTGGGCTCCAAGCCGGGTGACTTCCTCAGAGACCTTTGTGATATATTCATCCCTCTCCTTCCAAATCTGCTGCTCCAGCTCCCTCAGCCTGGCCAGCAGGAGACATCGCTGCTGCTCCAGCTCCTGCTGCAGCCTCTCAAAAGCTGTTTCCACCTGATGCTTCTTGCTTTCGATCTGAGTCTTCAAGGGATAAAAGGCAGACATGGTTAGGAAGGGGCTCAGAGATAGCTTCCAGGATGATCATCTATATACTTATTATTGATTAACAGGGATAGGGAGCAACTGGTCCAAGACTCATTCCATTTACTAATATGCCTAGAAGTAGTTAGGTCTCAGGATGAACTTACCAATGATGAGGGCTGTGCTACTGTCTTAGCTAGATACTCTAATAATAATGCTACATTATGCTCTCAGAATGATGTTGAACTTTTCAAAAATATTTCCACAACTACAATACCATCATAACCCTACTATGCCTTCTTAGAGTTAGGTGGGGAAGACTGTAATAATTTCTTAGAGGCAAAAGGAAGTTGTGATTGGAGTCAACACAACTTAGTGGGAGAGTGTGTAATTTTGGTTTTAGCCGTGGAAATCACCAACTACAGGGCATACGTTGATGAGAGCTGAGGGATGGTGGATAGGTTGCTTTGTCCCCACACTCTCTCCTTGGTCAAGGTACCAGAAATCCTCACACTGTGATTCCTCCATAACTTTATAGCATGAAAAGAGAGGCGTGAGGGATCCAGATGTAGCCACACCATCAGCCTACTCTCCTCAAGGTCAGCCTGTAGTCAGGACTAGAATCCCGACACTAACATATGTTTTTGACCCCAAGCTTCCCATCTGAAGGTGGTGTGTTCAGGCAAACAGACTAGGATGGAAAGAACAATGAATTAAGGGTCAAGAAATCCAGGTTCCTCATGAACTTCAGCTTTGCTATGTGGCCTTGGGAGCATTGCTTTTCTGGTCCTAAGTTTTCTGCTCTGTAAAATGTGATATACAAGATGGATCTTGGATTGCAAGACATCAGAACCACTTCTAGTGCTCATGGTCTGAGATCCCAAATGCCTTTGTGCAGCCACAGGAAGGTGAACGAGAACAGTTTGTCAGTTCTTTTCAGCCAGGAAACAGATACCAGCCAACGGGTTTCCCCAGAGTCTCTTAAGAAAACCTTCAAAGGAAAAGGTAGCCAGTGACGTGGCCTGTACCAGCAGCACTTGAAGCTTCTGGTCTTCTTGACACTTTACATCCTCAATCTCATCTCTCTCCGTGCTCAGAGCTTCCAGTCGACTCCTGAGACGATCCTGTGGGGAGAAGAATGGGTGGATAGAGGTGACTGAATTAATAATTCAACTCACAATTATTAACTATCACATCCTGGGCACACTGTTGAGTGCTGAGGGGTTCAAAGGTGGAAAAGGCCCAGTCCTTGCCCTAAAGAGACCACCATCTCAGGAAGAAGTCAATGTCAAGTGATTAAAATACAGATAGATAAATGCAATAGTCCAGGGGTACACACAGTGAGATGGGAACACAGAGGTCAGCTCTGCCTGTAGGCCTAAGGGAAGGTTTGGAAAGCAGAAAACATTTACAATGTGCCTTGAAAGATAAATTTCCAGTTGAATAGAGAGGGAGAGAAAAGGACTTAGTGCCCACAGATGTGAAGGACCTCTTCAAGGAGAACTACAAACCACTGCTCAAGGAAATCAGAGAGAACACAGACAAATGGAAAAACATTCCATGCTCATGGATAGGAAGAATCAATATTGTGAAAATGGCCATACTGCCCAAAGTAATTTATAGATTCAGTGTTATCCCTATCAAGCTACCATTGACTTTCTTCACAGAATTAGAAAAAACTACTTTATATTTCATATGGAACCAATAAAGAGCCCACATAGCCAATACAATCTTAAGCAAAAAGAACGAAGCTGGAGGCATCATGCTACCTGACTTCAAACTATACTACAAGGCTGTAGTATATGATATCAAATATGTCTGGTATCAAAACAGACATATAGACAAATGGAACAGAAGAAGGGCCTCAGAAATAACACCACACATCTACAACCATCTGATCTTTGACAAACCTGACAAAAACAAGCAATGGGGAAAGGATTCCCTATTTAATAAATGGTGTTGGGAAAACTGGCTAGCCATATGCAGAAAACTGAAACTGGACCCCTTCCTTACACCTGAAATAAAAATTAACTCAAGATGGATTAAAGACTTAAACGTAAGACCTAAAACCATAAAAACCCTAGAAGAAAACCTAGGCAATACCATTCAGGACATAGGCATGGGCAAAGACTTCATGACTAGAACACCAAAAGCAATGGCAACAAAAGCCTAAATTGACAAATGGTATCTAATTAAATGAAAGAGCTTCTGCACAGCAAAAGAAACTATCATCAGAGTGAACAGGCAACCTACAGAATGGGAGAAACATTTTGCAATCTATCCATCTGACAAAGGGCTAATATCCAAAATCTACAAAGAACTTAAACAAATTTACAAGAAAAAAACAAACAGCCCCATCAAAAAGTAGGTGAAGGATATGAACAGACACTTCTCAAAAGAAGACATTTATGTGGCCAACAAACCTATGAAAAGAAGCTCATCATCACTGGTCATTAGAGAAATGCAAATCAAAACCACAATGAGATACCATCTCACACCAGTTAGAATGGTGATCATTAAAAAGTCAGGAAATAACAGATGCTGGAGATGATGTGGAGAAATAAGAATGCTTTTACAATGTTGGTGGGAGTGTAAATTAGTTCAACCGTTGTGGAAGACAGTGTGGCAACTCCTCAAGAATCTAGAATGAGAAATACCATTTGACCTGGCAATCCCATTACTGGGTATATACCCAGAGGATTATAAATTATCCTACTGTAAAGACACATGCACACATATGTTTATTGCAGCACTGTTCACAATAGCAAAGACTTGGAACCAACCCAAATGTCCATCAATGATAGACTGGATAAAGAAAATATGGCACATATATGCCATGGAATACTATGCAGGCATAAAAAAGATGTGTTCATGTCCTTTGCAGGGATATGGATGAAGCTGGAAACCATCATTCTCAGCAAACTAACACAGGAACAGAAAACCAAACACCACATGTTCTTACTCATAAGTGGGAGGTGAACAATGAGAACACATGGACACAGGGAGGGGAACATCACACATCGGGGCCTGTCAGGGCTTGGGGGACTAGGGGAGGGATAGCATTAGGAGAAATACCTAATGTAGATGATGGATTGATGGGTGCAGCAAACCACCATGGCACGTATATACCTATGTAACAAACCTGCACGTTCTGCATATGTATCCCAGAACATGTATAATAAAAAAAAAAAGAAAAGGACTTAGTGCCCCTGAATTGTATACTTAAAAACAGAGAGAGAGGTGGGAGGAAGGGAGAAGAGTATTCTAGGAGGAAGAGACTATGTGCAAAAAGTATTGGAAGCAGGAATGAATAAGACAACTCAGGAAAAAACAGCAAGTGCAGCTCAGTCTGGCCAGACACGTGGTGCCTTGAGGAGGGAGGCTGAGCGATGAGGCCGGACAGGGAGGAAGGATCCCGACTGCAAAGGGCCTTGAATGTCTTGCTAAAGACCTTGGACTTTCTTTGGGCACTAGGTATACATGGGAGGATTTTGTGCAGATGAGTGACTTTGTGTTTTAGGAGGATCTGTCTCCCAGCAGATTGGAAGGTGACTGGAAAGGGTGAGAATGGAGACAGGAAATGCCATGGAGACTGCAAAGTCTGCGCAAGAGATAGGGAGAACCTGGCTGTGAGGATAAGGCAGAATTAAAGATTTGGGAGATGTTTCTAAGGTAACCACTTCCAGACCTGGTGACTGGATGACAAGAGAGAGATCTGAGAGGCTGACAGGAAAGTGCCCCAAGGCCAGATGGGGAATTCTCACAATTCTGGACTACTGCCACCCTCCCTTTCTCAAGAAGAAGAGCAGTGCTAGCAGGTTCCCCTTCCCAGCTCCTCCCTCCCCTCTGCGCCCTGGCAGTCAGGGCCCTATAAACCCCATTTCCAGTCTGGATCCTGGGAGAACAAGTTTACCCTGCCCATAATCTGCAGAAGATCCCACTCGGCATTGGAGCTTTCTTTCCATAGTGAGTGAAGCCAAGGCTACAGTTCTTTGCACTCCACCTCTGTGGGGTCCTCTGAGAGCTGGAGCTGAAGTTCCCCCCAGACCAGGAACTACCACACATCCAAGTGGAGCCCTATCTGCCTTCAGTCTGGGAATGCCTCGAAAGTCCCTGTAACCTTAGGGTTCCCTGATGTGGAAGCCTTTCATCCAGATCCCCGCCCGATTTCCTCCCCTCATAACAGGACATCATCCTGCCCCAAACAGGCCCTAGGTAAAGCTACACTTCTTACCCGGTAGGGCTGAATGGCCTCGTCCAGGAACCCCACGGTGTGCGCCTGGTGCGTGGGACCCTCCCTGCAGAACACACAGAGGAACTCGGCATCGTTCTCGCAGAAGAAGTAGATCTTCTCGCCGTGCTCCTCGCAGTAAGTTTCTCCCAGCGGGCCCAGGGGCACAGGGGCCATGGGAGTCTCTGCCTGCTCCTCCTCTTGGCAGAGCGGGCAGAGCAGGATCTTGCCCGAGGATTGGGCCCCCATCTGGGAGAGCGCGGGGAGGCAGAGCCGGCAGAAGGTGTGTCCACAGGGAATGGTCACCGCATCCTCCAGCGGCCCCGCACAGAGGGTACAGGCAGGCAGCTCATGGACCACCTTCAGGGACGGGGTTGCGGGCATCACGGTGCCTTCCCCAGCCCGTCCACTCCGGTCTCCTCAGCCCACGCGAGTTCCCTTTCCCTGAAATCGAGTCACACTTACATGAATCGCAGAGGGAAACGGCTGCAAGGCTGAGAGACAGAGAGAGAGAAAGAGAGAGAGAGGCAAGAATGCCAGCACAGGGAAGCCACCTGGCTCCGCCTCTTGTGTTCCCTAGAACCCTGGCCACCACCTATCAGCGGAGTGGGTCCAAATTCCAGGGCGTCTCGAATTACCCAGAATTTCCCAGTGGCGGCCAAGTAAGCCAGTTCTTTACTCCTGGCTCCTTCTGGTCCCTAGGGTGGAGAACAGAGCACACCATGAGGTCACAGGGGGATGGGTTTCCTGGAATCTGTAGACCACAGTGGCTGGGGAGAACTGGGGAGCAGAAGCTTCCTGTCAGATTGAGCAGGTGGGAGCCATAAACTTCTGGCTCTGAGGCGTGCCCACAGCATCAAAGTCCAGGCTGGAGTGAGAGGTGTGGACTTCGGGAGATTCTGCCGGAAGTGTGTGGGCGGGACGCTGTTTCGACACTGCAGGTAGGGTGTAAGGATTGCTCATCGGGTCCCCTCTTCTGCTCTCCTTTCCTCCCTCACCACATCTGCCCATGGTGGCCCCTCCTACGGTCCCAAATCCCCCACCACCTGGCACAACAGTCCCCTTTGGGGTTCGGGTAACACTGGACTATTTTATTTATTTATTTATTTATTTATTTATTTATTTATTTATTTATTTTTACTGTAGCGGGGAGAAGGCAAGAAACCATAATGCAAATGATTTATGTTGATACACATTAGAAAACGATTAGTCAGATAATCAGTTTCAACCACATTTATCTAGGGTTTAGTATTTTTATATTACTACATTCAATTTTAATAACCCTCTAGGCAAACATTATTACCTTCATTTTACAGAGAAAGAAATGTAAACTGACTTTCCAAATGTAAAGTGACTTTCCAAAGGTCACAAAGCTAGAAAGTATCACGTTAAGGACGATCCCAGTCTCCTGGCTTAAAGCCCTACGCTCCTCCCACACCTCATGCCAAGACCAAGATCTGCAGCCACGGTCCTTCACCCATGCACACATCTGTGGATAAAACCAGGCCTTCCCCCATTCTCCCACTGGGTGATCAGCCTAGCCCCTTGTGGTTGCTCCCTTTTTACTCTAATCACTTTATTACCTCCCCTTCCCATCCAATCTCTGCTCTTCCTGCCACGAGTGCAGCCCAGGAACTAGTTTGTCCAATACAGGAGCCACCAGCCACATGTGTCTACTGAGCACTGAAATGTGGCCGGTCTGAATGGCGGCATGCTGTATATGTAAAATACATACCGGATTTCTTTTTTTTCTTTTTCTTTTTCTCTTTTTTCTTTTCTTTTTTTTTTTTTTTGAAATGGAGTCTCGCTCTGTCTCCCGGGATGGAGTGCAGTAGCGCGATCTTGGCTCACTGCAAGCTCCTCCTCCCGGGTTCACACCATTCTCCTGCCTCAGCCTCCCGAGTAGCTGGGACTACAGGCGCCGGCCAGCACGCCAGGCTAATTTTTTTGTATTTTTAGTAGAGACGGGGTTTCACCGTGTTAACCAGGATGGTCTAGATTTCCTGACCTCGTGATCCGCCCGCCTAGGCCTCCCAAAGTGCTGGGATTACAGGCGTGAGCCACCGCGCCCGGCCAACACACCGGATTTCAAAGGCTTTTCACAAATTTAAAAATGTAAAATATCTTATTAATGACTTTTTATATGGATCACATATTGAAATGATAATATTTTGGAAATATAGGACTAAATAAAATAACATCATTAAAATTACTTTCACCTGTTTAGACTATTTTTATATGGCCACTAGGAAATTTTAAATTGCATATGTGGCTCACTTTGCGTTTATGTTGAATAGCATTGCTCGG
This sequence comes from Homo sapiens, assembly GCF_000001405.40. Lineage (NCBI taxonomy): Eukaryota > Metazoa > Chordata > Mammalia > Primates > Hominidae > Homo > Homo sapiens. Next base: position 1,416,889 of record NT_167248.2, on the reverse strand, counting down.
AAGACAGATCTGACAGCAAATTATTTATGGTCACTCACCTTCTTACTTGTGTGCCTAGGGCAAGCTGAATAACCTGGCTGGGCCTCAGCTTTCTCATTTATGAAATGGAGATCCTAATAGCACTGATGTTGCAGAGCAGACACAGAAATAAGATCATACTTTTAAATTGCTTGTATCAATGTAAGTTGTACCGTCATTGTAAATAAATTCTGGCCAAATTGCTTGTATCAATGTAAGTTGTACCGTCATTGTAAATAAATTCTGGCCGTTAGTAGTTTTCTTTCTCCTCCCCATCATAGGGAATATTCCAGCCTCTTTTGAGGCCTGCAGCAGGCCAGTTGAGGCATCACCATTGAAGTTGCTGGTGCAGTGTACACCCTGGCACAAGGACCTTATCTGAGCCCCCACACTCTCCTGCTTGCTGATGGGCAAGCCCTGGGCTGGCTGATACCTCCAATCTCTTTGGAGACAGCTGGCCATATGGCAGAAAGGCTGGAATGGCATCTCCACTCTGTGACCCAGTCTCCCACTTGCCCCCAAAAGAATATTTCTTCTGACAGTGGACAGCTGACATATCACCACTTTCCTTCTACTGTGAGTGTCTCTGGATGGGCAGAAAGGAATGGCCAGCCCCTGGTTATGGTCATCTAAGGTCACCTCTGAAATGCTGTGAGCCCCTCTTCCTTCCTCTCCTCTGCTATTTCCCATCTCTGCTGTTGGCAGGAGAATAGAACCCTGGCTGCCAGAGATGCAAGTGTGTGACGATATGGGTGCTGGTGCATATTTAGTATGTGCCTGTGTCCAGCCATGTGCATGTGTGGGTGTGTGAGTGTGTGACCCAGCCCTTCCCCCGTGGCCAAGCAGAGAGAGTGGCCTTGAGGAAGCCATAGCAGCAGGACCAGCATGGCCTCTGCTGCCTCTGTGACCAGCCTGGCAGATGAAGTCAACTGCCCCATCTGTCAGGGTACCCTGAGGGAGCCGGTCACTATCGACTGCGGCCACAACTTCTGCCGGGCCTGCCTTACCCGCTACTGTGAGATACCAGGCCCAGACCTGGAGGAGTCCCCTACTTGCCCACTCTGCAAAGAACCCTTCCGTCCTGGGAGCTTCCGGCCCAACTGGCAGCTGGCTAACGTGGTGGAGAACATTGAGCGCCTCCAGCTGGTGTCCACACTGGGTTTGGGAGAGGAGGATGTCTGCCAAGAGCACGGAGAGAAGATCTACTTCTTCTGTGAGGATGATGAGATGCAGTTGTGCGTGGTGTGCCGGGAGGCTGGGGAGCACGCTACCCACACCATGCGCTTCCTGGAGGATGCAGCGGCTCCCTATAGGGTAGGAAAGGGGAACTGGGGGATCCCAGGGTGGACTGGACTGGACTAAGAGAAACAGCAGAGTTGTGGATTATTTAGGCCACCCGGAGGCCAAATTCTTTCTCCTTACTTACATGATCACCCAGGCAATAGACCCAGGCATGGAAAATTGTGTTTATGTTTTATGTTTTTTTGAGTGTGTTCTGTGTTCACTTGTGGCCAACAGATAACGGGAGTTCAACAAGTACTTGTTGAATGAATGAGTGACCAAACATGAGTGTGTGTGTCTGTGCCATGGATCAGGTGTGTCTGAAGTTTGCATTTGAGGGAATGATTGTACAAACAGTGTGTATATGTGTTAATGTTTGCATGTTTAGAAGTGTGTCTGGTGTGTTTGGATGGGAGTCTGAGTATGTATATATTTGAGTGTGTAAGTGTAACTGAGAGCTCCTGTTTGTGAATAAATTCGTGTTTACATATATTCAGGCTGGGTAAATGTATGTGGCATGCCATTTTATCTGTCATTAAATGAATGTGTGCTGGTTTTAGTTGTTTATGCATTGTGCTTATGAATTATGTTTTAGTACAAGTCTGTGTGTGGATGTCTTAATTAGTTAATTAGCAGTTGATAGTGAGAATTCTAATATATCTTTGAACACACATATTTATCGTGTGTGTACCTGTTCCTAACTCTATTCTGGAGCAAATAATTTTGAAAACAATTTATCAATTATTTTTACATTACCCAAGTTTCTTCTCCCCTCTGGAGTCATACACAGATAATTGATTTCAGTAACAAGGGAGGGTTGTTATTTACACATGTTCCTTTGGGATGAGTCGGAAACTCAGAATGATTTCAGTGCGGGGCATATCAAACTCAGTACAGACCCCAGATACCACTTACCCGAAGCAAAACACAATAGAATGTTAAACCTGAAGAAAGACTCAAGTGGGAAAACCAAGTCACAGCCTCTAATGGCACAGGATAAAGGGGGAAAGTCCTGATCCAAAGTCTTAGAGACAAATCAAGAGGAAGAAGACCCAAAGGGAGTAAGCTGTCAGGGTGGTGAAGGCTCGGGGATTGTCAGCTAAGGAAGGGACTCCTCTCCTGGGGCCATTTCATTCCTGGAGGCAGAGGGTCAGATGACCAGACAAACCTGAACAAATCATTTTCCATCTTGAGTATTTTATGTTCCTTCTCCCCAGGAACAAATCCATAAGTGTCTTAAATGTCTAAGAAAAGAGAGAGAGGAGATTCAAGAAATCCAGTCAAGAGAAAATAAAAGGATGCAAGTCCTCCTGGTAAGTCATCACCCCTTCCCCAGGTTCCTCCCCTTCCTCAGGGTCCAGTGTCTTCCTGAAACTGAGGCAACATAGATTATAGGGCTTTGAAGTTATTATGAGTTTAAATCCTGACTCTGACACTAACTCTATGACCTCAAGCAACTCTCCAACTTCAGTTTACTTATCTGTAAAATGGAGAGTAAAAATCATCATGACCTCATTGAATTACTGTAAGCATTAAATGAGATTGTGACTGTAAAGTAGCTCAGGGCTGTGCACATAATGTGCTTTTCATACAAGACAGGAGGTAGGGTGTCCCCACCACCTCCTCCTACACCTCCTGTAAGCCCTACCCCTTTTAGAAGCTGCAGCAGATGGTGCTGAGACAACACTGTGAGTCTTGCTTCTCGAAATGGGATGACAAGTGAAAAGGAAACCATGACACAGTTCCAGATCTACCTGGGGACAGGGGAGGAAGAGGAGCAGAGGGAGAAGGAGGAAGCAAACTTTCTCTTGGGCTTGCCTCCTGCCCCCTCAGACTCAGGTGTCCACCAAGAGACAACAGGTGATTTCTGAGTTCGCACACCTGAGGAAGTTTCTAGAGGAACAGCAGAGCATCCTCTTAGCACAATTGGAGAGCCAGGATGGGGACATCTTGAGGCAACGGGATGAATTTGATTTGCTGGTTGCTGGGGAGATCTGCCGGTTTAGTGCTCTTATTGAAGAACTGGAGGAGAAGAATGAGAGGCCAGCAAGGGAGCTCCTGACGGTGAGGCCTGAACCGGAACCCTGCCCCACCTGTGCTGTCCTGTGACTCTTGCATCTTTGTCTTGCCTAAGCCATGTCTCCCTGACTCACACATCTCTGTATCCCAGATGGGAGGTGGGTCAGAGGACCAGAAAGTCTCAATTCTAGTTCATGCTTTTCCAAGAGTTCCCTGGTCACTTTTTGCTCTCTGGTCTCCACCTCTCCGTCCCACCATCTGCCAAATAGGGAAGATACTTTCCTTAAATATTTCACAGGGCTTTTGTGAGGATCCAACAGTAAGATGGAAGTGAAAGTAGCACTTTGAAAAAGTATTAAGTAAGTTGCAAACCATTCTCTATAACCTAAATGTCACCAACCACCAGTCAGGAAGTTTGTCCTGGTCTATTTCACTTCCTCACACTGGAGGAGAGGTATTGGGGTCCCCACAAAGTATTGGAAAGGCAGCATGACTTAGAATGATGCTCTTAGGACTGAGAAACAGGAGACCTTGGTATGAGACTTACTTTGCCTCCAGTGAGCAGGGGAAGGTCACTTCACCATCTTTATCTAAAAAATAAAGGCTTTGGGCTCTGATCCACAGAGATGGGTGAGTCCTAATGCTCTGTGACTCTATGCATCTGGTATCCTTTTCCTGTCCAGGGCTAGAAATATATTTTGTCTTTTCCAGTCATAAGAAAAGTGGGAGGAGCCTGGGCAACATAACAAAACCCCATCTCTACAAAAAAAAAAAAAAAAAAAAAAGAAAATTAGCCAGGCATGGTGACAAACACCTGTAGTCCCAGCTACTCAAGATGCTGAGGTAGGAGGATCCCTTGAGCCCAGGAGGTTGAGTATGCAGTGAGCCATGATCACGCCACTGTATTCCAGCCTGGGCACCAGAGTGAGACCCTTTCTCAAACAAACAAACAAGCAAATAAAAAATAAATAAAATAAAAGTAGAAAAAGAAAGGAAAGAAAAATGGAAAGGAGAAGCTGGAAACTGAATTTCTGGTATCTCTTTCTCCTAGGACATCAGAAGCACTCTAATAAGGTAAGCAATATAGTTTCTCTCTTTTCTTTTTCCATATAAATATACATACATGTACTGCATGCCTAGTTATTGCCACACAGGTATATAACATTCTCACTTAAGGATACAAATTTACATATAAACCTCTATATACCCAAATGCCTTCTCAGGTATATCCATAGATGCCCAAAAATGGGCAGTGGGATTCATCCTAGAGGAAGTACGTCTGCCTGCAGGAACTAGCGCCATCATGCCCTATTAGAAGATGACCAGCTGAGTCTGGAGACATTATTAAGGATGATAATTCCCAGACCCAGCCATTTCTGTGCCCCTAGATGTGAAACCAGAAAGTGCCGGAAACCGGTGGCTGTGTCGCCAGAGCTGGGCCAGAGGATTCGGGACTTTCCCCAGCAGGCCCTCCCGCTGCAGAGGGAGATGAAGATGTTTCTGGGTAAGAGAACCCCAGGCCTCCACAGAGCGCAGGTGGCCATGAAGCCTGGGTTTAGGAGTGGCCTCCACGCTCCACTGCTGAAAGGTGTGACTTTGGCAAGCCTTATTCCTTCCTGTGCCTTGATTTCCTTATTTGCAGATTTTTATAAAATCTGCCTATTAGGATATTGTGACAATGAAGAAAGAGAATAAAGGTGAATATTTCTGGTGAAAAAGTTAAACTGATTTTAAAATAATTCAACAAATCTGATTAGTGGTCATTAAGCAATATGAAAGATAATGATTAACAATATATCATTCTTAATAAGTTAAAAAATCCCACAGCAACATTTGTAATATGTGATAAGTTTTTGATGATGAACATTGTTAATTAATAGCCAACAACAGTATTTATCTTGACCCTGTGGTATCTGGCTCGTCCCTCCTTCCTTCTCACTTTCTTTCTGTTAGTCTGGCTCAGAGTTAGACGGTCCTACGGGGACTGTGCTCCACTTCCTTTTCCGGAACAGGGAGTGGTGGTAGGGTGTGGGGGAGGGTTTGGATGAGAGTCAGGAATGGGACATGGCTCTCTGCCAACCACCTCCTCACTAACCATGACAGAATGAATGATGACACCAATTTTGAAATGACCCACCCACAGTTATGTCACCCTAGAAGGACTTTTCCCATAATTCCATTTCCTGCAAATACTTCCAGTGACCTGTCAGTGAAGGAAATTTCACTCTAATCAAAGGCTGACCTTTGACTCTCCCCAAAATTATTTCCAAGTGGAATAATAAATAAATGAACCCATTTCTCTATTCACTAAGCAGATATTTCTTGAGCATTTACTATGTCCTGGGCTCTGCGGGTACAGAGGTGAGCAAGGCAGTCATGGTCCCTGTTTGATCAGGGCTAGGGCAGTGGGGCTCCCACCAGCAGCAGCAGCTGCATTGCCCAGGAAATTGTTAGAAATACAGATGTTCAGCTCCACCCCAGAGCACCTGAATCTGAAACAGATGTGTTTTAACAAGAGCTCCAGATGATTCTGATGCAAGCTTGGAACCACTGGTCTAGAGGATTCCAGCTTACATTCTTCTTCTTGTCCCTTCCCTCTTCTTGGCCTCAGTTTTCTCATCATTAAGTGTCTGATGGTTTTGTAAGACTAATAAAATCTCATCCTGGTTTATTTTCTTTACAGAAAAACTATGCTTTGAGTTGGACTATGAGCCAGGTAAGGAGCCTATGTCAGGATGGGAGAGAATGAGAAGTCCTCGGAAAGGAGAGAAAATTTTGCAGGATTTGCACTATGACTATGTTATGACTATGACAATAGTCATAACAAACACCCATGGATACATATACACATCATATATATTATATATACACATATGTGTGTGTATATAATACATGTGTGTATATATAGGTTGTGTGTGTGTGTGTGTCACATTGTTTGTAAGGCTCTCAGGAGAAACATGAAGAAAGGACAAGCACATACACATACTACATTCGTGGTATGAAGCTCACATCCTGATCTGCGCATGTCGAGTAGATAGAAAGATTAATGCAGAATGGGATAAAGTCCATCTGGGAATGCTTTCTGGATAAAGGGGACTTTGATCTGGGTTTATAATCACCTCTTTAGAACGTAAGGAACCCCTGCTTCCTCTCAGATGTCATTTCACAGATGACAGAAGGAGGGCGGCCTGTGGGTGGGAAAAAAATGAACAGAATGGACCCCTTCAAGGCTGTCATTTCTCAATCAACCAGCCTAAGACCCTGGGAGTCACGGAGTTGTTGGAGGGGGTTCTCTAACCCACAGATGGACCTAAATTTATGGAAGCTTCTCAATTTATGAATACTAAAAGTAACAAAACGCAAGGCTCTGCAGCAGTTTTTGGTGGTAAAAAGTGGTCCTCAGACTCTGACAGTTTCAGAATTACTGAGGCAGAGTGAATAACCCAGGGGTGAGCCAGAGAGCCTGCCAGGAGGGAAGACTGTAAATGAGTCACCAGTGCCCTGGGAGGAAAACAGGGAGGAATCATGAAGTTTGGACTGAAGGGAGAAATGTCGCTGCACTGTGGGATAGAGATGGGAGGAGGGGAGAATGTGGTATATCAGCCCCAGGAGATCCAAGCTGGCACGCACAGCTTTGGAAACCAACCAACTTGCGGTGAGCAGAAGAGCTTTCCCGAGGACCACACTGAACTAAACGAGAGCTTTCACATCCTCTGAGGCAGGCTTTTCAGGCTTTACCTGTGTGCAAATCACCTGGGCATCTTGTTAGGATGCAGATTCTGAGAGCGTATATCTAACAAGTTCCCAGGTGGTTCCACACTGTTGGCCCACGTAGGCACTATACATGTTTTTGGTAATAATAACACTAACAGGAGGGGCCCAGGGGGAGTTTCTATGCCTTCCTTGGAGGTAATAGCATGTCTGCTGACATCTGTCCCTTTTGGTTATCCCCACAGCTCACATTTCTCTAGACCCTCAGACTTCCCACCCCAAGCTCCTCTTGTCCGAGGACCACCAGCGAGCTCAGTTCTCCTACAAATGGCAGAACTCACCAGACAACCCCCAGCGTTTTGACCGGGCCACCTGTGTTCTGGCCCACACTGGCATCACAGGGGGGAGACACACGTGGGTGGTGAGTATAGACCTGGCCCATGGGGGCAGCTGCACCGTGGGCGTGGTGAGCGAGGATGTGCAGCGGAAGGGGGAGCTTCGGCTGCGGCCAGAGGAGGGGGTGTGGGCTGTGAGGCTGGCTTGGGGCTTCGTCTCGGCTCTGGGCTCCTTCCCCACACGGCTGACCCTGAAGGAGCAGCCCCGGCAGGTGAGGGTGTCTCTTGACTATGAGGTGGGCTGGGTGACCTTCACCAACGCTGTCACCCGAGAGCCCATCTACACCTTCACTGCCTCCTTCACTAGGAAGGTCATTCCCTTCTTTGGGCTCTGGGGCCGAGGGTCCAGTTTCTCCCTGAGCTCCTGAGAAGGAGCAGTTACCTACTCTCCTCTAAGTACAGGACTCATATCAACCCAAGTACCATGTGGACTTGATCCCTGGCTGAATCACCTGGATGACTTGGAATAGAAATGACTGCTTTAGAAGATGGGATGGGGCCGGGTGGTAAGGGATAGAAGAGAGGACTCTCAATCTACTGATCAAGTCCTTTCCCCAATGCCCAGTGGATGGCCAGGGTACCTGGGGACTCAGGCTGCTGCCAGTTCTGCTCACCACCATCCGTGCTTGGCACAGAAGTAGCTGCATAGAAAGAGCACTGGATTTGAAGTCAGAAGACCTGGGTTCTTGAACCAGCCTGTCAACCAGTTGTATGACTTTAAACAAGGCATCTCACCTCTTTTCATCTTGTTTTCTTCCAATAATGTTAGAGTTCATGTAATCACATTCTCTAGAACCATTTAGTTTGTGTTAACTATGAACCAAGCAGTGTGGTGGCCACTGGTGACTTGAAAATATAGAGAAAAAAAAAACCTGCTCTATATCTGAAAGAGCTCTTGGGAAGACAGAGAAACATAAAGAGGAAATTACAGCACAGTGTGGTGGGTGTTACGGGAAGTCCAACCCCAGCATTATGGGAGTTCAGGGGAAGGGGCATAGCCCAGCCTGGAAGGAGAGGGTGAGTGGGGGATGGCTTTCTGAAAAGGGTGGTCTAAAGGATGCCTATGGTCAATAGGGAAAAGAGGGGAAGAAGCATCTTAAGAAGAGGAAACAGCAGAGAACTGGCTGGATGACCTGTGACTCTGGAGCACTGGGTTGTCTCCATTGTCATTATGGGCAGATGTGTGCCATCCCCAGCCGACGCCACTCACTGCCTCCTTCCTCCTGGTGTTGCCACTTCTGGGTGAGATTAAGGTGCAGGGCCTGGGGGCAGGAGGACATAAGGTATAGCCATAAATCATAACCCAGGGACCACACTCAACCCTAGGGAAATTGTCTTCCTGATCAGTTGATTACCATCTGAGGTCAAGAAATGAGATAGTGGGAGCAAATGGGTCACAAATAGCTCAGCTGTGGGCTCAGAAACTGCTAGGTAAAAGAATTCCAGAAGGAGGCCAGGGCATAAGTTGGATGACCTATGAACTTTAGTCTAAAGAATTGAGACTACCGTAATTGAGACTACTGTAGTGACATCTGAGAAATGGGATGGAAGAGTGACCATGTTTTATTTTCTTGTTCTTGTCACTATTGTATTTTATTTTGCATAATCATGCCCTTCACTGACAGTCTCCTTAACATCATCTGTTTACTCTGCTCAGTGTAAACTACAATGCTCTGTCATCTCCCTACTGGGTCTCCTGGGAGGAGGGGAGCCATCCAGGGTGCAAACTCAAAGGCAGAGGGCACAGCGTGCTTAGGCCCAAGCTTAGAATTCAATTGAGAAGTTCTGTTGTTCATCCTTACCTCAGCAGGTAGAAAAGAGGTGGAGATCAGAAGCCAGGGATTAGAGATTGAATTGCTTTCCCTGGGAGTGTGCAGTATCTCATTAAAATGTTGTATATTCAAAAAAATACAGACACACACAAGTGCCTATATAATGATAAAACATATCCAAAGCACCCAAACCTGTGATTCCAGAAAAGTAGATCCTATTTTTGTTTATTTTTATTGGCTTTAGCTGTGTCTTTTGAAAGGACTATTATCCTCTAAAATGTATGTGTATGAAGATCCTGGCTTGCAGCTCGGGAGCTTTACACACCTTGTGTCACTTTATCTTGGTAACGAGCCAAGATCATGCAACCAGTTCATCCATGTCTGACCCAAGAGCTCTTAACTGCTATGCTGCACTGCCTCATTCAGAGATAGATGCCTGCATGGGTCCTGGCGATTATTTTAATGCTGGCTACACCCCCACAGGTGACTTGGATTCAGAAATACAATTTATATTTCTTCTTTTTAAATTGTTTTATTTTATTTTTCTTTTAATAGTTATATGTCAGTGAGAACAATTTATATGTCTTACACTGAGAAATAAAACTGCTCATAAGTGAAAACACTCATGTTGGTCTGTCAGTACCTGCTTCTCCCCTAGGGTAATTTTACTTGAAGTTTACTTGCTTTCGGAGTATGGAGTCAGCACAGGGGAAGTGGATAGATCCTAAAACCTGGTAACTTCAAGATAAGGCAGCTTAATGAACCTCCTTGCTCTGCTGGCCGGAAGTGGGACTCTGGGTTCCCTCCCCAGGAAGTGCTCAAGTCTAGAGGCCCCAGAGTCCCAGCTACCCTTTCCGACTCTGAAGGACTGTTGCACATTTGTAACATCCACAGTTTACACCTCATTTTTCAAAGCTTACATGGTAGCAACCCTTTCTATTGCAAAGAACTGAGACCCACTCAAGTTAGTTCAAATGATAGGTAAGTTTATTATAAAAGCAGAAATAAGGAAAATGCGATTTTCCACCATGAGCCAGGCCCCGTGAGAAGCTATGTCAGGCGTGAGCGAGTTGGTGGGGTCACCACTCGTTCCTGTAGGAAGAACTAGAGATTCCAAAAATGCTGATAACAATCACACACATAGAACTTATTTTGGCCAAACACCATAATAAATATTTGTATATATTAACTCATTTAATCCTCACAACAACCTCAGGAGGTAGGTGCCCATCTTGTACATAAGAGAACTGAGACATGTGGAGGCCGAGCAGCTGGTCTCAAATCAGCTGATAGTAAGTCGCAGAGCCAGCATTTGAAGTCTTGTGGTTTGGCTCCCGAGTCTGTGCTCATGACCATTATGCAGTGGTATGTTGTATGCCCAGGACCTACCGGTAAGAAGTGGGCTCGAAGTCCAAAGAAGCGTGAAGACTGGATATTCCTGCGGCCTCTCAGCAGCATGGGTCATGGACACCTGTTCCAATACATCGTGGCTGCACATGCATCTCTGATTCTCTCTGTGTCTGCTCTTCTTGCCAACTAATGACACATTCATCATGGATCCCTTCTGAATCTCCGAGAGGACCTGATGGTTTCAGTTAATTACTATTGTCCCTCTTTGATAAGGTCTTCCTTGACAGGTGACCTCATAGACTTGTTTGGCCAATTATCTGCTGTTCAGACTCCCACCCCTGGCCTGATCATCTGTGGTGACGTCAGAAGGGACCAAGGGGGGCCTGGAAGGCATCTTCAGTATAACTGAATTCTCTCCTGAGGAGAGACCCTGGGGGCTGTCAGTCTCCTCCTACTCCTAGTACAAGTTCTCTTGGTGACATTAACTCCATCTGGGATGCAGAAATTGCTAGCTGTCACTTTCAGGGGTGTTCTTTCCTTGGCTAATGTCTTGCTCTTAGATTTGGGATCTTATGTTTCTCTGAGATCTGCAGCTTCTTGCCAAATAACTATACCTTTTTTCTGAACATCTGCACTAGGCTCTTTCTCCTCCCCTCTCCTTCCAGCCCCCAACTCTCTGTCCCAGTCCTTCTTGTGCAAACGATCCAGACTGGCTTTCATTAAACACCACTTCTCCCTTCATTCCTGACTCAGAAACCTCACTATGTCTTGGTGTCATCCATTTAGCCTGTTGACTTCTCGTCTTCCCCATTCCTGAACATTCCAGCCTAACCAGGTTGGTTTCCTCACACTCCTACAAAGGTACCGTGGCTTTTTCCTACCTCTATGCTTTCATTCATGTGGTTATTGTGACCTAGAATGTTCTCACCTTCCTCTCCCACTTGTCCAATCCCCACCTCCCCCACAAAACCTACCCTGACTTTCCCAGGCTCGCTGTTTCTTTCCTCTGAATTCCCAGGGCACTTAGCCTCTGTGATACCTAATTCAGTGCAGTTACACGCTCTCTTCTTATTCTGTAGCTGTTTAGTCATAGTTCCACAGCTAAATTATAAACTTCTGGATGGTGAAGTGGAATTTATTTAAAATTTTTTTATCATTCCATATTTCATTTCAAAAGGGGAAGTGGTTTTTTTAAAAAAAGATGAAATGAAAAAGGATGAGTTCATGTCCTTTTTAGGGACATGGTTGAAGCTGGAAACCATCATTCTCAGCAAACTATCGCAAGGACAGAAAACCAAACACCGCATGTTCTCACTCATTGGTGGGAATTGAACAATGAGATCACTTGGACACAGGGTGGGGAACATCACACACCAGGGCCTGTTTTGGGGTGGGGGGAGGGGGGAGGGATAGCATTAGGAGAAATACCCAATGTAAATGACAAGTTAATGGGTGCAGCACACCAACATGGCACATGTATACATATGTAACAAACCTGCACATTGTGCACATGTACCCTAGAACTTAAAGTATAATTTAAAAAAAATAACAATAAAGCCAGAATACACCAAAAAAAAAAAAAAGATAAAATGAACATATTTGAATGTTTACGTTTTAGACACTTTAGCAGACACTCAGCATGTATTTAATTTTGACAACAATCCCAGGCCACAGGTACCATAACCCTTATTTTAGAGGGGGGAGTACAGAGGTTCAGAGAGGCTAAGTAATTTGCCCAAGGTTACAGAGGCATTAGGTGTCAGGACCAAGACCTAAACTCAAGTCTGACCCTGTAGTTTTCACTCTTTGCACCACCACGTGGCTTGTTTTATAATTGTGGCCATGTTTTATTCCTTATACCTCTCAGTATGGTATTGACTACTTTGGCAAAGGCTCAATAAATACTGATTATAAGGTAATTGATGGCTCTTTTTAATCAGAGGATTGAGAAGAGCCCTTCCTTATGCTTTCTTATTAGTTCACTTATACATACATTTAAAATTTTACTGGACACCAGCTATGAGCCAGACACTGTTCTAGACATGAGGACACAGACAGAATATGATCCCTGCTCACCCAAAGAAGTGAGGCTTATACAAAAATGACTAATATACAATTGTATTCATTATCCATTACTCCACAAAAATTACCACAAATTTACTGCCTTATAACAACACATGGCCAGGCGCGGTGGCTCACACCTGTAATCCCAGCATTTTGGGAGGCCAAGGTGGGCTGATCACCTGAGGTCAGAAGTTCAAGGCCAGCCTGGCCAACATGGTTAAACCCTGTCTCTACTAAAAACACAAAAAATTAGCCGGGTGTGGTGGCGGGCGCCTATAATCCCTAGCTATTAGGGAGGCTGAGGCAGGAGAATTGCTTGAACCTAGGAGACAGAGGTTACAGTGAGCCGACATCACACCACCGCACTCCAGCCTGGGCAACAGAGTGAGACTCCATCTCAAAAACGAAAACAGAAAACAAAAAAACACACACACATTTATTGTCACACTGTTTCTGTGGGTGGGAAATTTTGGCACAGCTTCACTGGGTCCTCAGCTTAGGTACTCACAAGACTATAATCAAGGTGTTGGCTGGACTAGGTTCTTATCCGGCTCAGTTGGGGAAGAATCTGCTTCCAAGCTCACTCGGGTTGTTGGCAGAATTCAGGTTCTTGCAGCCACAAGACTGAGGGCCTCTGCTTGTTGTTGGCTGGAAGCTGCTCTTGGCTCCTAGGAGGGGCTCTAAAAGGGTGGGCCAGCAAGGAGGAGTTCTATACAATGCAACACAGTTGCCAGAGTGACACCCTATCACCTTTGCCTTATTCCATTCATTAGAAGCAAGTCACAGATCCCACTTACACTCAAGGGGAGGGGACCAAACAAGGGCATGAATTCCAAGAGGTGAGGATCACGAAGGGAGGCTGTCTTTGAGTCTGTCTTCCACAACAATAATAAATAAGTGCCAGGTGAGTGGTACAGACAACAAGTACTGCAGGAACTCAGCTGGGCTCCACATGTGAGGTGGTGTCACTGCTGATGAGCTCGGGCCATTCAGAGGCCTGGAGGATCCTATTTGAATGAGATTGTGAGAGATGGGCACTACCATCAGTTTACAGGCAAAATGGAGATTTCACAAATGCTCCTGGAGACCATGGGCCCCGACCTCCACAGTGGCAGCCCCAAGCATGAGCCTGTCCTGGAAGGAGGCTGGCTATCGTCCAAGAGTCAGAGGGTCAGGCATCAGGTGATGACTGTGGACATGAAGAAATGGTGACATGTTCAGGAGCTGGCAGGCCCGAAGATGCACTGGGTAGACCCAGTGGGGGCCTGGACAGGTTGGAGGAAGGAGAGAGAGGAGGCTGAGGTGAGCCTGAAGTGAGGTGTCCCAGGGATGAACAGGTCAGAGCTTCTGAGGGGGCTGAAGAAGCAATTCACTGACTCCTTTCTCCAACTGGGGATAAATAACCTCTAATTTCTGTGGAGCACTCCTAGAAACAAAGAAATCTTTCATAGATTAATATGTATTCATATATTCCATTGGCTCTTCCATTGGCCATGTAGCATCAAGATACAAAAGCTAACGGAGCAGTGGGTCTCCTTGACCTCTGTGCATGTCTGTGTTGTGTGGGTTTATATGCACATGTGGGAAAGAAGAAGGGACAGCTCGTACCTGTTCAGTAAGTCACCAGCATTCTAGGAGAGAGAAAAAGTGAGAATCATAATTGGTTCTCAGGTTCCTATCACCTCCAAATTCCTTTCCCAATTCACTCTTGGAGGCCACTCTGGGGTGCCACCTTGAGAACTGGGGGAACATAGCAACACCCCTCTTCTGTGCCCATTCTGCTGCAGCAGCACTCTGTAGCCTGGAACAAGCCACATCTACCACAAGTCACCACATATCACACAGGCCCCTCCCTCTTACACCTCCCAGAAGGGTGATGCAGATGGGCTGCCTCCTATCGGGGAGAATCCCAGCCCTTGGGGAAGGCCTCAGGGTATGCACCTTCAGTGTGTTGGTGTCTAATTCCTTGGCCGTCCTTTCCAGATCAATGACCAGGCTTCTGAGCTGTGTTACTGCCCTGGAGATGTCAAGGATTCTGGCCGCTTCTGCTGGCATGTGCTCCAGCTGGCCCAGCCACTGCTGAGGGAGGGCACCCAGCTGTTCCCTGGTTTGGTGCTGGCTCTCCGGCCCAGCCTCCAGCCTGTGGTTCCCGTGGTCTACCTGAAACTACAGGAAAGGGGCTCCCTAAGACTCAGTGTCAGGTGGCTCCCTCCTGGCCCTTCACAGTCTCTGAATGTCTGAGCAGGAATGCTGATTCCTCAGTCCTCTTGCCCTCATGGTGTTGCCTCTGTGTGTCACAGGTATAGCAGAAGCAGCTTTGATTCTCATAAAGGCAGGGACACCTCACCTTTCCACCTCACTCTCTGAATATCTACAGATGCCATGTGACCAAGAGGAATAGAAAGGTAGACTGTCAGAGACAGAAATGGAGGCCTATGGCGGCCGGGCGCGGTGGCTCACACCTGTAATCCCAGCACTTTGGGAGGCCAAGGCGGGCGGATCACGAGGTCAGGAGATCGAGACCAACCTGGCTAACATGGTGAAACCCCATCTCTACTAAAATATAGAAAAAATTAGCTGGGCGTGGTGGCAAGTGCCTGTAGTCCCAGTACTCGGGAGGCTGAGGCAGGAGAATGGCGTGAACCCGGGAGGCGGAGCTTGCAGTGAGCGGAGTTCGTGCCACTGCACTCCAGCCTGGGCGACAGAGCAAGGCTCCATCTCAAAAAAAAAATAAAATAAAATAAAAAGAAACAGAGGCCTATGGCTTGTGTAGTAATTTTCAGTTGACGAGACACTGGTCTCCTTTGATCCCTACTGTGATCCAGGCAGAGCAGGACTGGTTCTCATTTAACATGTAAGTCACATAAAGATCAGAGGGCTTAACTTGCGTAGGTCACTCAACCAGCAAACTTTGACGCCAAGGCCAACACCCGGGTTTTCAGCCTCCACGACCATCTGCCCACATCAGGCTGTTCCAGGGACAGACAGATGTCCAGAATAGTTAAGTAAGGGCTCCTGAGAACACTCCAGGGAGTCCTTCCCAGGAACCCGAAAAACCCACCTGCAGAGCCTGCAGTTTCTTCTCCTGCTGAGCCTTGAGCCGCTGAAGTTCTGCAATGTCCTTTCTGAGCTTCCTGCTCCGGCGATTGAGTCGTTCCTAAAGAGACAGACACACCTGCTTGTCAGACTGGGAGTGAGGGGGGCACCCACTGGGAGGAGTCAATGGAACACGGTAGGGGGCCTGATCCCAGAATGCAACTAATGTAAAATTCTGCCTAAAAAGAAATGCTTTTAGAGCATCATGGTTGGAGTAAGGGACTTGAGAGTTTATTTATTGGATAATGATGGGGGGAAATAGTAATGGGTAATTTTTTTACAGTCTTAGAAGTACAGAAAAAATAATAGATAGCAACAGAACCATTTCTACTTGACTTCAGGGTGCTTTCTCTCAACATACAAAAGTTATATGACAGTCTTCTAGCACTTCTTACTATTTTACAGTAACACATGGAGCCAGTCTGGAGGGAATTGCCTTAAAGAGGAAATGGCAACCCTCTGCTACCTCTGCTGCCTGGTCCTCACTGGGATGAGTGACAAGATAGAGCCCTTTACTAGGTGCAAACTCATAGCCCAGGTAGGCAGTGCCTTCTCTCTCAATCTTAAATCAGCATCTGGATGTGTCGCTGTGTCCTTGAAGCTATGGAGTTAAAGAATGATTTGAGTTTCTAAAAAAATTTTGCTTTCAGGTTTTTGATGACCTATAAGAGAAGCAAAAATAACAACAAATGCTTTAAATGGCTGCCCATGGTTCGGGGGGCAGTTGGAGGGTGAATGATAAAATAGAAAACAAAACGAGAAGAGATTTGTGAACTAAAGATCAGGATGTGCTATTAGCTGAAAAGTGTGTGTTTCACTAAATCTTTCCCACTTCAGATTTTTTTTTTTTAATCTTTTTTGAGGAGATTTTGGAGATGTACAGGTAGAAGTCAGGGGATGGTGAAGACAACTGAAAGTTCTTTCCAGCCTGAGAATTTCCTGGTGAAATCAAGGTCAAAGGACTGTGTGTGTGAGGGGTCAGCAAGGGCATTTGGTGAACAGAAAGCTGCAGTAAGCAGAGAAGACAGTGATGTCACCACAAAGTTACTAAAAACGTGTCACGTCACTGGGTGTTTCCTGCAGGCATTTCCCAGCAGAGACGAAATAAAAAAGTCATAGGAGTGGGAAGTAATAAATGGGCATCATGGATGTCGCTCATGAGTCTCGCTGAAGAAGGTGGCAGGCTGGTGTGGAACTGTTTGTGCGAGTACAAGAGTTCATGTCCTGAAAAGCACAAACAGCCTTCACCGCTTGCATCTACTCACTTGCTGCCCTCACAGTCAAGTTGTTTGGTGTTGCTGTCTTCACCTCCTCACTGTCGTCATTCCTCAGCCAGCCGCCTTGTTTCTCATCACTCCTTTAAAGCCTCTCTCTCCAAAGTCACCTGAGATCTCCAGCCATGAAATCCGCAGGTGCCTTTCTGTACCTCCTCTCCACCCCATCCTTCCTAGACCTGTGCCTTCTGCCACTGCTTCTTTGCCTCTTCATTTTTTTCTGTAAAAAGGAGCCTTGAAGTTGGCTCCTCAACCCTTTTCTATCTCAGACTATGTCCTTAGCTTTCCTTTCTGGAGCCTTCAGATCTTAGAATTCCAAAACCAAATCTTTTTTCCTAGCAATCCATCTCATGCTTCCAAGTGAGAGCTAAGTGCTGCCTACTGCCCTGTTGGCAGCTCAAAATCAATATGGTAGAATCAAACATGCTGCCCAGTTCCCCAAGCTCTTCTGCAGTCCACTCCTCTTGACCTTCATGTTTCTGACATTGGGACTGCCATTCTGCCTGCCATTCAGCTTGAAATCTGTCACATTTCACCTTTGTTGATGTTAGTCCTCCCTTCAAAATGGCTTCTCAGCAACAAAGATAAGCCCAAACTCCTTCACCCAGCATCCAAGGTGCCCCAGGACCCAGCCCCAACTGACATTGTCCGGGATTCTCTCTCTGCTCACTGAACTCTCTTCACCAGCACACAACATTGCTCTCTGCTTCCCAAACACACCCGTGCAGCCACACCTCCTCATGGCCTTTTACTTCTCTCTGTCAGGAGTGCTTTATTTTTCTGCCTGTCAAAGTCAGGCCTATTAAGGTCCAGTTCAAAAAGCCACAGTCCTATCATCTGGCAGTTTAAAATTTAATAAAGCCAACTACAGACACTGTGTAAATGAAAAAAAGAAGGCAAAGATAACAGTAATAAAGATAAAGGCATAGAATGACTGAAGATAATACTGTCATATTGTTTACAATATTCAAAATGAGTAAGGTAAAGTCCTCTGTTTCTAAAAAGTACTTTTTCACCAATTTTTGCATAAAGGTATTTAATGGGTGCATATAATATAAATAAGACACTCATTAGAATTGAAAAGCTAAATTCTATACACTTTCACCTACCAAAATATTCCTCAGAGAAAAAAAGACAAGTTGAAATCTAGAAAATAGTCGAAGACCTGTCTTGTCTAAATGAATATTTTAAAATTCTGTCATTCAGGTTAAATCATATTAAATTTTTAAAATCTGACAAAAAAGGGCATTAAATTTGTTCTTAAACAACTTGCTAACACAATGTACAAAAGAAAAGTGGTTAACAGACAAAAAGTACCTATCCCTGACACTGAAAAAAAAAAAAAAAAAAGAAAAATTAACAGCTTTCAAAATGCATGCTCCTTACAGAACTGTGTCCAAAAATATGAATTAAAAACAACATCACTCACACAATTATGATCTAGAAAATGTCAGAAAATTTTTAAAAATGTATGGTAAATACATGAGCTCAGCAAAGAATCTCATTTGAATCTACAAGTAAAAATTGTCAAAAAAAATAGTGTTGTAAAATACATAGCTACCCTCAATAGAGTCAGGGCACATGAGGTTTAAGTAAAGACAATTTAATATCTGATTCAGATACATAGTGGAAAGCCGTTAGTGATGTATCTTGGTACTGGTTGAGAAGACTAACTAAACCCCCAAAAGTCATGATTCTTAGTAATCAACAAATTTAATGCAATAACCATTAAAATCTTATGGAATGATCTATGAAATTTAGAAACATTGTAAAAAAGCACTCATCTTAAAAGACAGCAAAAATATCAGGTAATAAAATTATTAAATGGCAAAAATGCTGCTAGATTTAAAAATAAACCATAAAGTAACATGTTGTCAAAACTATATAACAGAAAGAATAATCAATGGACTAGAGTAAAAAAAAAACAGCCCATCATGAGAACTTAATTGATGTCAAGCGAGAAACAACACGTAAATGTGGAAAGGACTCACTGTTATATAAATATTTTGGGAACAACTGGATACCAGAATAAAGAAAAATTAACGTGGAGTCATCCTTCACACAACATACTATATGAAATTCCAAGTAAGCCAGGAATTAATAAACCTTTAAAAATAAAACAGAGCAGCACACTCATATTAAACAAATTTCTGTGTATTTAAGACATGGAGATTATATTATAAAAAAGAATAGAGCCAATTTAAATGCAAATTTCTAAAAAGTTGCCCAAAAATATAATTAAGAAGAAATAACAGAATAAAAAAATGTAGGTTAAACAAACACAACTAATGGAGCTCATTATCCAAAAGATAAACTATTTTGATGCAATCATGTAGAATTTATGCCCTGATTCTAGGGGAAAATGCAGACAGCGAGTCTTCATGGATAAAAGCCTCACCACTACTAGCATTCATAATCAAGCAAAGTAAAACAACGTACATCACTGTCACACACTTACTAAACCAGCAAAATACATTAAAGTGATTGACACTGACATTGACTGGTCAGTGAGGAAACAGGTATACAAATAAGAATTTGTAGATTTTATAAATTTTTCGGTCTTTTTAGAGTACAGTCAGGGATTATATGATTCTTTTAAAAGAACAAAATTTACAATACTTAACTACAAAGTTTAATTCAAATAAATAGAGATATGGTGAAAAAATCAGTAAAAAAAAACCCTCCTTAATTTCAAAATTACGCTGTCAATATCCATGAGTACACATAAGGTCCACCATTATAATCACTTCTTCAGAAATATACTCAACTCCCTTACCCTCCCTCTCTGTGTTACTTTTCAGACAACTCCTTATCCATGGTAAAATGTACCATCACCTTCTTGTTTGCTGTCTGTCCTCAGGCAGCCTCCTGAAACATGTTAAACATTTCAGACCTCAAATTGGTGCTACATACTGTCTGCCAACCCTACATAGTTTCTCTTGTAAGCGCTCTCCCACACTGCATCACACCATCTTGTTTCTTTTCAAACCTTTCACATCCATCCTGATCCCACCCATACTGCTGATGTTCCTTCCTCAAATATTATGAGAAAATAAAAACCAGAACAAAACCTGGATTTCCAAAACTGCAAAACTATGTAGGCTTGCAGACACCTTCTCTTGTTCCCTGTTATTACTATGGAAGAAGTGTGCCTCCTCCCAACTCAGCTCTCATGCCTCTGCCACCATCTTACTGAAGTGTTAGCATTGTTCAATGCAATCTATTATAATCTCTTAAAATACCCTTCTCTCTTAGCAGCTGGGGCACCATTCCCCTTGTTTTTCTCCTGCCTTTCTGGCAACTCATCCTGTCTCCTTTGCTGGGTCCTCCTCTGCCTACATCTAAATGACGTCCTTTCCCAGAACCTTACCCCAAAACTTCTTTTTCTGTCTAGCCTCTTTTGAGGCAATTACATCAGTTTCCTTGGTTTCTTGGTTGTTTGTTTCTTTGTTTGAGACAGGGTCTTGCTCTGTCTTCCTGGCTGCAGTGCAGTGGCACAATCACAGCTCACTCCAGCCTCACTCTCTTGGGCTCAAGCAATCCTCCCACCTCAACCTTCCAAGTAGCTGGGACCACAGGCGTGAGCCACTGCACCCAGCCCCAAATTGTCACGTTCTTTTTTTTAAATCCTGTTAATTTCACTTTGTTGTTGCTGTTGTTGTTCTAGAGATAGTATCTCACTGTGTTGCCTAAGCTGGTCTTGAACTCCTGGGCTCAAGCGATCCTCCCACTTTGGCCTCCCAAAGTGCTGGGACTACAGGTGTGAGCCACCGTGCCCGCTTTTCTTGGATTTAAATATTGTCTTTGCCTGGATGGATCTTTGTTCTAGGTTCTAGGAATAAGACTCTGGAGATCTAAATTTGTGATCCAGCTGCGTATGTAAGATCCTATTTTGATGTGTCTCAACTTGGACTCAACTTGTCTTAAATGAAACTCTTGGTGTTGCATTCAAACCTGTTCTACCAAGTTATTATCTTTCACATCATCTATTCAGTTTCTCAAACCAGAAACTCATGAAGTCATCTTTGACCTTCCTCCTTCCTTCAACCCACTTTTTAAAATATATATACTTTAAGTTCTGGGGCACATGGACAGAACATGCAGGTTTGTTACATAGGTATACACGTGCCATGGTGGTTTGCTGCACCCATCAAACCGTCATCCACGTTAGGTATTTCTCCTAATGCTATCCCTCCCCTACCCCCCATCCCCTCACAGGCCCTGGTGTGTGATATTCCCCTCCCTGTGTCCACGTGTTCTCATTGTTCAACTCTCACTTACGAGTGAGAACATGTGGTGTTTGGTTTTCTGATCTTGTGTTAGTTTGCTGAGAATGATGGTTTCCATCTTCATCCACGTCCCTGTAAAGGACGTGAACTCATCTGTTTTTATGGCTGCATAGTATTCCATGGTGTATATGTGCCATATTTTCTTTATCCAGTCTATCGTTGATGGGCATTTGGGTTGGTTCCAAGTCTTTGCTATTGTGAACCATGCCACAATAAACATACGTGTGCATGTGTCTTTATAGTAGAATGATTTATAATCCTTTGGGTATATACCCAGTAATGGGATTGCTGGGTCAAATGGTATTTCTGGTTTTAGATCCTTGAGGAATCACCACACTGTCTTCCACAATGGTTGAACTAATTTACACTCCCACCAACAGTGTAAAAGCGTTCCTATTTCTCCACTTCGTCTCCAGAATCTGTTGTTTACTGACTTTTTAATGATTGCCATTCTAACTGGCAGAGATGGTATCTCATTGTGGTTTTGATTTGCATTTCTCTAAAGACCAGTGATGATGAGCATTTTTTCATATGTCTGTTGGTTGCATAAATGTCTTCTTTTGAGAAGCGTCTGTTCATATCCTTTGCCCACTTTTTGATGGGGTTGTTTTTTTCTTACAAAGAACCCACTTCTAATCTCTCAGTAAGTCCTGTCGATTCAAACTCTAATGATAAATTCTTCAAATATAACAAGACTTCTCAGGTGTGGGCATCTGTATGCACTCCCTACCCCCTGTCTTTGCAGGTTGATTTCTCTTCTGCCAGCCCTCAGCTTCAAGGTCACTTCCTCTATGAGGCCCTCACTGACCAAATGGACATGGGCCACCCATTACTGTTCATCCCAGACCCTTGTTTATTTTCTTCCTAACTAATAAAAAGTTACAGTTCTTTTGGGAGGCCAGCGCAGATGGATCATGAGGTCAGGAGTTCAAGACCAGCCTGGCCAAGATGGTGAAACCCTGTTTCTACTAAAAATACAAAAATTAGCTAGGCCTGGTGGTGGGTGCCTGTAATCCCAGCTACTCGGGAGGCTGAGGCAAAGAATTGCTTGAACCTGGGAGACGGAGGTTGCAGTGAGCCGAGATCATGCCACTGCTCTCCAGCTTGGGTGACAGAATGAGACTCCATCTCAAAAAAAAAAAAAAAAAAAAAAGAAAAAAAAGTTACAGTTCTTTGATTACTTATTTGTGTCTCCCTTACTACACTGCAAACTCCTGGCAGAAGGAATGGCATCTGTCTTCATTGATTCCTAGCACATGCTGCAGTTTCTCACACACAGCAGGAACTTACTAAGTTTTTACTTAATGAACAAGTGTCATCGTTATTTATTTGTTTTAGCTTTCTTGTCATTATTTAAAGACAGATTTGAAACAAGAATTATGAATCATCTTTGTACTTTCTACAATGCCTAGCATGACATCTAACACAAAGGACAGACCTGAAAAAATCATTTAGTGAGGAAATAAATTTCTCCATCTTATGCTGCTTCATCGGCAGGTGAGGAATCCCTCCCCACTCTCCTGTGGACATTGCACCTGGAGGGAATGATGTTAGAACCAAATAGAACTTTGCCTCTGGCTTTTTCAATTATTTCTCTACCTTTCTGTAGTCACTTTTAATCTGGACTCCCCACTTTCTCATTCTGTATCATAACATGTTCTCCAAAAGTCAAGTATCTCAAAGCTACCTCAGCTTTGGAAGTTCAGCCTTCACTATTGGATAGAAGGATGCCATGTGAAAATATTGTCAATTGTCCAGTCAAATACTAACTGGATTAGGGTCAGGGGAAAGGTTGATAAAAATAATTCCAAAGCTAATTGGCAAAATAAAGATATACAAATATCTGCACGAATTCTGAAAAATAAGAGTATTGTGAGGATTCTATCAAAATACCTGACATTAAAATATATGGTAAGGATAAAATCTCTAAAATACCTTGGCTTATAGGCAAGCATAGACAGAATAGAACAGCACAAAGAATCAAGGCAGTATGCAAGAAAATATGCATATATGGTATATTATGACATTGGCATTCAAATCAATGGGGAAACTATATGAATCATTCAACAAATGGTGATAGGACAAATTGATTATAACTTGGAAAAACTAAAGTTAGATTTCTACCTTATGCTCTCACCAAAATATATCTTGGATATTCTAGGTCCTCCAATATATATGTTGAAGGATATTCATTAGAACGTTCTGTGTAATCTTAAAACAAAACAATAGCTTGGAAATGACCCAATGTCTGCCAATTTATGGTACATTCATAGAATTTAATACCACACAGTTCTTGAAAATAATTCAGAAGATCTATACATGCTGATGAGAAAATGTTCAAGCCACACTTTTAGATAACAAAAATGAGTTACAGAAAAAAATATAGAGAGAATCCTTTGAGGGTGTGTGTGTGTGTGTGTGTGTATAAGAGTGCATTCATAAGCACACACATTTTTTGGAAGGATGTACAAAAATCAAACAATGGTTACCTCTGAGGACTATGAATGGAGGGAGAAAGGAAGACAAGTTTTTAGTCTTGACTTTATACCTTTCAGTGCTTTCTGAATTTATTACCTACAGCATGTAACTTTTGTGATAGAAAATTTAACAGAATAAGATAAAATAATTGCCATAGCAAAGAAAGGAAAAGGAAAGATAAGACAAATGCAGAAGGAAGAAAAAGAGAGAAAAAATTATGTAGTAACTTTCAGGTTTTAATATATTTGCAGGATAATTACTAGTGTATATAAAACCTGATTACATTTCTAGCCAAGTTTCTAGTACTATCAACCAGGAGTTCACACAGTTTTAGTCCTGAAAGGGTTTTGCATTAGTTAGTCCAATTACTCTATTCTACAGATGAGCAGACTGGGACTCTAACATCACACTGACAATATCCTCTTTTAGACAGACTCACATTAATGCATGGAAACATCAGCCTCAAAATATACACAGAAAAGCAAGACAAGGGTCCAAAACAGGATGAAGCAGAAGAAACAAAGAGAGATGTCCATTGTTGAGCTACTCTGAGGTGCCAGGCATGATGAACATGTAGGATGCAGCACCTCAGCGAGGTGGAGGCAGGGCCTGGCTGCGGTGACCCAGGCTTACCTTGTAGTGGCTGAGGGCATTTTCAATGGTCAGTTCATGATGAGACATGTGTTCAGGGGACACCAGGCATTCCACACATAGAAGAAGTCTGCTCTCCTCACAGAACCTGCACACCCTCTTCTGGTGGTTGGGGCAGATATAGCCTGTCCCTAGCACCTCCTCAGAACAGGGCTTCCGGCAGAGGGGGCAGCAGAAGACCCCAGAGGCTGAGGCCTTCTCCACATGCTGTGTCAGGCACACTCGACAGAAGAGATGTCCGCAGTTGGTGCTCACGGCCTCCTTCAGGCTCTCCTGGCAGATGGGGCAGACACCCTCCTCCTGGTTGTCCTTCTGCAAAGGGATCATGGCCTCGTTCCTACCCTGTCAGCCTCCTGTTTGCAGGGCCTCCTTCTTCACTGGTCTTCGGAAGGCCTGTTGCCCTCAACAGTCCCAGATAAGAAGGCCCAGTCGGAAGGAGGCAGCCCTGGAGCAGCCTGGGGACAGGACACAGCCTCCAAGTTCAGGCAATTGCCCACTCTCCCTCAAGGGTGCCGTGACATAGACCACACAAACCACAATTCTGCACGAGTTTCAGAAATAGCTCATCAGCTTTGACATGGACCCTGCGGTTTCCTTGTGTTTGTTAAACTTGAAATTATTTTTCATACACCTAGAGGAAGCAAGTGATTCAATAACCAATTCTGTTTTCCTCTTGACAGCTTTCAGTGAATATTTGCACGGGCCCCAAATTAAAAGGGCAAGGTGTCATTGTCATGGCCAAAAGCCAGACCACTATAAACTTACAATTTGAGTCTCCTCTGATTTGCCATCAGTAGAGAGAGTTTGGCAGGAGTTTGGACTGTTTTCTCCTACACTGTCACACCGGGTGGCTCACTGCTGCCCATTATTACCACCAATAATTACAGCAGCATCTCCATCAGCTGGTCATTCTTCCAACCAACATCCCTCCCAGGGTCATATAGATTCCACACTGAAAGAATGAGAAAGAAAACAGGACACAGAACAGACTAGAGACTTGTATAATGTTTGAAGCCACTTTGTTCCTTCCTGTCAAATCACCACCAAAGATGACCCAAAGAAAGAAGTCCCCCGCCACCTGCCACCTCCCTTAGATACTGAGGATTCACTCTTATTCCCTCATGCTGCACCTCTTGCCTAGCCCCACTCCTGAAAAGCTTTCTTAGTATCCTACCTCAATTTCTCCTGCTACAATTTCAGATCATCTTCTCTGGCTCCAGACCTGGAGAGATGGCCAGCAGATGAGTGGTTCTTATATCATGCCAATCATATGTGTTCATATGTCAGTAAATCTCAGGGCGGGGGGTGGAAAGACTCATGCTTTCCTAGAAACACTGAATTACCAGGAAAATTACCTAGGGTAGCTGGAAGGTGAGATGGACTTTGGTGCAGGGCGTGGCTTGTTTGCTCAAGGGGAGGAGGAAGGTCTTGGGCCTTTGACGTCGATATGACAGGAAATGAGACTCAACTAAGAATGGACATCCTAGAACCCCAGCTTATGGAACCCCAGGATCCAGGTGTCACAGAATAATGGCACCCACTCAAGATGCTGGAACATCAAATGCCCACTCCATTGTCTAAGTTCCCTCCAGTCAGGCTAGTCTTGGCATTGAGTTTGAGGGAGCCCCTAAGGGGTGCCACTAATAAGGGCTGTCACTTGAAACTTCTAAGGGTCCAAGACGCTTGTTGAAAACCTCATTTCAGAGCCTCCTCCCTCAATCCCACTTTGCCACTGTTTGCTGTGGGTTGTGTGATCTTGTGAGATATATATATAATTAGTCTTGGCACAGAGCTCCTAAAACCCTTGAACAGATGATCCTTAACTTATGATGGGGTTACGTCCCAGTGAATTCACTGAAGTCAGAAATATTGTAAGGTGAAAGTGTACTCAATACCCCAGTAAACCCATCATAAAGTCAAAAATTTTAAGTTGAATCATCTTAATTCCTGATGCACCTCAACTTACCACATGGTTATGTTCTGATGAGTGTATCTTTTATTATTCATAATAAGCCCTTTTCAACCATACCAGGGTTTATGCTAATGAGGTGACTCTTGGAGGAAGAATGGGGGCTGGTTGGCAGAAGAACCATGTGATTAGAGGGTGGGATCTTTCTTTCTTTCTTTCTTTTTTTTTGAGACAGAGTTTCACTCTTGTTGCCCAAGCTGGAGTGCAACGGCACTATCTCAGCTCACTGCAACCTCTGCCTCCCAGGTTCCAGCGAATCTCCTGCCTCAGCCTCCCGAGTAGCTGGGATTACAGGTGCACACCACCATGCCCAGCTAATATTTTGTATTTTTAGTAGAGACGGGGTTTCACCATGTTGGCCAGGCTGGTCTCGAACTCCTGACCTCAGGTTACCTGCCTGCCTTGGCCTCCCAAAATGCTGGGATTACAGGCGTGAACCACCACGCCTGGCTGGTTGGAACTTTCAGTCTCACCTCTGACCTCTGGGGAGGGGAGAGGAGCCCAGGGACTGAGTTAATCACCAACAGCCAGTGATTTGATCAATCATACCTAAATAATGGAACCTCTGTAAGATCCTGAACAAAGAGGTTTGGAGAGATTCCAGGTTGGTGAGTGCATCCACATGCTGGGAGGGTGGCACATCCCACACTCCACCGGGGACAGAAGCTCCTGTGCTCAGGATCCTCCCAGAACTTGCCCTTCATCTGGCTGTGAAATTACCATGATCCTGGTGATTTCAAAGACTATGTACATGATCATTTAACACCAAGGCCTTTCAGTTCTTGTCCTGCTCACATCCAATGACCTTTGCTTTTGCCACCCACCCTAGTGGCCACTCTCTTGACCTTGTCAGGATTCAGATTTCACCACCTGAAATTATAAATGTAGGCATTGTACTCACTTATAGTTCTCTTCCTAAGGCATTTCCGACAATGTCTGTTTTTTAACCTTCAATCCTTGACCCCTCCACAATCTACGTTCCTGTCGTATCTCATGAAATAGTATAAGAAACAAAAATGTGGACAGATTAAGTAACCTGCCCAAGGCCACAGTGGTGTAAACATAGAGCTGGGATTCAGATCTGGGTGTCTCTTATCCCAGCCCATGGGCTTCATTACCATAAAATGTCATCTCTCTATATATACCTTTTCTTGCTCTTAGAAAGGATTCAGTAAAAGCTTGATAAATGGATGGATTAATGGACAGATGGAAAGATAGATTGATAATTAGATGTATGGATAGACAGATGAAGAAACAGCACTTTGTACCAACTTATAGTACTGACTATATAGTAACTTCTACTAGTTACTTAGGTACTTTTCTTGATTTTCCTACTGGTTTATTGAGCAACTTGAAGGCAGAAATCCACTGTATTTAACTAGCAGTAGCTTGAGAATGTTTCAAATGTAGAAACCATAAAAGGAAAGAAAGATAAATTCAGCCACATTAAAAAAGACCTGCATGGGGGAAAAAAAACCGTAAGTGCAATGTCAAGAGACAAATGATGAAATACCATTGGAAGAAGAAAAATATTTACAACTGCCATCAAAATCAAAGGGCTAATTACCTTTTATATACAGCTCTTGCAAATAAGAATTTATCAACTACCAAGAAGAAAATTGGGCAGAGGTATCTCAGCAGACATTTCATAGAAAAAGAAATACCAAATGTCTCTAAAGCATATTAAAAGATAATCTCAATCTCATGAAGAAAATACAAATTAAAATAACACTGACATACTATTTTTCCTATCAGATTGACAGAAATCCAAACATTTGGTAACACAGTGTTGGTAAGTGTGTGAGGAAATTGGCACTCCCATACACTGCTGATGGGAATGCCAATTAGTACTCCTCCTTTAGAGGAGTAGGAATTTGAGAATTTCCTCCAAGATTACAAATGTACATTTTCTTTGAGCCAGCAATTCTGATGTTAGAAATTTTACATATATATTCATGCATATGTGAAATAATATATGCATATACCTATTGCATCAATGTTTTAGAAACATTTGCTTCAAATTTTAGAAAAAAAACAAATGTTCATCAACGGAAGTTAAGCTAAATAAACTAGCTACATTCATACAATAGAACATTGTGCAGCCATTAGTAGGGGGTGGGGTGTGGAAGGGAACTTTTGCTATTGGAATAATCTCCAACATAAATTGATACATTAAAAAAAAAAAAGCTTGGCCAGGCATGGTGGCTCACGCCTGTAATCCCAACACTTTGGGAGGCCGAGACAGGTGGATCACGAGGTCAGGAGATCGAGACCATCCTGGCTAACATGGTGAAACCCTGTCTCATTAGCCGGGCATGGTGGCGGGTGCCTGTAGTCCCAGCTACTCGGGAGGCTGAAGTAGGAGAATGGCGTGAACCCGGGAGGTGGAGCTTGCAGTGAGCCGAGATTGCGCCACTGTACTCCAGCCTGGATGACAGAGCCAGACTCTGTCTCGAAAAAAAAAAAAAAAAAGCTTAATGGTGCCCATCTCACATCAGACAGGAACAAAGCAACCCCCTGTTTATCCCAGCTTGGCTTCTGGTCTATGCCCATGCCTGGTTTATGCTTTGGACACATAGATTACTGATTTTAAAAAATAAAAATAAATTAAATTTAAAAGCAAGGTACAGAACAGTGTGTATAATATGCTATTATTTGCACAAATCGGGGAAGAATAAATATTCTTATTTGCTTTTTATGCAAAGAACATCTCTGGAAGAATATATCAATGAACTAGTAAAATTTGCTTCTGGAGAGAGAAACTAGATGTGTGGAAACCAGGGGCAAGAGGGAGACTTTTTCCTGTGTTTTTAAAATTTTGAGCCAGCAAATGTGCCATCTATCTAAACAATTACCTAAATTTTAAAATGTTTAAGAAGAGGATGGTCAGAATGAAAGGAATTCTGGACTAGTCAAAGAATCTGGATTATGGTCCTAATTGTGGAGATTTGTAGCTTCATGTTCAGGGGCAGCCACAACTTCAGCCTCCTTTACAAGAAAGTGGACAAAATGTCATAGCTGGAAATGGATGTGCTTCATAAACTACAAACTAATGCGCAACTGTCAGGGTCCTTATTTCCCTGAGTCAGCCTATTCGGCATAGCTCCTTGAATATATTAGGTGCTCAGTAACTGTTTTAAAGGAGTGATCTTATCTAATTTCTCATGCTTTAAAAATACTGGAGCCAAGAGTCAGGTGATTTTTGTCTTCTCTCTCTCCTTTATGACTCTTAATTGCCTCTGTTTTGACATTTCCCAGCAGGGAAGACCTAACTCCTACCTCTTTCACACAGCTGCTCCAAACCCTTCACATCAGTGGAAGCCCAGCTCAAGTCCCAGTTTCCTGAATGAAACTTTCCTAACAAGTCAGTCTTCATTCTGATGAATGGGGGCTGAGACCTAGCCCAGAGGTTGCTTGCCAAGCTGTGGGCTCTGGCTCAGGGCAGCAATGGCCCCAAGAAAGTGAACTGATCCATCCTAATTTTCACAAAGGTGTCAGAGGGGCCTGCAGGTTCTACATGGATCTCTCTTTCCTAAATCACCGTCTCATTTATTACCATTTGATTTTTGCCAACTTCCCTGGCTTTGGCTCACATTTAGCTTCATGAGGGATAGGACTATGTCTTTCTGTCTTTCCATACTCTCCTATGCCTATCCCAGGGCTGGGCACCCTAAACCACTCTCTAAGGGTCTCCAACTAAGTCCTAAACTCAAATCCCAGCGGTATTTTCTCAGTTCACATCCAAACTGATGACTCAAACTTTAGATCATCAGCAGTCCCCTCCTTAAAATTCTCCTCTCCACTGGCTCCTGGGTTCCCTCTCACTTATTTGATCATCCATAAAAGGAGATCTACTCTATCTTAGTGCAGCGAGGTGGAGCTACGTGGACTTCACAGGCGGAGTGTCCGGATTCAGATTCCCATTCTACCGATGCACAGTTGTTAGCACTATGCAGATCCTGTAACCTCCCTGAGGCCCGATGCCAGCTTGGTATTACTATCCCTATTGAGTTTAAACTTCTGTGCATTCTTAAGTGTTCCATCACCACCTCAAGTTCAATGTACCTTCGAATTATTCTTGCCTGGATTATCTGCCACCCTCCCCAGAACAGGCAATGAACAGGGTCATTCAGCTGTTTTCGGCAGCTGTCTCTTGATGGACAGTAGGTGGCGCTGTCTTTCAAGACAGGACACCATTTCGCTTCACCTCCGGAAGGTGGAGCATTGTTGCCAAGACTCTAGGGCACTGGCAACCGTCTTTTAAACGGTGGCTTAAAAACTGATAGCATAATTCCTCAGGGCAAGAAACATCTGGCTGTGGAAAGCTAGCCGTGAAATATGTAGACTGAAGATGGAAGGAAAGAGAAGGGAAGGGGAGCATAAAACTGTGTAAGAGGAAGAGGGGTGGCCCAGGAGAGAGACAGAGCCTGCAGGGCTGCAGAAGGCAGGTAACCAACAAGGAAAGTTTACCAGTGAGAAATGTCTTGGGCAGAAATAGTGAAGGAATGTTTAAGAACGGAAATGCCTAATACTGAAACTTAAGTTGTCTGCTCTGAGATTGTGTCCTCTGCTGAAACCTGTCCTTTAGACCAGCACTCAATACTTTTTATCCCTAGACTTCCAGGAATCAAGCAGTCAATCTGTCATGCACAGTGACCTGAATAAGAGGAAATTTAGAGAAATCTCAGGAAAGTTGCTATGCTCTATGTTTGATGAGGCAGTTCTCAGAAAAACAGGGTTGGGGAGGAGCAGGGGTTCAAGATCTCAGATTCAGGAGGCATGGGGGACTCAGCAGAGCCCTTGGGAGCTGCTGGTGAAAGAAATGAGTTATTGGTAGGAACCTCTGAATTCCACCCAGTCGCGTGGAGGAAACAACCTCCAATACAGCATGACCTCACTTAGAGTGTAAAAAGGTTAACTGGTAGAAGCAGACAGTATTAATACAATGGTGGTTACCAAAGTCTGGGCGTGGTGGGCATGGGGATGGGTTGGTCAAAGGATACAAAGTTTCAGTTACTTCAAGGAGGAATACTTCAAGAGATCTGTTGTACCTTCTGGTGATTTGTTAGTAATGGTACACTGTGTTCTTGAAAATTGCTGAGAGAGTAGATTTTAAGTGTTCTCACCACAAAACACGAAAACCAAATAAACAAAACTAAAACAGCCTGAAATGTATTGAGGCTATTAGGCATTCACCAGGTTGTTAAGGAATCCTTATTTCAAGTCCTACAAAACAGCTGATCTTGAGAAGCACAGCCAGATGGACCAGTGTGGACATTACATATGGCGAGGTTGTAGAAAGCAATGAATCCACCCCCAGTGGAATGCGTATGAGGGGCTGGTTTACAGTAAATACTTAACTGGACACACCTATTTCAACAAAAGGATAGGGTTACACAATCAGCCACTTCCCTATAATAGGGGAATTTATGAGCTTCCAACTCCAAACTGAGGCACAGGGAAGAATCAAAAAGGGTAAGCAAATGCAGAGAGTGATGTTCGGTGACACAGACAGTACGTCAGCCTGAAGTGGGACCCCAGCGGAGAGACTTCAGGGACAAGCCTGTTGCAGTCGTGAAGTGTGCAGAGGAAGCTCTGCCATTAAGTTCATCCCTTGCACTGGTTCTTTCCAAGACCCTGGAATTCCAAGCAATGTGTTCAATATGGTCATGCTAAGTGTTTTGTAAAATTTGCAAAAGTAACATATTTTAACCACGGTTAGGATTACTGTCTCCTTCCACGTCAACTTCCCTCTGTCACAGTTTCTCTTGTATCAGGTAGCATGTGGGGGTTCTAGCTAAGGGGAAATTAAGTTGGGATTACATTGTTTGAGATTACTAGGATATGTGGTTCATAAGCACTTTCATGTATAGTCAAGTTATTGCTACCCGTCTCAGTGTAGAAGTGGCTTACAGGAACCACCACCCACTGAGATAACTCACCTGACATCAGAGACTAAAGTGAAAGGTCAGAGATCTGTCACAATAAGAATGTGTGCTGTGACATGAGGCACCAGAAGTCTGTGGACAGTGAAGCCAATAAATCCTTTTAACCCCTAGATGTAGAAAATTATAAGCGTATTACTCAGTCTCATCAAAGTCTAGTCAAAATGGAAGCTCTCTTCTTTAGGAATATACTTATTAAATATGCATATACAATTATACATACATCATGAAATAAAATGATCTCTTGCATATTTGCACATGAAATTAATAGAAGTTATTCTGACATCAGAAAAGGAATTGGAAGAAGAAAAAAAGTTTGGTTCCAGCCAAAACCAGCAATTTATTGAAGGGAAGGGATACATTTTAAATAGAATAGATGCCTAGATTGTTTGACAATCACTTGATGAAGAATTAACCACATAAACACATTAAAACTTAAAAAACTTGTTGTTTTGGCATAAAATATTGACATCTACAAACAGTTTCATACTACACCTTTACAACAAGGACTTAACGAAAAACAGGCCAATGACTTTCAGCAACTTAAAAGAGTATTTAAGATTAGTCACTGCCCAAGAAAACTTGAAATGCCCTGAAATCTCAGGCTTACATAGGAAACTCTTCACAGAGGCTTCTCCAAAATTAATAGCACTAAAAATTTGCATATTATTACCAATAACGATTGTGAAATGGATATTAACTTTTCTAAACTTTCAATAAAAACTTTTTTTGCTTAACTATGCTAGACGAAATACCAAATTATTCATTCTCACCCAGGAAAATACATTACAAAAGTGTTGTCGAATGAAGAGGGAATCAAAAAATATAAATGGGAAAATATAGGGGTGGTTCAAGCAGTTATTAGAATTTTGGGGGGATTTTTTGATGTTTGTGATATGTCAGTTTTTAAACATTTATCATTTGCTGTCATTGTTTTTCCTCATTGTAAGTCATATTTGCTTTTATTCTTAATTTTGTCAAATTCTGTATCCTTTTTCTTTTCTTTCTTTCCTTTTTTTTTTAATTTTTTTATTTTGAGACGGAGTGTTGCTCTGTCGCCAGACCTGAGTGTAGTGGCAACGATCTTGGCTCACTGCCTCACTGCAACCTCCGCCTCCCTGGTTCAAGAGATTCTCCTGGCTCAGCCGCCCGAGTAGCTGGGATTACAGGCACATGCCACTATGCCCAGCTAATTTTTTGTATTTTTAGTGGAGACGAGGTTTCACCATGTTGGCCAGGATGGTCTCGATCTCCTGACCTCGTGATCCACCCACCTCGGCCACCCAAAGTACCGGGATTACAGGCGTGAGCCACCGTGCCCGGCTGTATCCTTTTTCTTGAAAAGACACAACACTGTGTAAGCTTTCAAGCCCCACAAACCTGGGCCATCTCCCCGCCCCAGGAGAGTTCTCCGGCAATGGGAGTGGCCCAGACAGGCTCCCCAGATAGGGTCGGTTTCCAACAGGAGCCCTAAGGGGAGCTGAACCGGAAAACAAGTCTGTTAGTAGCGCTGGTCCTACGTGTCAGGGCTCAGTGGATAGAGAAGGAACAGGTGAGAAGCAGAGCCCCCGCCCAGTCCCCAGCGGTCCCCTTGGGAGCTCTGCTCGTGACCGTCCCGAGGGGCTGCGGCTCCGGGGCTCGGGTCGTTTTGAGTTCCTATCTTTGCGGCGGCTCTAGAATTCCAGGGGCAAGGCTTGCGCTCTGTCGTTTGCAGAAGACCGTCGCCAACGGACATCTGGGCCCTCTGGTGTTTCCAGCCCCACCTCCTCCCAGCCTTTCTTGTAACTAACCTGATCGAATGTGTGAATTGGGATTTCTTTTAAAAGCCCACCTCAACTGAAATTGGGACAGTGTAATCAGGATTCCGCTCCCCCGCCTTCACCCCAATCGGTTGCTTTTCAAATACAGCTTTTCTAAAACGCCGCCAGGCACCCGGGCGTGAAGGCGCGCGTCCGGCGTTCCTGGGCGCTCACCCAGTGGTCCGCGCGCCAATCTCCCTAACGTTCCCCAACCACCGTCCGAGCTGCCCCACTCTTCGCCCGGTCACTGATGCAGAGGCTGTCAGGCCTCTCTGCGCACGAAACCCATCACAGCACCTGGGCCAGCAGCCAGTGCCGGGCTGTCCTCTTCCCACCCCAAGGCGGTCCTCTTGAGTCTTCACACCGCCTCCTTCGGATCCCTCCCCATCCTGAGGACTTCAGGTTGCCGGCTCCTCACTTGGGTCCTGCGCACCTCGGGCTTCTCACAGAGTAGCCGTCTCCATTCTACGGATAGGGAAACAGAGGACCAGAGCCCCGAAAGTCGTACGCCCCAAAGCCCCTGAGAGTGGTCTCCAAATGCTAGTGCTGTGGCTCTGGAAAGATTCATTTTATTTCCTGCAACAAAGGCAGCCTCAGAGAACTGGCCTCCGAGCCTTTTCCGTGCAGACCCCCAATCTTTCAAGACACCACAGACCAATTCAGTTGGCAAAAGCCCTAAGAACAGTACACCCCAAACCAATGGAATAAAAAAGTTTTGTTTAGTTGAGACTGCAGAACTCTTAGCTGGCTTACAGATTTCTAAGGCAGCATTTGGCACCTCTGTTTGCTGTTTGGCTCCTCTTTCGGCCTCTAGAGCTGACTGCAGCTCCAATCTCCTTGTCACATCCTGGTCTGCAAACTGAGACCTCACAGGGGCCTTTACACCGTAGGGCAACTCCTTATGCCGTTGTCACACTGAAGCTAGAATTCTCAAAGCTGGAGCACTTAGGTGTCTGCATTTTAGAGGTCCCAGCCTGAATATATGCACAAGCAGGGTTTTGTTTCTGAGCTCAGTGAAGAGGACTGCTGTGACTCCAGCTCTTCTGAAATATTAGATGTGTAAAATGCAAGATTCTCTTCCAGCCTTGACTGGAGGTGATGTGGCAATGTGTGTACGCAAGAAAAGTCCATGCAGACTTTATACAGACTTTACTACTACAGACAAGAGAATCTTTCTGAAAGCTAAGGCCCAGAGAAGAGCAAACTACTGAAAAACTAAGGCCTGCATCAGAAGGGCTTCTGCTTCCATTAATGGACTGAGTAATTCAGACCAAGCCTCCATTTGAAGACAACTAAAAATGCTGGGTAAAATATTTTTAAGTATCTTACTTAAATATTCAAAGGTTAGTGAGGAATTGCTGGGCCAAAATTTGGGAAAGGAAAGGAACATGGAGGTGAGCCTGCAACTGGGGTCGCTTCTGTTCTGGGAGCATTTGCTGAAGAGAGTTTAAGAATCCAAGCTGCATTTTTGGCAGCCTTTAAAGGCTTAAAGGGAGTAGAAATGGTGTCCCAGCCCAGAGAATCTCAAGTAACCATTGAACTTGTTCAAAGTGACTCTAAACTGCTAGTGTCAAAAACAATCATTCTGGGAAGAAGATAATAGCATCCTAGGCCTCAAATGCATCTAGCAAACAAGCAAAAATAATCAAGCCCCAGAGAGGCGAGATTGCCATAAGAAAAGCAGAAACAGGCCAGGTGCAGTGGCTCATGCTTGCCATACCAGCACTTTGGGAGGCTGAGGCTGGGGAATTACTTGAGCTCAAGAGTTCAAGACCAGCCTGCACAACATGGTGAAACTCCGTTTCTACAAAAAATGCAAAAGTCAGTTGGGTGTGGTGGTGCACACCTGTAGTCCCAGCTACTAGGGTGGCTGAAGTGGATGGACGGCTTGCGCTTGGGAAGCAGAGGTTGCAAAGAGCTGAGATCATGCCACTGTACTCCAGCCTGGGCCGTAGAGCCAGACCTTGTCTCAAAAAGAAAAGAAAAGAAAAAAAAACAAAAATAAAAACAGACAACAGAATCAGACCCATGGGGCTTCCAGACTCTGGGGTTATTGGGCATAGACTATATAACAATGTATATGCTATCTTCAAAAGGATAAAAGCTATGTGTGAAACATTTGGCAGAGAGCTAGAAATTATAGCAAGTGACGTAGCAGATTTTTTTTGGGGAAAAGGAAATCTAGATTGAGACAGTGATGGGCACTAGAATTATAAAGTCATGGAAACTCAAGTATGGTGGCTGTGTTGGTCAATCTGTGAGCTTAGAAAGAATTAAACATGAGCGGCTATGTGACCACAGAGAGAAATGGAGAGAATAGCTTCCTATTTTTCAGTTGAGTTTTTTGCTACTACAAAATTATATAACCAAAAATAGATGATTTTAACTATGTAACTTAAAGGGTTATACATACACTTGGCTCAAAAAATAATATATTAAAAGGTATAGATTAAGTAGGACTGTGACCACCTTGCCCTTCTTCATTCATTCCACCTACCACTACCCCCGTCCCTGGCCCACCGGTACACACTTTTATTAGTTTTCTGCGTATCCTTTCAATGTTTCTTTATGTAAATAGAAGTTAAATACAACTATATATATTGGTATTTCTCCCCTTTATTAAGCAAAGTTTTGCATACTAAACACTGTTCTGTCACTTAACAATGTTGCCTAAAGATTGTTGTCATTGGAATATAGAGAGCCTGTATAAAATGGCTGTTCAGTATGGCAACTGAAAAATTAGCTGTTTTGTGCCAGGTACCATGGTAAGTGCTGAGGATGTCAAGATGAAAAACTATGGCCATGGGTAAGAGCTTTTACCATTTTTTAAATTTGGAAAATTAAATTTAAAATTTTTTCCATTTTCCATTTTTCCCTTTTCCATTTTTTAAATTTGGAAAATTTTTCTAGAATTTGGCTTTGGGAGGGATTAGACTGCTACCCCTGGGTACCGCATCCCACTGCTTCCCGTCCTTCTGTAATGTGGACTCACTGGCATGGTTGGCCTGCGTTAGCTGGCTTTGTGCATTGGAGCAGCTGGATGCCAGCCCAGAAGTTTCTGACAGCCTGGGCCCAGCAGTTCTGTGCCCACTCTGGGCCAGAGCACACAGCTGTCTTGCAGGAGAGAAGGGAGTATCAGCCTTTTACTCCACAGACTCAGCAGAGGCTTGATTTCAGATGTGAGCTGACCTTGAGACAGGCCCAGTCTGACTCAGGGATCAACTTTAAGGTTCTGTCAGGTCTCTGTGGAGCTAATAAATGGAGTAGGGGACCATGGGGGCAAAGGGTAGGTCAGACAAACGGAAGGAGAGGCATCCTCATTTGGAACAAAAGCTGTCTGTTTTTAAAGCCCCCGTAAATGGTTCAATATTTTAAAAGTTTTTTATTTTTTAAAAAGCAATGTTTAAAAACACTCGGGTTAAAAACATTGACTAGGATATTTTACATAAATTAAATAGTGGAAGATTTGAATAAATGTTCTGTATAACTAAAATAGAGTTTCTTTTCTGAAGAGAACTTTGGACTTTCACCTATACCTGACACCTGGGCCATTGTTCTCTGATTAAAGGTGCAATTTTTATCTATAGGAAAGTCATAATTCAAGATCAAAAAAGGAGCCCTTTTACGATGTTTTAACAATACCCCACCCTTGTTCCCCTGCCCTCCACCACCCATCTACTCCCCAGGAATATCTTTTTTTTTCTTTTTTTTTTTTTTTGGTGAGGAGTCTCACTCTGTCACCAGGCTGGAGTGCAGTGGTGCAATCTCGGCTCACTGCAACCTCTGCCTCCCAGGTTCAAGTGATTCTCCTGCCTCAGCTTCCCGAGTAACTGGGACTACAGGCATGCGCCACCACATCCAGCTAATTTTTGTATTTTAGTAGAGACAAGGTTTCACCATGTTGGCCAGGCTGGTCTTGAACCCCCTGACCTCAGGTGATCCACCCGCCTTGGCCTCCCAAAGTGCTGGGATTACAGGCATAAGCCACCACACCTGGCCCCCAGGAATATCCTATATTAAATACAGGAGTTGATAGGCAGGCTTATCTCTCATTCCCACCCACATCCATCCCTCCTCCCCACCCTCTGATTAGCTGGAAAAATTTGGAAAGATGGAAAAGAGATTATTCCAGCACAGGGGAAGGAAGATCACTTGTCACATTGTCAGGAAAAACATACGATGCTCAGTTAAACTTGAATTTCAGATGTACAACAAGTAGTTTTTTAGTATGTCTCAAATATTGCATTATTCATTGTTTATCTGACGTTCATATTTAACTGGGTGTCCTGTACTTTTATTTGCTAAATCTGACAACCCTGTTTGGCAAATCTGGGTCACAGGGTATCAGGCCAACTGGAAAAGACAGTTAAGGAATGAAAGATAAGTTTAGATGAAAGGGAAGAGGCCAATGGAGGACGAGTTGGACTTTATTCTGTAGAAAATGGGGAACAACTGAAGGTGTCAGTTTTTTTTTTTAAGTAACATTTATTGTGGGATTTTTTTAATTGTAAAAGCAAATATGTTAATTGTGCTGCATTTGGAAAGCACAGAAAAGTATAAAAGAATATAATTACCCATAATTTCACCAACCAGCAATAACAACTATTGGCACCTTACTGTTAACTGCCTGCAAGTTGATGCCAGTTTTCACCTTCTCAAGCCTATTTTGACAGCTCTATTGAAAACTGGAACCATATCGACTGCTCTTCATACTCCCTTTCTGCTTTATTTTTTCCTCCATAATATTTATTTCCTCCTTAGAACCTTAATGTGAAAAAAAAAATTTCCTCCTAATGTATGATTCATTTGGTTAGCTGATTTACTGCCTGGCTCTCAGTGGGTGGGGCTTCTGTATACTTTATTCACTGTAATAAAAGTGCCTAGAATTATGCCTGTCACATAGTAATAAGTATCCATTGTAATGAACAAATAAGTTATCCTTCTGGTTTCTTTTCTCTGACTATATATGCTTTTGATTACTTCCTTATGTAACCATAACAGATTTGTTGCCCAACAGGCACAGAAAGTCAGTAAGCTGAAACCTGGTTGCAGCAGAGAAAGAGGTTTAATCGTAGGGCCGCCAAATGAGGACATGGAAGGGAACTTCAAATCCATCTCCCCAAATAATTTGGAGCTAGAGATTTTAAAGATTTTGGAGTTGGCCAAAGTGACTGGCTGAAGAGTGCAGGGTGAAGTCATGGGACAAGGAGATGAAGAAGCTGTATTATCAAGTTGAGAAAACAGTTCCTTTGTGGAGGTCTTAAACTAGTTGTCATCAGCTGTTCTACTAAAATTCAGGATCTGCTTAAGCAATTCTTTAAAAAAATTTTTTTAATTAATAATTTTTTTTGTAGAGATGGGATCTTGCTTTGTTGCCCAGGCTGGTCTCGAACTCCTGGCTTCAAGCAATCCTCCTGCCTTGGCTGATTCTTATGTCAGAAATCCTACCTAGAGCAACAATGGGGATATGACTGGTCAGTGTCTAGTGTTACATGACTTTTGGTTTCAAGGAAGTGAGTCAAAGTGCAGTCTGATTAAGGCTTAATTATAATTATATTTCTGTCCAGAATTATTGTTAACCCTGTGAGGATGGCTTCACTTAGGGAAAACTTTTAGACATGAAACTACTGGGCCAAACGGTCTTAGGTGCATTTTAAAATAATTTTGGTGTATATTGCCCACACACAGTCCAGAGGGGCTAAACTGGCTCACATTGCAGCTGCAGGATTGTGGAGTGCCTGCACTGAAGTTTGCAATAGAGAGAAGAGGAGATGAGCACTGCTCCATCCAGTAGGAGGTGTAAGGGTTGGGAGATCCCTTGCGAAGAGCTGGAAACTCAGAACTGGGGTTGTGGGGATGGAAGGTGGGCTCTGCGGTGATATGGGAGTTCATCTGTGTATTCTTTTGCCAGGACCTCCGTAACAAAGTACCACAGGCTGGGTGGCTCTAGCAACAGCAATTTATTTTCTCAAAGTTCTGGAGGCTGAAAGTCCAAGATCAAGGTTGTTGCCTGTGAGGCCGCTCTCCTTGGCTTACAGATGGCCGTCTACTCAGTGAGTCCTCACAAGGTCTTTCCTCATGTGGAGCATCCCTGGTGCCCTTCTGTGTGTCCAAATCTCGTCTTCTTATGAAGACGCCAGTCAGATTAGACAAAGGTCCGCTCTGATGGGCTTATTTTACCTCTGAGGACTAAACTCTGACCTTTTTCCTTCTCTTGCCCAAATTTCTACCTAAGGGGCCTGGGGAGTCATGCCCTACAAACCGTAAAGTCTCATCAGAGGGGTTTAATTTAACCCTAATGTGGCCTACTTTCCAAACTGGCTCTGGCATAACATTACATAACAAATAAGGAAAGAAATCAAAATATTTTAACCCCAAATGTATTTCCTTGCCATATCTTGAAATTGCCCTGCAAAGTTGTCTCTTGTGGGGGAAAAATCTACATTCTATAGAGAATCCCCTTTTCCCTTTTTTTCAGGTCCAGGAGATAATCAAGAGTCTGGCACCCTTTTTGAGTCTAATAAAAAACATTTATAATCTATTCTCTCTGAAGCCTGCTACCTGAAGGCTTCCTCTGCACATTAAGAACTTTGTGCCGGGTGCGGTGGCTCACACCTGTAATCCCAGCACTTTGGGAGGCCGAGGCAGACAGATCACCTGAGGTCGGGAGTTCGAGACCAGCCTGACCAACATGGAGAAATCCCATCTCTACTAAAAATACAAAAAATTAGCCAGGCGAGGTGGTGCATGCCTTAATGCCAGCTACTTGGGAGGCTGAGGCAGGAGAATGGCTGGAACCTGGGAGGCGGAGGTTGCAGTGAGTCGAGATCATGCCATTGCACTGCAGTCTGGGTGACAGAGTGAGACCTTGTCTCAAAAAAAAAAAAAAAAAAAAGGAACTTTTCTCTTTTCTCTCCACAGTTCTTTATCTCAACCCAGACATTTCCTTTCCATTGATCCCAGGTCTTCAGATAAACTCAACCAACTGTCAACCAGAAAATGTTTAAATCTACTTATAACCTGGAAGCTCCCTACTTTGAGTCATCCTGCCTTTCTGAACCTAACCCATGTACATCTTAAATGTACTTGATTGAAGTATCATGTCTCCCAAAAATGTATGTATGAAACCAGGCTGTGCCCTAACCACCTCAGGCACATGTTCTCAGGATCTCCTGAGGGCTGTGTCATGGGCCATGGCCACCCATATTTGGCTCAAAATACATCTCTTTGAATATTTTATAGAGTTTGACTCTTTGTCGACAATTTAATCAACTTTCAAAGGCCCTATTTCCAAATATAGTCACATTTTGAGGTTCTTGGAGTTAGGGCTTCATCATACAAGTTTGGAGCAGTGGGTGAGAGGGACACAATTCAGCCCGCGGAAATCTGCATAGAAGTGTTGAGACCATGGGAGAGACAGACATCCACCACAAACCTCCCCGCATCTGGAAGGCAGCACTCTGTACTCCTGAGTCTCTCAGGGCCAACCAGATCCTCCTCATGCCTCCTGAAATGAGATTTCAAAACTGCTTGCCATCCAAGTGACCTCCTCTCAAGGCAGTCCAGTTTGCGGTTACCTTTATTAAAATGCGCTTCCCAGAGTGAGTTACCAAGAGCTCTGTGTTAGGCTCTGGACACGGTACTTCTGTGGTACAAGAATATTACATAGTCTGATGTGTTCTGATGGGGGCATTTAGATCCTCAAACCCAAGCATATTTTTATTTCTTCTTGCCACTTTTCTCTCAACCACTTTTCTCTGATGTCATTTATTGTAGAAGCAGCATAACCATAGCAAATAACTGGGTAGCGCGGCCTAGCCAAGTTGACATATAAAATTAACCATTCCACCGGCCAATCCAATAATTTAAATAATCTGGATAACTGAGTCAAGTGAAGGCCAGGCCTTTTCAGCTTCTTCCCCCTGCCCTTGCTCCTAAGTTGGAG
Organism: Homo sapiens; assembly: GCF_000001405.40. NCBI lineage: Eukaryota > Metazoa > Chordata > Mammalia > Primates > Hominidae > Homo > Homo sapiens. The sequence goes on along the minus strand of NT_167248.2, from coordinate 1,374,833 downwards.
TCGCGGTGTTAGGAGACTGCAGTTTCTCCTGGCAGAGGGAGAGGAGTGAGACCACCATGAGGTTCTCCCATCTGCACAGGCACAGCAGCCCTTAAACTATCTCTGGATTTATGCTTCTATGTTTTAATGGGTTTCTCTAAGGAAGAAAGGGAGCTTTACATTTTGTTGGGGTTTTTAATCTCATGACTGATCCTTTGGTTGAGCAATTCAGCCCAATGTTATATTGACTGCTATATATAAACTGAACTTTGTTGCTCCATTTATTTTGATGGCCCTCCTATTTTTTTTTCTTTCTGTTTGCATGTATATATCTCTATAGAAAACTTTAAACTCATTTTTAATGGGATGATATACATGCAAACAGAAAGCAAACATTTTAATCATTCTGGTATTTTAAACAGAACTTTTTTATGGCTAAGTGCTGTGACTCATGCCTGTAATCCCAGCACTTTGGGAGGCCAAGGCGGGCTGATCACTGGAGGTCAGGAGTTCAACACCAGCCTGATCAACATGGTGAAACCCTGTCTCTACTAAAAATACAAAAATCAGCCAGGCATGGTGGCACAGCCCTGTAATCCCAGCTACTTGGGAGGCTGAGGCAGGAGAATCGCTTGAACCTGGGAGGCGGAGGTTGCAGTGAGCTGAGATTGCACCATTGCACCCCAGCCTGGGCAACCAAAGCAAAACTCTGTCTCGAAAAGAAAAGAAAAGAAAAAGAAAAAGAAAAAGAAAGAAAGAAAGAAAGAAAGGAAGGAAGAAAGGAAGGAAGGAAGGAAGGAAGGAAGGAAGGAGGAAAGAAAGAGAGAAAGAAAGAAAGAAAGAAAAAAAGAAAGAAAGGAATAAAACCCTGTTTTTACTACCTCCTGTTTCTAATTTCTATTTTTAACTAAATAAAATCTAGCTCTCTTGTTGGGAGACTGGTTATAGGGTATCTCTGTGTAAGCTGTCCCTTGACTTCATTTCGACCCCACCGTCCCTGACTTATCTTGAAGCCTAAAAACCCTTTTGAAATCCTGTGTGCATTTTACTTTTCTTATAATATTCTTTCTAGTCACCGTTCAAATGCATTTTAAGTCATTTGCCTTGAGGCTTTTGAAAAAGATAGTGCCCATTCACACTGAAACCAGCCACATATGAAGAGTCCCATTTTTCCACATCCTCATCAGCTCTGGACATTTTTGAAAAATTTTGCCAATCTGATGAGTACAAAGTTTATCTCATTTTTGTATTTGTATCGCATTATTTGTATTTTCCTGAGTAGTAGGAAAGGAGTTGAACTTTTTCTTAATTTTAGAATTTATTTTAGAATTCCTCTGAATTTCTATTTTTATTTCTATCCATTGTTCATTTTCAACATTTTTCCTATTTTAACTAAAATATTTTACTTTGGAAAAACTTAATATAGAAAATAATAGAAAATCATATAACAAGCACCTTATAACCACAACCTAGAATTAACAAATACAAACATTTTGCTATGTTTGCCTCAGATTTTTAAAAATTAAATATTACAGATTTAATTTTTTAAATTTTAATCTCAAAAAAATTTGAGAATCCCTCTGTCCATTTAGTTCTCTTCTTAGTTCCATTCCTCTCTCGCTCTTTCTCTCTCTCCTCCCGGAAGCAAACACTGCCATAAATTTAGTATGTATCCTTTCAGGCCTTGTGTTTAAACTTCTATCACATATATGGAAACTGCAAACTATATGAAGTGTTGTGTGTTTCTAAGTGTATATAAATCACCACATACTCATTACTGTTTTGAGACCTAGCCATATGACTACATACAGATCACTGGTTTTCCATCAGAGGTTTTGTCCCCCAGGGACATTTGGTCATGCTTGGAGACATTTTTGTTTGTCACAACTGGGGGATAGGAGTGCTACTGGAATCTAGTGGTAGAGGCCAGGGATGCTGGTAAACATCCTACAGTGCACAGGGCCACCACACACCAAAGAATTATCCAGCCTAAAATGTCAACAGTGCTATCATTGAAAAACCCTGACATAGGATTTATTTATTTATTTATTTATTTTTTTGAGACGGAGCCTCACCCTGTCGCCCAGGCTGGAGGGCAGTGGCGCGATCTCGGCTCACTGGAAGCTCCGCCTCCCAGGTTCCCGCCATTCTCCTGCCTCAGCCTCCCGAGTAGCTGGGACTACAGGCGCCGGCCACCATGCCTGGCTAATTTTTTGTATTTTTAGTGGAGACAGGGTTTCACCGGGTTAGCCAGGATGGTCTTGATCTCCTGACCTCGTGATCCGCCCGCCTCAGCCTCCCAAAGTGCTGGGATTACAGGCGGGAGCCACCGCACCCAGCCAATATTAATACTGTTACATGCATCTCTGAGTGCACATGTGCAAGGTTTTCTCTAGAGAGGCAGAATCATACAGGGTGTAAGAAGGCTCTAGAGGCTACCTGGGTTCAAGTCCCCATTCCACTATTTACTTACTGAATGACCTTTGGGGCAAATTGCTTAATCTCTCTTGATCTCCGTTGACTTGTCCTCAAAATGGGAATAATAATACTTCTCTATATAAATGAGTTAATACGCAAAATGCTTGGGACTGTGCCTGGCACATGGTAAGCATTCAAGAAATGTTAGCTTTTATTTACTGGTAGCAGTATTTTCATCATCATCATTATCATTACAGAACCTTGAAATGAAAGTACACCGTTTAAATTCTACTAAATATTTTTAAATTATTGTAATTTATACTCTCACCAGTAGGGTATAGGAGTACCTATTTCTCCATGTCCTTGGCTATATTTGATATTCCAGACTTAAACTTAAGATATAAACTGATATCTTCTTTTATTTTAATTGGCATTTTCTTTTTTCTTTTTCTTTCTTTCTTTCTTTTTTTTTTTTTTTTAAGGAAACGTCTTGCTCTGTTACCCAAGCTGGAGTGCAGTAGGGCGGCTAAAGTGCAGTGGCATGATCACGGCTCACTGCAGCCTCGATCTCGCAGGTTCATGCAATCCTCCTGCATCAGCCTTCCAAGAAGCTGGGACTATAGGTGTGTGCCACCATGCCCAGCTAACTTTTGTATTTTTTGTAGAGACAGGGTTTCACCATGTTGTCCAGGCTGCTCTTGAACTCCTATGCTCAAGAAATCTGCCTGCCTTGGCCTCACAAAGTGCTGGAATTACAGGCATGAGCCAATGAGTTGAGCGTGCATTTTCAAGATTACTGTTTTCAAGTATTTATTGGTTAATTGGTTTTATTGCTCTGCAAATGTCCATTTCATTCTCTGTCCATTTTTTGATTTACTATTTAATGTTGTAAAACATAATGTAAAAAGTACTAAAAAAGAAAAAAACTTAATGTATTTATACAATTAAAAATTCACAAAATGTAATATGTCATACAAAGAAAAGCCTCTCTTCCACCCCTGTTCCCTGGCTAGTCAGTCCCTCTCCTTAGAGACAACCATTGTTAGTTATTAAATTCTTATCCTTCCAGAAAGAACTTATTTGGATATTCAAGAAAATAAGTATTTTTTTTCTACCCAAATGGTAGCATAGTACATGCATTTTTCTGCATTATTTGTTTTTTCCTTTCTTCACATAACAACATATCTTGGCCATATTTTCCATATGTAAATAAGGAACTCCCTGATTCTTTTTTATTTCTATTCTGTTATAAAGCTGGGCTATAATTTATTTAAACATTTCCATACTGATGTACATTTAGATTGTTTTCTAATATTTTGCTAATGCAAACATTACCACAAAGTCCAAAATAAATTTATATGTGTGAGTATATCTGTAGACTAAATTCCCAGAGGTGGAATTTCTGGGATAAAGGGAATGAGCATTTGTAGTTTTGAAACATATCACATTATTTTCCTCCATAGACATTCTACCAATTCACATAGGCCCGGAAATGTGAATCCTGAGGCAGGGGAAGCTTCTGTAGCTGGAATCGTGATGCAGGGAGGCTTATGTAACATTGTGGGGCTGTCTAGTCTGACAACTGAGCTGCCTCTAGCCTTCACTGGCCTCTGATAAGGTGTCTCATCCCATTAGTCTTGGCAGGTCCCCTCCAGATCTGTGCACTCGCTGCTGCATGGCTCTGTGTCTGCTTTCTTGTGTGTGACAGCTGTCTCATGTGCATGAGGCTCTGCATCATTTCCTGTTCTATGGCTAATTTTTATAAACTCTATGCCTCAGAATTGGCTTGGAAGTCCTTTGGAACTAACACAATACCAACTATCTCAAGACCCTAGCCCTTGCAAATTGGAGGCATTTGGTTTCAGACTACTGAGCCTACTAAGAGTTTAAGATATCCATTCAAGGGCTGGGCACAGTGGCTCACGCCTGTAATCCCAGCACTTTGGGAGGCTGAGGCAGGTGGGTCATCTGAGGTCAGGAGTTCAAGACCAGCCTGGCCAACGTGGTGAAACCCCGTCTCTATTAAAAATACAAAAAATTAGCTGGATGTGGTGGCAGGTGCCTGTAATCCCAGCTACTTGGGAGGCTGAGGCAGGAGAATCACTTGAACCGGGGATTCAGAGGTTGTAGTGAACCGAGATCACGCCATTGCACTCCAGTCTGGGCAATAATAGTGAAACTCTGTCTCAAAAAAAAAAAAAAGAAAGAAGAAAGAAAAAAAATATATGTATATATATATCTCCATTCAGTCCAGTGGATGGATGACCCAGGATAACAATAATAATTCTGAGAGAGTAAAGCACCTTTGAAACACTGTAGATTCTCATTTTTTATGTCTAAATTTCCTTCCTCATGAAGCCATCAGTACCTGTTTGGTGACAGTTCTTTGAAACTCTCCAGTGGTGTTCATATGAGTATTTTCATTCTCTCTGCTGGGTTGCCCAGCTTCATTGAAATACCAATGTTCTTTTAAAATATTTGTTTATCATTTTTAAAGATTACTATTTGTTTTCATTAATGCTGAAACAAGAAAGAATAAAGAAGACTTAATGTGGAATAGGAAACCTGGAATTAAGTCTGAGATCTGTCATTTATTAGCTGGATGAGCTGGAACAATTAGTAGTGTCTCTAAACCAGGGGTTATCAATGTGTGAGCCTCCATCAGGAGCATCGACTTCTCCAGAGAATTTGCTTAAGATGTCAATCATCAGGCTCCACCAAGGACCTGTTGAAAGAGAAAGTCTCTACTGGAGTTCAGCAAATCTGAATTTTAACAAGTTTTCCAAGTGATTCTGAAGAATACTGAGTTCCTTTTTTGAGAAAGGATAAAGATAATTTCTTACAGGTGAGACTTAAATGAGGTAATATAAGCAAAATAAATCTATAAATCAGAGTCATAATGTCAAATGCCTTCAAGGGCCAAGGAGACGTGAGGTAGCAGAGCGGTGGGGAACATAGCCACCCTCTCTAAAGGCATCTACATTATCATTATTTTCTAAATCATCATGCCAGTCAAACAAAACCTGTCAAAAGTTAAATTCTGCTTCTAGGGGCCAGCAGTTTAGGAGTGTAAGTAAAACAATTTACAGATGTTAGACTGTTTTAATTTAACCCTAAAACAAACAAAAAGAAAGGTCTGGAGGTATAACATTTCTGAAAGTCTTTGGTTTACAGCAGTTGCTATAAGGGGAGCCACATAATTTATAGTCCAAACTGGACATTTCTGAAAGTGAAAGGAGGTGCTATTAATAATTACACCAGGACAAAGTGAAACCCAGGATGGTTCCAGGCAAAGCAGAGTGTATGATCACTCTGGCTATTATTATAATAATCATCCACAAGCCCTGTTTGACCTAAGATTAAGATCAGACAAAAATTAATGGTGTACTTCTTGCTGGGGACAGACGGCTGATAATGGAGAGTGAGGAGGTGAGGGTGGAAGCTATACCAAGAGAAGGGGTAGGGAGGAAGCACCCTTTTCCTTAAGACAAGAGGCAAGGAGGGAAGGTTAGGACATGAATGTACAGAAGGGAATGTATGTAACACTGGTTGATATATTCCTAGTCATAACAAAAGCCATAGAAGGCAAGTCAGGGATCAGAGAAGCACCAAGAAGGAAGAAGAAGAACATATAGACAGAATTGGCAAAGCAAAGAATGGGCACGGAGACACCAGCATACTGGAGACATACAGAGAAAAAATCAACAGAGGACAGACTACTACAGGTGTTGTGGGGAGACAGAAGATCACCAGGGGCAAGAGCAAAGTGCAAAAACAAAGAACAACTCTTTAGAAAGGAAGTTCCTTGCCTATCCTACTGAGCTAGGGAGTGGTTGGTTGACCCTGTGACTGGAAATTCCCCAAGGTAGGTGATGATAACCTCCACATTTTCACAAAATTCTGTGAGGAGCCAAAGCACCTGAGGTAGAGAATTGCCCTTCCCCTACTTTCCAGATGCTCTACCGAGGCTTGAACTTTGCATACAAGATGCCCAAAGCATTGCAGTGAACTGGCTGTGACCTTTCAGTAGGCATCACCACCCACCCCTCCACTCCCTACTCAGAGCTGATTGGGAAATCCCCCATAAGTGGTGTTTGGTGCCCCGGTCATTCTGATCTTAGTCAACCACCATACAAACATACCTTTAGTCCAAAGTTCAGGACAACTTATTTCACTTTATAAGCAGCCTATTACACATTCAAAGTATCCATTTGTTCTCAAGAGGTAGCAAGGTAGGACTGCCCATCTGTTTTCCTCTCTTTATAATATTTTCTAGATCCTAAATTTTACGCTTTTCTATCATTTCTTTATTTTTTTCTCCCTCTTCTTTTCCTCTCTCTCTGCTCTTCTAACTAATTGGCAGAATCTCTGACCTCCACTTTCTCTGACTCCCTTCTCCCTTCCTAGAAACAGTATCCACAGTGGACTCCGGGGCTCCTACAGACTTGGCACAGCTTCCTACAGTCTTGAAACAGCCCTGTTGTTCTGTCATGGCCAGTGGGCAGTTTGTGAACAAACTGCAAGAGGAAGTGATCTGCCCCATCTGCCTGGACATTCTGCAGAAACCTGTCACCATCGACTGTGGGCACAATTTCTGCCTCAAATGCATCACTCAGATTGGGGAAACATCATGTGGATTTTTCAAATGTCCCCTCTGCAAAACTTCCGTAAGGAAGAACGCAATCAGGTTCAACTCGCTGTTGCGGAATCTGGTGGAGAAAATCCAAGCTCTACAAGCCTCTGAGGTGCAGTCCAAAAGGAAAGAGGCTACATGCCCGAGGCACCAGGAGATGTTCCACTATTTCTGCGAGGATGATGGGAAGTTCCTCTGTTTTGTGTGTTGTGAATCCAAGGACCACAAATCCCATAATGTCAGCTTGATCGAAGAAGCTGCCCAGAATTATCAGGTAGGCATTTGAGGTTTCTTCCCTGTTCCCCCATCAGCCCAGGAGTTCAGTGAGGCCCTGGAAACTGCTACCTTCCCACTGAGGGTTTGCACCCCATTGCCCCCACCCCTTGGGCTTGAGTGGGCAGCTCGCAGTCAGGCACAGTGGGTTCAAAGAGCTGAGTCTGGGGAACTGCTGACTCTCTAAATCAAGGTGCAATGGAGAATGGAAAGGATGTGAAAATTTGACTCAGAAGGTTTGGGCTCAAGCCCAGTCTTGTGAGTTTACTGTACAACCTGCAAGGAATCACTTTACCTCTCTGAGCCTCAGGTACCTCACCTTTCAAATGGCAAAAACAAAACAACTCTCTTAAAGTTGTTGGTAGGACAGATGAAGGGAAGTTTGTAGTTCTTTGATAATTCCAAAGCACCATCCATAGTCCTAGTTAGTCATAAATAACTATGTTCTGGTCATTTAGGTCACTTAGGCTCCAGATTTCTCCCTTCTCAGCAACCCCTTTCCCCGCCAGCTTGAGAAAGGCGAGTCCTTAATAATTACACAAGGACTCACCTGGAGAGTGTCACCAGCTCTCCTAAGAGACCAGGAGGATTTTATGAGGCCAGAAATCTCCAGGCACAGCCTGTCCAAACGGCCCTCTTTCCGCAGGGGCAGATTCAAGAGCAGATCCAAGTCTTGCAGCAAAAGGAGAAGGAGACAGTACAAGTGAAGGCACAAGGTGTACACAGGGTCGATGTCTTCACGGTAAGAAAAACTCCATCCCACGATCTCTGGAAGCAGAAACATCTCTGCCAAAGCTCCTGGAATCCCCTATTACACTGACCCCTCAGAAAAAGATCCAGTGAGCCATGTCCTCTCCTCGGCGCCTCAGCACCTGACCGGCCAGGCGGCATCACCTCCCGCGTCGGCCTCGCTATTACAGCGGGCTGACTGCTCAGTCTCCACCGGCAGACAAGGTGGGGCACGGAAAACCCGCGCTGGTCTTAGAATCGCAAGTACAGGTTTTTAAGGCCGAGCTGCGCCCTCAACGGATTCCCCAATTAGAAAATGAAGACATTGGCCGGGCGCGGTGGCTCACGCCAGTAATCACAGAACTCTGGGAGGCTGAGGATCGCTTGAGCCCAGGAGTTTGAGACCAGCCTGGGCAACATAGCGAGACTCTCCTCTTAATTAAAAAAAAAAAGAAAGAAAACTAGCCGGGCGTGGTAGCACACGCCTGTAGTCCCAGCTACTAGAGAGGCTGGGAGGTGAAAGTATTGTTTGAGCCTGGGAGGATGAGGCTGCAGTGAGCCGTGATCGTGCACTGCACTCCAGCCTGAGTGACAGAGTGAGAGACTGTCTCAAAAAAAAAAAAAAAAAGACAGAAGGAAAATGAAGACATTGTGACCCCACTTACCTATTTTCCTGTGTGCGTGAAAGGAATAAAATCTATATGAAAGATTATAAACTGAAAAGCCTTCTGGAATTGTATTAGACAGTTCCTTGAAGGCAAGTGGTAAACCATAAATTAATAATTTCGCTTAAAGCTGAGCACGTAGTAGGTGCTTTTAGAAGTTTGTTCTCCTCTCCTTTCCTTTCTTCCAGGTCTGCCCTGGCACATTGCTCTGGTTGGGAATTCCACACAAACTTAATAAAATTAATGGCTGAATAAAGTGGGCTAGAAGGACCTTCGAGGCCATCCTCTCACCCTCTGCCTGTCCCTGTTTCTTAGGACCAGGTAGAACATGAGAAGCAAAGGATCCTCACAGAATTTGAACTCCTGCATCAAGTCCTAGAGGAGGAGAAGAATTTCCTGCTATCACGGATTTACTGGCTGGGTCATGAGGGAACGGAAGCGGGGAAACACTATGTTGCCTCCACTGAGCCACAGTTGAACGATCTCAAGAAGCTCGTTGATTCCCTGAAGACCAAGCAGAACATGCCACCCAGGCAGCTGCTGGAGGTGAGTCCCTTGGGGGCAGAATTGCAGAGAGGTAGCAGCCCATCCCTAGTCTCAGGTCAGAGCATGGACCACTGGCAGAATACCTGAGATTGCCCCAACCATCCTACCTCTAGCCCAGTGCTGTCCAATAGCAATATGTGAGCCGCATGTATTAGAATGAAAATGTGAGCCACATATGTAATTCATAAATATAATTCTGGCCACATGTGTGATTTAGAAATGTAGTTTCAGCCACATATGGAATTACAAATTTTTCTAGTTAGTCACATTAAAATGATAAAAGTGAAATTAATTTTAATAAAATATTTTAACTCAATATATCTGAAATATTATCCTTTCAGCCTGTAATGAATATTTTAAAAGTATTAATGAGATATTTCACATTCTGGGTTTTTGGTGGTTTTTTTTTTTTTTTTTTTTTACACTGAGTCTTTGAAATTGTGTGTATATTTTTCACTTTGGCACATCTCAATTCAGATGCTAAATTGTCAATTGTTAAAGTAAAATATAGTCTTACCAAATCAATAAAGTTGTGTTTAATGGAAAAAGTACTTTACCCTTCTTCTATTTATTTTATTTTATTTTTTGAGATGGAATCTTGCTCTGTTGCCCAGGCTGGAGTACAGTGGCGCGATTTTGGCGCACTACAACTTCCGCCTCCTAGGCCCAAGTCCCAAGTAGCTGGGATTACAGGTCCCCACCACCACGCCCAGCTAATTTTTGTATTCTTAGCAGACACGGGGTTTTACCATGTTGGCCAGGATGGTCTCGAACTCCTGACCTCAAGTGATCTGCCCACCTCAGCCTCCCAAAGTGCTGGGATTACAGGCGTGAACCACCGTGCCTGGCCTCTATTTTTAATTTAAATTTGAATTAGTAAAAATGAAATTAAAAATTCAGTTCTTTGTCACACTAGCCACAATTTCCAATGTTCAGTAGCCACATGTGGTTGGTGGCTACCATATTGGACAGTGCAAGTCTAGCTGGTGCTTAAAACAAGCTGAGATGATTCCTCCTCAAGTCATCTATTCTCCCACAGGTTCAAAAACCTATTTATTTATTTTAAGAAAGATCATGCAAAGCCATTCTAGCCTTTCTCCTGCCCTGGCTAGCAGGGCTCCCTTGTTCAGTCTCAGAGCCAAATTCATCTTCTAAATCTCACTCTTCTCTTCTTCACTCAGTTCTTCTTGAGGTCAAAACACTTTTCTGCTTACTGGCAGAGCAGTGCTTCTTGGAGAAGCCCTTCGTGGTGGGGAGAGGGGAGGAGGATGGGGTAAGAGAGACTTGGAGGGGTTCTTACTCCTCCTGCTCTGCCCCACACCCAGCAGGCTCTGTATCTCCTCCTTGGCTCCTGGGAATCAGCCAAGTGCTGAGGCTGTGCTGTTTCTCTTTCTCTTCTAGGATATCAAAGTCGTCTTGTGCAGGTATGATGGGCCACCCCAAATGTATTTTGCCTACTGATTCATCCACATACAATTCTCAGCGTATATCCAAATGCAGTCAACATTCCTCTCTCAGAAATACCCACCCACCTCTAACTCTGCATTCATACATTTAGGCTGCAGCTGGGGAATGCCTATGCCAACCATATTAGCACGTGGTTGGTTGTTAAAGAAACCAGCTGTTTTCTCAGCCTTCCTCCTTCTTCAGCACAGATTCTACTATTTCCTGAATGCCCCCTTGCTCAACTGAATAGCTCCTGGGTCCCCTACTCTGTCTCCCTGACCCTGTTTTTTTCCCTCCTCTCTGTCTCCATCTCCCATCTTCATTTCCATATCTCCCTATGCCCTACCTCACTCCTGCCCCATATCCCTAGCCCTGACTTTCTGACTCCCAGCTCACTATCCCTTAACCGCCAGGTCTTCTTCTTTTTTTTTTTTTTTTGAGATGGAGCTTTGCTCTTGTTGCTCAGGCTGGAGTGCAGTGGTGCAATCTCAGCTCACTGCAACCTTTGTCTCCCAGGTTCAAGTGATTCTCCTGCCTCAGCCTCCCAAGTAGCTGAGACTACAGGCGCTTGCCACCAAGCCTGGCTAATTTTCATATTTTTAGTAGAGACCGGGTTTTACCATGTTGGCCAGGCTAGTCTTGAACTCCTGACCTCAGGTGATCCACCCGCCTCAGCCTCCCAAAGTGCTGGGATTACAGGTGTGAGCCACCGCTCTCAGTTCTACCCCCAGGTCTTCATCCCCTCATTTCTCAACCCCATATCTCAGATCCTCCTTCTCCCACACCTCATCCCCTGATCTCACCAACCAGCTCAACCACATCTTCCTAGAAGTGAAGAGTTTCAGTTTCTCAACCCAACCCCTGTTCCTCTGGAACTGGAGAAAAAACTCAGTGAAGCAAAATCAAGACACGACTCCATCACAGGGAGCCTGAAAAAATTCAAAGGTAAGGAAGAGGCTGTATTTTCTCTATTCACCTACTTCCAGGAGATTCTCTCCCTGCTCACTCCACTGAAATGGAACTGTGACTCATACATGCCAACAATCCCTGGGCCCTTCTAGTGCCAGGCTTCTGGCTGAGTACTTTCCACGCATCAGTATGCCTCCTCCCAGGCATTTCTTATATTCTGTCTTCGTGATATGTTATTTATCTGCCTCCCTGACTCCTGCGAGAGCCATAGAGGGCCTGGACCTATTCCCCATGTGGACACCTGGCCTAGAGCAGTGGCTGTTGGGAAGTTGGTGATGAGTTGTCTGGTGGACCAGAGATGGCCTCAGGCAGGGACTGTCATCTCTGACTTCTCCTTCTCTGGTGCACACTGGTGTCTCCTCCTGCCTACAGAAGAAGAGAAAATAAATTCAAAATCAGTGACATTCTGGGGAGAAACCTCTTCCAGCCTTACAGGGAAACAGAAATCAGCAGAACAGTAGTGGATGACTTGGGTTTTAGATGTTCGGCCAGATATTTTTCATAAACCTTTCTGTGTTTGCAACTAGGAAGAAGGGTTAGTATTTGTAAGGACTCCCCTTAATGTGAAGACTGTGTTGGTCTAAGGTGGGCATAAAGACAGCTAGATGGAATCTTCTGAAATTATCACCTGGAGTTCCACACCCACCTCCCCCACCCCAACCCCCAGCCCCCCATACACAAACACTTCCCCTTGGGACTACGGAAAAGGAGGACCAGGGCAATGCCCCAAGATCTCCACCCATTCAGCCGGGAATCTCCACTCGGCAGACATAAACAGGAAAGCATGTTTTGTTTTATTCTTAATTTTGTTGTCTGAGCTTTTCTTTTGTCCACTAACTGCTCTGCTTTGTCTAGCTCCTCCCACCCCACTGGGCATGATCTCAGCCGATCTAGCAACTTTATTTATTTGTTTATTTATTTATTTATTTTTGACGGAGTTTTGCTCTTATTGCCCAGGATAGAGTGCAGTGGCGCAATCTCGGCTCACTGCAACCTCCGCCTTCTGGTTTCAAGCGATTCTCCTGCCTCAGCTTCCCAAGTCGCTGGTGTTACAGGCACACACCACCATGCCCAGCTAGTTTTTTGTATTTTTAGTAGAGACGGGGTTTCACCAGGTTGGTCAAGCTGGTCTCGAACTGCTGACTTGTGATCCACCCGCCTCAGCCTCCCAAAGTGCTGGGATTACAGGCGTGAGCCACCACGTCCAGCCCGATCCAGCACCTTTCTAGGCTCTTCAGGTCAAGAATAGTTTGGTTCTAGTTTGGAATTTCAATAAAGGAGCCCAGCCCTTTCCACTTCATCAGGTTTGGAGTTGGGGAGACTGGTGTGCTCTACTCTGTATCCCCCTTTTCTTTCCCTCTTTCACATACACAAACTCACACACACACAGTCCCCCAACTCCCACCTGGCCCTATTTCCTTCTTTTTTTTTCTCTTATTTTTATTTTATTTTTACCCCAAAGAAGAAGGCACAATGGCCACCTGGCCCTATTAAAGCCTAGGAAATACAGGAGGTGGTAGGGAGTCTACTTATACCACAGGTCCAATCTCCACAGTTCTTATTATGAGGGTTGGTTCTCCCTGCTCGGGGTGACTGGGTCTGGAACATGTACGTGGAGAAGGGTGTGGCTGGGCCCTGAAGCCGCTAAAGGCCCTTGTAGGTGAAGTGCTCCCAGGCAGTGTTTCCTATGCTCTAGGTTTGCAGACCCCTCCTAAGAGGGCCCCCGCGTCTCCCCTGAGCAGTCCCCATGACTGGGCTGGTGGCTCTCAGGGAAGCTGCCCACGCTTGCCCCACTACCTAGCCCCAGGCTGTCTTGTGCTGTCTTGGGGCTGCAAGACACTGGGGGAAGGGTGCTGGGGCCAGAAGTAGCTCCCCATCTAGGGGCTCCACCCTATAGTTCTCCACTCAGTCCAGCACCCCTACAGGAAATCTAGGCCAGGAATGGGCCATTGTCCCCAACTTCTGGGCTCATCCTCTACCTGCAAAAGGAGTCTCTTCTGGCAGGGGTGAACTGGGAGATGAAGGCACTCGGCCTCCCCTTGCAGGAGCTCTGTCTTCGTTCCCCCTCTCAAGCCCTCTTTCATGGGAAAGAGGGCAGGACTGCCATCCAGGCTTTAGGAGAGTGGGGCCCCCCCTTACCCCACCTGGCTCCTGGGTGGTTAGCCCTACAGTAGGCCTTCTGAAGCTAAAGGGTGAAGCCTCAAGGCACTCTTTGTCCTGAGCACCTACCTTTGTCAGGCAGTGAGAAAGGGGCTAGCTCTGCACTGTCCAATTTAGTAGCTGCTAGCCACATGTGCTGACAGGCACTTGAAATGTAGCTAGTCCAAATTTAAACATGCTATATGTGAAGAATCATTAATTTCACAAGATTGAGTGTAAAAAGAGACTGTAAAAGATAGCAATAATTTTTATAATACATGTTGAAATAACATTTTGAGAATATTGAGTTAAATAAAATATATAATTAAAGTTAATTTTACTAGTTTCTTTCTACTTTTTAAATGTGACTACTAGAAAATTTAAAAATATATAAGTGGCTCACATTCGTGACTCAGATTACATTCATCATTCATACTGGACAGTGCTGGGCTAGGCAGTCACCACAGGAAAGCAGAAAGGGCATCTCTCAAGGGTTGCATACCTTCCTGGTCCAATAAGAATATGAGAGTCAAATGCAGCTTCTACTTCTCCCAGGCATTTCAAATTAGTGCCTTGCTGTGTGATAGTGAGTTCTTTGCTCAACCCCTCTGGACTCTCACCATTTCATCCCATTCTTTATTCCCCAGACCAACTCCAGGCTGATAGGAAAAAAGATGAAAACAGATTCTTCAAAAGCATGAATAAAAATGACATGAAGAGCTGTAAGTGAGAAATGATGGTTGGTTGCTTCTGCCATTTGGGGAAAGTGAGAAAAGGGGAAGAATTGTGTCTCTATGATTACATGAAGGCCAGATATAAGTGAATGCCGATTCCTCAGCCAATTGAGAGAACAGGCATATGGTTGTTTTATTATTTTAAACTCAGGTAACTCACAAAACAGTCACTAATCCCAAACTTTGAAGTATTCAGAAGTAATAGAAAATTACAAATGTATTTCTTCACTCCTAGAGACAGGGAGGAAAAAGTGGGACAAGAAGGAGGCAGCTCCACCTCTGTAGTATTTGCTGCCCCTACAGGGCACCAGGTTTCGAGGCAAACTCCTCTGGGTGTGAGGTCAGTACAGCTCAGGGGATGGAGACCCACTGTAATAACAGCCTGTGCTAAAGTCATTAGATATGGTTCTGCCACCTAAGACAATAACAGTAGAAGTACCATTTCTTAAAGGACCACTATGTGCGCATCTAATATTTCAAAACCCCACAACTATCCTCCAAGATAGGTGTTATTATCTGCAACTTACAGTGAGGTCCATGTAGCTTCCGGGAGGGGAGGTAAGTTACCCAGGTCATATGATCATTAAGTGAAAGAGAGAGAATTAGAACTCCTTTCTCCAAAGCCAGAAACTACAGAATGCATTCCAAAGCCAGAGAGCAGGATTTAGGGATCCTATTCCACCAGCATTTCTCCACAAAAGGAGCTACCGGTGTTTAGAAAGGCCATCTTTGTTATGCTCCATGACTTTTGCCCTGTTAAATGCTTAGTATCCCAGGCCCCAGAAAGCCCTATAAGCCAGTAGAGAACCACACTCTTGTTGTCACTGAGACAACCTGAAAGGTTTCCACACTTCCCCCTGGGTGGGGAATGGGTCCCACTGAGAACCATTGACTGTTCTGATTGATGATGGCAGGGTGCTTGTTTTTGTTTTTAATTTGCAGCTTCTGGTTATCAAGACCAAATAGGTTTTCTCTCCCCAATTTTTAGGGGGCTTGTTACAGAAAAATAATCATAAAATGAACAAAACCTCAGAGCCCGGGTCATCTTCTGCAGGTAAGAGTCCTGTCTCTGAATACTAAGGGACCTCTAAGTCTACAGGTGGTCAAAATGCTGTATCCACCCAATTCCACTAAATGGAATAAATGAATAAATGAATGAATTCATTTATTCCATTTCCTCAGTTCCTCCCCAAATTACACCTCTGCCAGGAAACAGAGGGCGCTCCGACTTGTTCAGGTGTACTTTCTTGAGTTTCACCTCCATCCCTCCTGCTGTATGTAGAGCTCAGCTGTGCTGTCTGGCAATGGAGGATTGCTGCCGAGGTGCTCCCGCTGACCTCTTTTCTCCTTTCCTTCTCCCGCAAAGGCGGCAGAACTACATCGGGGCCACCAAATCACCACTCTTCAGCCCCATCCCACTCCCTGTTTCGGGCCTCGTCTGCTGGGAAAGTCACTTTTCCAGTATGTCTCCTGGCCTCTTATGATGAGATTTCTGGTCAAGGAGCGAGCTCTCAGGATACGAAGACATTTGACGTTGCGCTGTCCGAGGAGCTCCATGCGGCACTGAGTGAGTGGCTGACAGCGATCCGGGCTTGGTTTTGTGAGGTTCCTTCAAGCTAAGCCAGCTCAGAGAACACGGGGAGCGGTGGTGCTACACGGACTTCGGAGCATAGAGTGGCGCTGAGTGAGTGGCTGAGACCGACCACGGTTCTTGACTTAGTGGAATTGGGTCGAAGGAGTGGAGAATGGGAGGGCTCGGGCTACTGAGAGTGGAGATGGGGGCGGGGGTGGTGGTGAAGAGAGTTGGAGAAGGAATGGACGAGTTCTTGAGCAAAAGGAGGGGAAGAGACAATCTCCAGCCACCCGCCCCACGCTTGACTTCTTATCACTTTGGCTGTGGTGCCGCCTAGTGGAAAAAGGAAGTCCCTGCAGCAGTCCCCGCACTCTTTAAGCAGCTGTTTACCGAAGGCACCAGTTCAGCCAGGAGTGAAATCCGGAGAGGAGCAACGCCAGCCTGGGTCACAGTCCATCAAACCCCATGAGCCCGACCACTCTCGCTCTTCCTTACATTCCCACGTCCCCCTTCTCTCCCAACCCCTCATATCAGCAAGGGAAATTAATTAATGAGATTTGATAAATCAGTAGATAGAATGAGGTCCCCATTCTGAAATATTTAGCAGACTGGAACCACCACGCAAGCCTCTGTAGGGGGTGGATGGAGACACTTCTAACTTTAATAAACTGCGACTGAACGTGGAATCCTAGTAAAAGTGTATGTGTGTGTGGCGGGGGATGACTATTCCTCCTTTTGTATTCCAACACTTTCACTCATCCCTGTGTTTGAGGAACTCCACTTTAGAAAATTACTGGCCCTCAGAAAGTCTGAGCCTTGACCCTCTTATACTAGACTCAATTCTTGTCTTAGACATGGGAATTAGGGGCCACGGGAAATGGACAAGGAAGAGATGGTCTCATCTTCGGGTGTTGAAATGATCTCACCACCACCACCAATGAAGAACTTCTCTCTGCGCCCACAGAACAACACATTGTGAAATTTAGGGATTAACTTTGAGGAGGAGGAGGCGGTGCCGGGCCTAAGACTTCTCTGGGGACCACAAAGGCTGTGACTGGGAAGAGAAAGCCTCTCTGGCGGCATCGAGCGGGGCGGGTGGTGGGACGGGGGTATCAGAGGAAGGTAGGGGGTTTGGACAACTTGACCCGGGGTTGGCCACCTCTTTCTCCTCATCTTCACACAGCCCCTGTGACACTGGACGCAGCCTCGGCCCACCCGGATCTCATCCTTTCCCAGGATGAGATAGTGACGCTGAACCTCGCATCCCAGGGCGGTTCGCAGAAGCGGGGCAACCCCCGACGCTTCTACAGGTTCCGCTGAGTGCTGGGCTCGCTGGGCCTTTGCTCCGGCCGCGGCGCCTGGGAGGCGGAGCTCCAAGGGCCCGGGGGCGGGGCCTGCGTGCCGGGCTTGGCCTTGGAGCTGGTTCCCAGGCGGGGCTTCCTGGAGGTGGAGCCCTTGACCGGCTTCGTGGAGCTGCACAGCAGCGGCTCCCAGTGCCAGGCGCTCATCGAGAGCGGTTCCCGGGAGGATCTCCCGATCTGTCCGAACAAAGTGGGCGTCCGCTTGGATTACTAGGGCGGAGAGGTAGTCTTCTACGACGCCACCTCGAGGACCCACATCTACACTTTCCATGCCTCCTTTCCGGGGCAGATCTCCTTTTTCCAGCTTCTGTTTTCCGGCACCCGGATCACCCTGGGTCGCTAGAGTTGTTCTTTGCCTTCCTCTGCATCTCCTCCTCACTCGCTTCTCGCCCCAGTTTGGGATGTGCTGCAGCTGGAAGGGTTGAAGCTAGGCTTCCAGCAGCCCTATGGGAAGGTTACACCCTTCGGGCTTACTCCTGATCCAGTCCTGATTTCTCTGACCCTGCTTTAAATATTCCTTCTATCTCAGTTCCTCTCTCCTTACAATATGCCTGGGTCGAAAAGAAAGGCTCAAATACACTAAAAGGCTATACACAAGGCTGTTCATTGCAGCACAGTTGGTAACAGGATAAGACTGGAAACGAACGTCTATCAACAGGTGGTTGAAAAAGCTGCCACGTGCAAGCATCCAGCTGCATCTCGGTTAAGACAGACACAGGGGAGTGGACCACTGACCCCAGCTTGTCCGCCTGTCTCCTCCTCCATTTTACCTCCTGCAGCCCCCGTGGACCTGCACAGGGCTTTGACCCATCTGAACCCCATCCTGAAAACCGACATACGCAAAACTTTTCTAGTTCTTCATAATACTCAGAAACCAAAATTAATCCCACGACCAGATGCATCCTCCTCTCAAACCCACATCACCACTACCCGCAACAAAAGTCTTGATCATTCCTAGTGTTGCCATGTGAGGGACTGAAGTTAAACCCAGAGAAGGACTGCTCCAGTTTCCTGAGTGAGCCCAAAAAAAGTAAAAGGGCGAGGAGGTTGGAAACGCAGAGACGAAATGACCTCTGGACAGTAAAACCCACCATTTGCGCCAGTTTGGGATGATTATGGGTTCCTTCCTCTTCCTCCCTTCAGGCCGGCTGGGGACTGGGTAGGCGGATGGGACCAGGCGTCTCTAGGCTTTTCCTGCCTCCTCGCTCCGGTAGGGAGAGGGCGGTGTTGCAGGAGGCGTGGGGAGTCGCCCGCCAGCCCACGCTGCTGCCCGGCGCGTGGCTGCGCAGCGGGAGGGCGGGCCCAGGTGTCGGGGCGGGAGTGAGCCAACGCCCGGAGCACGGATTCCAGGGGCGCTCAGTCAGCCCTGGCCAGGCTCCCCCATCCAGTTCCCCCAGTCGCCCGCGAGGCGCCGCCGATTACATAAACAGCCTTCACCTTCCTGCGGAGGGGACAACAAAGGGCTGGGGACACACAGGCCGAGACCCGAAAGTAACGCCCCTCCGGACTTTTATTCAGAATCAGCCGGGACTGCCCAAATCCCTATTTACAGTTCTCACAGCCCTCGTCATGGTCATGGACTTCGCGCCTTTTACCTTGTTTCCTTTCATTGTGTACAGATTCAACTTCCTTACTACAAAGGGAGATCTTTCCCAAATGTCTTAAGTTGATTTTATACTTCCTGACTCTACCAACCCCAGACACTTAGCACGGACCCTAGAATGGGGTACTTGATTAATAAATATTTACTAAATTAAAACCATGCCCTAATTTCTCTTTTCCCGCGAAAGACTGATGTCTTGGAAATCCCACTCAATTTTCGTGGACCAGCTCCACCTCACCTCCTCCAGGAAGCCTTCCCCAGGCAGGGTTCCTGGTACTTTCTGTTGGAAAAGTGTGCACACTCCCAAAGCCACTACAGCCATCTCCCTGCAGCACTTACCGCAAGTTGACTGTGAAGTCCTCGAGAACAGAAGCAGCATCTCACTCCTTTTCGTTTCACTCTCCCACCCTCCTTGAGCACTACAGGGCCTGGTTCCTAAAGGGATGTAAATGAAGGAAGGGTTCAAAGTAAATGAAAGAATACTTTGTAGCAAGGTTTAAATTTGGGGAGGTCTTCCAACCTGGACCTTAACCTTAAACGATGATCACACTCTTCTCAGCCGTGAGGGATGGGGGTCGCCTCTTTAGGAGCCTCTCAGAAGCTCATTTACTCAAAGAGAGTCCTGGCCATTCATTCGATGTTATGGCCGGGAAGTCAAGTGAATACTGAACCCTGGCCAAGATTTCCATCCCCCAGTCCAAAGTGTTTTCTGCCTCTTCACACAGTTATGATACTACTAACAGCATGTTTACAATGTTGAACAGTTTATTAAATGGATTCAGATACATTATTCCATTTGCTTCTCACAACTGCTTAAATTAGGTATGGTTACATTCCCATATTCCAAATATGGTATGAATGTTCAAACTCAGGTCTTTCAACACAAAGCACATGCAAAGTTGACTTGAAAAGATAAAATCTCATAAAATATATGATAAAATGGCTATAACAAATAGTAACTTTCCACGGTATTTCCCTACACAGACGGACACACACACACGTATACATGCACACACACACACACAACTTATCTGCTATATTAGTTTCCTAGGGCTTCCATAACACATCACCATAGACTGTGTGGCTTGAAACAATGACACATTCTCTTACAGTTTTGGAAGCAAGAAGTCTGAAGTCAAGGTGTCAGCAGAGCCATGCTCTCTCCAAAGGCTCTAGGAAAAAATGCTTCATTGCCTCTTCTAGCTCCTGGTGTTTGCTGGCAATCCGTGGCATTCTTTGGCTTGTAGATGCCTCACTCCAATCTCTGACAGCATTTTCACATGGCCGTCTCCCATGTGTCTGTGTCAAAATTTCCCTCCTCTTATAATGGCCCACCCTGATCCAATATGACCTCATCTGAACTTGATGAAAAGACCCTATTTTCTTTTTCTCTCTCTCTTTCTTTCCTTCTTTCCTTCCCTCCCTCCCTCCCTCCTTCCTTCTTTCCTTGCTTCCTTCCTTCCTTCTTTCCCTCCCTTTCTTCTTTCTTTCTTTCTTTCTTTCTTTCTTTCTTTCTTTCTTTCTTTCTTTCTTTCTTTCTTTCTTTCTTTCTTTCTTTTTTGAGACAAGGTCTGGCTCTATCACCCAGGCTGCAGTGCAGTGGCATGATCTCGGCTTACTGCAACCTCCACCTCACTGGCTCAAGTGATCTTCCCACATCAGCCTCCCGAGTAGGTGGGACTACAGGCACACAGCATGTGGGACTACAGGCACACAGCACCATGCCTGGCTAATTTTTGTATTTTTTGTAGGGACAGGGTTTTGCTATGTTGATCAGTCTGGTCTCCAACTCTTGAGCTCAAGCAATCTGCCCACCTTGGTCTCCCAAAGTGCTGGGATTACAGGGGTGAGCCACCTCATCTGGCCAAGACCCTATTTTTGAATAAAGCCACATACGTAGGTACCTGGGGCTAGGACTTCAATATGTCCTTGGCAGACAAAATTCAACCCACAACTCCATAATCTGTCACCCACAGGAAAGCGAGAACATAAAAAAGAAACAATGGTATTGGAAAAGAGCCAAGGGCAACACTTGGGGGATGCTAAGATGAGCAGAAGGGAAAAGAGATAGTGAGCATAGAGGGTGTACTCTCCAGGGAGGGTCAAATTTGAGTATCTGGCTTGGAAAACCAGAGAAAGGAGAAAGATGGTTTTCAAAAGCTAAAAGAGGAAAAAGCATGGCAGGAGTGGAGAAGTCATTAGGAGGGTGGAAGAGCTGCTCCCTAGGGAGGGAGAGTAAGAGCCACTCCACTCCTGGGGAAATCCAGTGAAAACTGGGGCAAGTGTCAAGAGATGGAGATCCACGGTACTGAGCCCCTTCCCCCACCAGAGTGGCCCCCTTGAGGAGCCAGGGGTCTGCAAGCTCCCAAAGCATATTCCTATAGAAACTCTGGGGTCATGAAGTCATCTTGTCCCCCTTCCCAGACCTGATCCTGCTGCCTGTTTTATACTCATTGTTGCTACCAACCCCCACACAGTCACCCAACCTAGGTGTTATCTTCAACTCTTTCTTCTTCCTCATTCTTACAGTCCTTGAGGCCCCAACCTCCTTGATGTTAGCGCCTACCACAGGACTCCACCCATCTTCCTCCTAGCACTGTCTAGATCAGCCCTCACCTGGATTATGACAGCTGCCTTTCTCATTTCCCTGCCTCCAGACTTATTCTGCCCAATCCATCTTCCATTACCCAGGCCAAAGTCTATGCTTTTCTAAAATTTTATTTTGAAAATCTTCTGACAGAAGAGTTGAATGAATTTTACAGTGACCATCCAAATATTACCACCTACATTTTCTCATTAGCATTTTACTGTACTTGCTTTATCAAATATGTTTCCATCGACCCATTCCTTCATCCTTCTATCCATCTTATAATTTTATGCATTTTAAAGTAAGTTGCAGATATTCAAATGATTTCTAAAAATATAATCTGGTCATGTTAGAACTTGTTGGACTTTCAATAATGCCTCCCTTCTCTAAAGGATAAAGCCTGAACTGCACGTTGGCCTGCCTTCAGCCTAACCCCTGCCCCCACCTGCTTCCCATTTTTCACTCCAGAAAGGCCAAATTGCCTAAAATTCCCCACTCACCACATTGTTTACATCTCCCTGACCCGCTTTCATTGTTCCTTCTTCTTAGCTTGTCCTCAGCCTTCCAGGGCCTCAAACGCCTCCTTCCCTGAAAGCCTTTCTTGATCCCCCACTCCTCTCCGACACTGGTTTAGGCACCACATCTATAAGCACATAGCAGTCCCCAGGGCATACTTTGATCACTGCACTAATCTCCACAATCAAGACGATCTGTTTATGTGTGTTTCTCACCTCTACCCCAACTGAGAGCTTCCTAAAAATTCAGGGATCCTGCTTTATTTGTCTATTGTCCTTGGTACCTAGAACAGTCTGTGGCATGTGTGGGTGCTCCATAAATATTTGTTGAGTGAATGCATTACTGGTTTTGTCCTTTCTAAGAGCACCTCCTGCCTTTGTACCAGCTTCTCCCACACAACATGGGGCCAGGTCTTCAATGTAGATCCCAGAGAGTTAAGAAGGAAGCAAAGAACACTGTTACCCGTGTTTTCCAGCCAAAGACCCCCCAGGAACATAACTGTCATTAAACATGCTGGGTTTATTACTCCTTGCAGCAATGGAGAATGCACCCCATGGGGAGTGTGGGACATTTTAATAAGAGTGTTAGGAAAAAACCTATGATAGGGTTTGGGTTTTGGTTAGGTGATTTGGGGAAAGGTCTAAGGAAGTGGGGGTTTGCTCTGGATTAATGCTGTTAGAAAGCAGAGCAGATCCTGTGAATGAATACCCAAATAAATATTTTCTATAGGGAGGGGAGACTAGAACGAGGGGAAAGCTATAATTGGTAAAGAAGTAGCAAACATTTCTGTTAACCAAGAGAAGGGGTGTTTGGTATTTTGTGGGTGGCACAGTGTCTTTTTTTGGATCTGTGCTCAGAAAAACTTGTGAAGCAGCCTTGCATTGTCTCACTTTATCAAGGTCTAGGAGTAAACTTGTCTGAGATTGGTATTCTGTAATATAGTTTATGCCTACTAGGTGAATAACATGGTTTAGCTCTGTTAGGCCAACTTCTGAATGTCAGAGGCTGCTCTTTTTTTTTCTCTCAGTGTTTAGGTTGGGCATTGGGAAAAAAGATGAATTAGTGGGATTGGAGCATGTGTATAGATATGTGCAGAATCCAGTTCAATGCAAAAAACTTTTCTTTTTTTTTTTTCTTTTTTCTTTTTTTTTTTGAGACAGACTCTTGCTCTGTTGCCTAGGCTGGAGGGCAGTGGTGCGATCTCGGCTCACTGCAAGCTCTGCCTCCCGGGTTCATGCCATTCTCCTGCCTCAGCCTCCACAGTAGCTGGGACTACAGGTGCCTGCCACCATGCCCGGCTAATTTTTTGTATTTTGTTTAGTAGAGATGGGGTTTCACCATAGCCAGTTGGTCCGATCTCCTGACCTCGTGATCCACCTGCCTCGGCCTCCCAAAGTGCTGAGATTACAGGCTTGAGCCAACGCTTCCGGCCACAAAATTTTTCAAATAGAGGAAGTCTGGAGTTTATTTCCAAGGTGTCCACCTCCCCAATCCAGGCATATATTTCCAGGTCACAGTGCTGACACTTTCAGCCTCCCGCAGTCACACACCCCATGGTCATGGAAAGGGACACGTGGCCCAGGTCCCTGGTGGCTCTGAGTTGTGGGGAGGGAGGAGCCAGTGGCTTTGGCTCTACCCGGACATCCATTGTTCTCCCAGGGCAAACACTCTGAAGCTTGTTTTCTTGGCTGACTGTTTTTGTTTGTCATCCTGCCTGGTATCACAGCCTCCCAGTAACTCCCAAACCTACTCATCTGAGCCCTGAGGAAAACCTATTAGATATGAATTCTTTGTTGGTTTTGTGACAGTGGCCTCTGACCAGACGGGTTCAGCTGCCTGGACCCCAAGGGCCTTGTTGTCTCTGCTCCCTGCCTTCTGGGGTAATGATCTCACCCTTGCCCCCAGTTTCAAGGATCCAGTGACTCACTGCAGAGTAAATCAACAGCATGGCAGATGCCTGGCATCTGAGGTCTCTGATACTCTCTAAGGATATGGGGCTGTGATCTTTTTTCCTTCAGTCTGGTGCTTCTGTCTGACTGTTAGTGATTCCCCTTTCCTGATAAAGGCTTTAATATTTCCTTCAAATCAGACAGCCCTGAAGTTGCTGCCTCCTGCCTTCATTATTCCTTTCTGCACAAGGCTGAATTGATTCTGTTCTGAAATTTTCCTCATCCCTGCCCTCCACACACATACTCACCAATGCATGACTTGCTTTTTCACGGCCTCTTGTCTTGTGCTTCTCTACCTTTTGGTTCAAATCTTCTTCTTCTTCTTCTTTTTTTTTTTATGAAGTTTTTATGAAGCCTTGCTCTGTCACCCAGGCTGGAGTGCACTGGCACATCTCAGCTCACTGCAACCTCAGCCTCCCGGGTTCAAGGGCTTCTCTTGCCTCAGTCTCTTAGGTAGCTGGGATTACAGGTGCCCACCACCACACCCAGCTAATTTTTTGTACTTTTAGTAGAGATGGGGTTTTGCCATGTTGGTCTGGCTGGTCTCGAACTCCTGACCTTGGGTGATCCGCCCACCTTGGCCTCCCAAAATGCTAGGATTACAGGTGTGAGCCACCGTGCAAGCCGAAAGTCTTCTTTAGCTATGATCTTCCTGAATCCTAGTTTGATTTGATCCTTCAGGACATGTTTGTGTGTATTTACATATCTGTGTTTTATACACATAGAAATGTGTGTGTGTGTGTGTGTGTGTGTGTGTGTGTGTATTTGAAATAGCTATAAACCAGGGACAGTGGGAATAGTGAGGATATGTGTTTGTGGGATCAAGTGAGGTTGTGGTTACAAGAAAAAGCTATATCTTTGATAACAGCAAAT
Source organism: Homo sapiens (assembly GCF_000001405.40). Taxonomy (NCBI): domain Eukaryota; kingdom Metazoa; phylum Chordata; class Mammalia; order Primates; family Hominidae; genus Homo; species Homo sapiens. The sequence goes on along the minus strand of NT_167248.2, from coordinate 1,349,840 downwards.
CAATAATAGATAATGCCTAAAATTAGAAGAGCAAATAGTAATAATATAATCCTTGTATTTACAGATGTGAAGGTGAACACCAAAACAGCTAAAAGAGTTGAAAGTAGTGGAGATGGGGGTGAGGGCTGCCATTTTAAAAAATTAACTCATCAACTTGTTTAACTTTTTATTTGCATATATAACTGCGATGAAAATCCTGAAAATAATCTAATTGTGTTCTGTGTTCCTTTTTTTTCCCCCTACCAGCCATGTGAAGATCTGTCACCCACTCATTTCCTCAGCCCAGTTTCTCACCCTTGCTTCCTCTCCCCCGACTCTGTTTCCAGGGGCCAGGCTTGTCCACCCCTCGGGATCTCTCCTACCTGACTGCTCTCCTCCTGCCTCCAATCTATCCACCTGCAGACAGAACAATCTCTACAACTTGTGTCACCAGAGTGTGTTTCACTTCCACTTGAAAATTCTCTGAGACTTGCCTAGTGTAACAGGATTGAGTTATGCCCTCAGTATGACAAGCTCCATGTCCCTCTCAGTGCCAGCCCTAGGCACGCAGCCTGCACCAGGCTCAGACACACCTCCTTCTCTTGGCTGCCCTGGCTCTGTACTCCCTCTGACCAAAACCCTTCCCCTGTATGTGTTTCTTTACTATGGGTCATAATTTATAGTACATAATGTTCTGCACTGACTTTTTCTTTTAACCACGATCTTATAGATCTTCTCATGTCAACCCAAATAGGTCATCTTCACTATTTTTCACTGTTACATGAATTCAATTACATAATGTATATAAAAACATTTTGCATGCCATCTGGCATATAGGAAGACTCAAATATATCCTTATCTCATTTAAGTTTCCATCACCGCAACATAATGAAGAAACACCCTTTGTCTCCTTTAACACTGTAGTTGTAAGATTCCTCCTCAACTCTTATTACAGCTATGCATTGTGCCTTTTAAAAACATTTAGTATTTTTTTTCATTGAGACAAATCTTGCTATGTTGCCCAGGCTGGTCTCTCACTCCTGGGCTAAGTGATCCTCCTGCCTCACCCTCCCAAAGTGCTGGGATTATAGGCATGAGCCACTGTGCCTTGCCCTATGCAATGGTTTTAAACAGATCACGAATTTAATTAATATCACTATTCTCCCCATTATTTCTTTAGCTTTTCCATCCAGCTCCCTACACATCCTTCTTTTGTGGATCTCAACTCCTTGGAGCTCTCCCACACACTCTGCTTGCTTGCTTTTCCCTGAAATGCCCTCTGCTATCCCCTTCCACCACCCACTGGGGAAGTGGTTCCCTTCTTCCCAGACATCCGCTGTAAAAGCTTCCCTAAGCTGCCCTCTCCCAGAGGAGCCCTCAGCCTATGGGCAGCCCCGCCCCCTACCTGGTTTGCACCACTCATATCACTCCTTAACCAGAAGGTCAGTCTTTGAAAGCAGGGCGTCTTAGTATCTTCAGTGCTTAGCATGTTGCCTGGCACATAAAAAGTGCCCCATAAGTGTTTGCAGGATGAGAATCCTCAACTTCTAAATGTCTAATCTCATTTTTCTATGTAATATGCCACACACAGAAGAGGTGCTCTGTGGTATAGAGGAGAATGTACCTTCTTATTAGCTGTGTGATCTTGGACAACTCACATCACCTCTCTGAGCCTCAGTTTCTTGATCCGTAAAATGGGGGTAATGAGATCTATGAGGAATGAATGATGAAATAAAATATAAGAAGATGTTCTAAAAATGTAAAAAGTATTACCATCACTCCTTCTTCAACCTCATTTCAAACTTTCCATAGTTCTGACAAAATCCTCTCCCCAGGTCCAGCCCGTTCTGTAAGATCATGTCTCTCCCCCCGACTCCTGATCCTCATTCCTTTCTTTTTCTTTTTCTTTCTTTCTTTTTTCGAGATGCAGTTTTGCTCTTGTTGCCCAGGCTGGAGTGCAATGGCGCATCGGCTCACCACAACCTCCGCCTCCCGGGTTCAAGCGATTCTCCGGCCTCAGCCTCACTGAGTAGCTGGGATTACAGACAGGCACCACCATGCCCAGCTAATTTTGTATTTTTAGTAGAGACAGGGTTTCTCCATGTTGGTCAGGCTGGTCTCGAACTCCCGACCTCAGGTGGTTCGCCTGCCTCGGCCTCCCAAAGTGCTGGGATTACAGGTATGAGCCACCGTGCCCGGCAACCTCATTCCTTTCTGGTGCTGTTGTTTAACCCTCTCATTCCCTTCTTCTAACTTGGTAGGCTTTGTTCTTGCCTAATTCCTCTTCAGTGTTCACTTTTCTGTAGCCTTTGCCTTTCTCCTTTCAGCATAGCTCTGTCCTCACAGCTTCCTGGAAGCCATCCCAAGAACTCTTATAGGTTCCTTTCCCTCTGCTTCCTTGAAGCTCCTCCCTGCTCCTCCTGCCACATACACCACCCAGGGGGCAGGGGAGCCTCACATGGGCGTGGATAACTCTACCAAGTGCTGGTTTCAAGGACGCTTGCAAAGGTGGCCAGAAATGGCAGATAAAAGGGCACGAGATGCCATGTTCTGCGCAGGGAGGGGCTGGATGAGGGGAACCAGAGAGTCCAAGGCAAGTCCCAGGGCAAGTTTTCCTTCCAGAGATTCAGGGCAGGCAGGACAGAGCTGGAGGGGTGTGTTTGGGGGACAGGGGAGGTAACATCTGAGGCTCAGGAGGCAGTCAGAGGGAGTGGCTCCTGAACTAATTGGCAGGCTGGATGCCAGCAGCGTGCCAGTGATGTTTTAGCTACTGGTCACCAGAGGAGAGGAAGGAAGGGAGGGAGGGAGAGTCTATCATGTGGACCAAGACACAGAGGCACATGGGGCCTGTTGTCGGCTGGCTCTCAGCTCATCAGGCTTTTCTAGGTCACTCTGCGTTGCCACCTCCCTTGCTGGGTTTCCCTGCTCTGCCTCGTGCTGCCTTGCATGCCCCTGGCTTGGTTTCTCTGACTCATAGTCCACGACCCGGACACTCTCTTCAAGTCTCTGTGCTCCTGGGAGTTGGTGTTCTAACACTGTTGGGGAGGAAGCACTTGAGTCCCAGCATGCAGGCTTTGACCTTTATCCTGCATGGCCCCCAGTTTCCTCCCTGTGACTGGAATGTGACACAGGCTCCTGGAGTAGTTAAGAAAGTAGTAAAATCTTTAATGATTTGAAAATTATAAAATTATAAAATTATTACTGTGTTAAAGTGAACTATCCTTGTTCTTTTTGTTTCTCCACCACTCCTAATGTCAGATATGCTTACATCGGGCTGCACAGTTCACAGCACTGTTGGATGGCCCACAGGCCTCCTGGCTTCACATGTCCAACATGCCACCCCTGATCTTCCTGCCCAGGCCAGCTCCTCACAGTTCTTCCCACTGCAGTCACTGGCAGCTCCATCCTCCCCATGGTGGGGCCAAATTCCTTAGAGCTTCCTGCCTCCTCCTTTGCTCTCACACTCCACAACCAATGCAGTAACTCACGTCCAGAAATCAGCCCCTTCCCACCAACTCCAACCCCTGGCAGGCTCACCTCACCCAGTACTGAATGAAGTCCTGACAATGACAAAGCCCTGCACAGTCGGCCAGTCCCATCTCTGACTTCCTACTCCACACCCGCTGCTCCCTCTGCTCCAGCCACATGGCCTCATGTTAAATCTCAAACACATCAGCAGCTTCAGCATCACAGCCTTTGCCTCTGCCTTTCCTTTCATCTGGATGATCCTTCCTTCAGATAAGCACTTGACGACTTCTCTTACCACCTTCAAATCTTTGCTCAAATAGAATCTATTGAGATTGTAACTCTATCTACTCCATCCAGCACTCCATCCAGCATTGAGAAGGCCCATCTCTCTAGGTGATATTTAAGGGCAGATCTGAGAGATGAATAAGAGATCATCATGCTCAGAGAGGAGAGAAGGGCATTCCAGGCACAGGTAACAGCTTTGCATCAACCTAGAGGCAAGAACAATTTGGGCTAATTTAAGCAAAGTTGACGCATGATGAGTTGGGAGTAAAGATGGCACAAGATAATAATGAAGACTTAGAGATTAGAGCAAGCAAAAACTTAGGTTTTAGTAGTGGAATAGGCAAGAGTGCAATGGGGGAAGATCCGAGGCCACTACTTGCTAATGGCATTCCCCAGAGTTGTATAAGGCAGTCATCCCAAAGAGAGAAAACTATGCTAGCATTTGTGTCTTTCTTCCCAGCTTTATGTTGCTTCGTGGTACCTACCATACTTTACACTTATTTATTTGTTAATGAGCTGTTCTCCCCGCTAGAGTTTAGAATTCCCATGAGGCCAGGTTCCTGTCTGTGTTGATCTCCACTGAGTCCCTAGCTTTCAACACTGTATCTGCACATAGTAGGTCCTTAATAAGTACTTTTGAACGAATAAATATAAATTACTTTTATCATCCCTAAAACAAATTTTTTGATATAATTGTTTTCACTTTATAGTCACAAAACTAACAAGAGTCAAGTCAAATCTTGACACCCTACTGTTTCTAAGTGGTGTCAATGTTCCTTCATACTGTATAATTTCTTATCTGGTTTAGTCAAAATGGGCAAAGGCTTCAGTTTTTTCAATTTTAAAATGAGGAGTTTGGACTAATGGATTGCCCATTTGCTGGAGGATGATACCTGCTCCTTCCTCCAGGGCCTCCCCTGCTGCTCCAGTCCAAGTTCTTTTCCCTCTTCCAGCCTCCCCTCTTCCTGGGGTCTGGACAACAGAGGTTAAATGGTTTAAAGGCCCACTGGGAGACTGTGAATCACAGAAGCACAGGAATCCTTTCCATTTCTAGCTACCTACACTCCATCTATCTCACTGGCTGAGGCTTCGATTCTGTCAAGGAAATAGGATGACTACAGAACAGAAAGAAAGGACAGAGAATAAAAAGGAGAAAATGATGAAGGGGAGGGCAGGGAGGAAGGAGAGAAGGACAGAGCAAACAGGTCTCGTGCATGTTAGTGAATATTCTGCAGAGAGGAGAAGCAGTTATTGTGGACTGTGGTCCAACTGAAACAAAATATCTCATCACTTTGTCTTTACCCCCTCTCTTGTGATCCCATCTCAACATCCAAAGCTCATTAAGTATGTAGCCCATTTCTGTAACAGCCTTGCAATTACACAGTCATCCATTCCAGAAATTAGAAATTCATGATTGATTTTCCCCTCCCTCATCACCCAAAGGCCACTTCAATGTTTTTGTCAATTCTATCTACAAAATACACTTCAAATTGGCCTGCTCATTTTCAGCTCCACTGGATCCCACTATCTCAAGCCATCATCCTTTCTCACCTAAATTACTGGCATAGTTTTCTCTCTTTGGGATGACTGCCGTATACAACTCTGGGAATGCCATTAGCAGGTAGTGACCCTGGGTCTCCCCCATTCCACTCTTGTTTATTCCACTACTAAAACTTAAGATTTCACTTGCTCTAGTCTCTGCCTACGTCTTCATTATTATCTTGTGCCATCTTTACTCCTAACTCACCATGTGTCAACTTTGCTTAAATTAGCCCAAATTGTTCTTGCCTCTAGGCTGTTGCAAAGCTGTTACCTGTGCCTGCAATGCCCTTCTCTCCTCTCTGAGCATGATGATCTCTTATTCATCTCTCAGGTCTCCCCTTAAATATCACCTCGGAAGATGGGCCTTCCTCAATGTCCCCCATCTAAATTAAGGACTTCTGCTCTCAGTCTCTGTGCTGGAGATTTGTCAAAATGTCAGATTTATCAAATAAAAGTACAGGATGTCCATTTAAATCTGAATTTTAGATAAATAATAAACAAGTATTTTGTGTAAGTATGCCCCATGCAGTATTTGGGAGATACTTATACTAAAAAATCATTGTTTATCTGAAATTCAAATTTAACTGGATGTTCTGCATTTTATCTGCCAAACCTACATATATGGAATGACCTCATTTCCTTTCTATTGAAGAGATTGAAAAGTAAAAAACTCTATTTCTCAGAATTTTTGGAGCTAGGATTCTGGACATGAATTAAGTCCTTCCAACTAAATGTATTTCTATGAGATTTGAAATGCAGAAGTGAGGTAGAGGCTATTTTCCTATAGAAGAGCATGGATGAGCCCCAATAAACATGAAATGTGCATGGGGGTAGGGCAGCTGGGCCCGTGGCTGCTATGCTAGCAGTAGCTGCAGCACTACTGACCTATGGTGATTGACCTTGAAGCCAATAAACCAGTTAGGACATCCTGACTTTTTTTTTTTTTTTTTTTTTTTTTTTTTTTTTTTTTTTTTGAGACGGAGTCTCGCTCTGTCGCCAGGCTGGAGTGCAGTGGAGCGATCTTGCTCACTGCAACCTCTGCCTCCTGAGTTCAAGCAATTCTCCTGCCTCAGCCTCCTAAGTAGCTGTGACTACATCATGTGCCACCATGCCCAGCTAACTTTTGTATTTTTAGTAGAGACGGGGTTTCACCATGTTGGCCAGGATGGTCTCGATCTCTTGACCTTGTGATCTGCCCAACTCAGCCTCCCAAAGTGTTGGGATTACAGGCATGAGCCACCGTGCCCAGCCAATATTTTTTCTTCTTAATTGAAACAGGCGCCTAAAAGACAGGAAGGAACCTGCTCCTGCATTCTTGACAGATGAGGATCCGAAAGTTTTCCCTACTTACACACCAGCAAGATCATCTCTCTGGGAATCAATTTTCTTATCCATATTGTAAGGGCTAGACTACACATTGTTAATGTTCCCTACAACTCTAGCATTCTACAAATCTATGATTCTTTGAAGTCTTTAATAGAGGTGGGAGCCAGAATCAAATTAGCTATATTTGGTGCACTTACTAGCAATCCTTGTACAGGTTAATAAATAACTTGTTTGGAAGACCTATTCTCCCCGATGGGGAAGTGGACATGGAAATGAGATGATCGTCTTGAATGTAAATAATGTGAAGGGGAATAGGAATTAGAAAAAGAAAACTGAGAGAAAAGACTACTAGGACAAAATGAGCTTCAAAATACATAAATCATGCTGAGTGTGGTAGCTTATGCCTATAATCTCAGCTCTTTGGGAGATGAGGCCAAAGTGGGAGGATTGAAGCCAGGAGCTTGAGATCAGCCTGGGCAACACAGCCAGATCCCATCTCTACAATCAATCAATCAATCAATCAATCCATTAGACCACGTAAATATCACACTTACAGCTACTCAGTGGCATTCCACTGCTCTTAGAACAACGATCAACTCCTTATCCTGGTCCCTAAGGTCCTACACAGCTTGGCTCTTAGTACCTCTCCAATCTCACATCAAACCATTGTCATCCCACTTCATACGTTCAAGATCTTTCCCACTTCAGGGTCTTTGCATCTGCTGTTGTTGCTCTCTCCCAACTCTTCTCATTGCTGGCTCCCTCTCTTCACCTTCTCAGAGGAGCTTTTTCTAACATCCTATTAAAAGTAGTGCACACCTCCTCCAGTTAATTCCTCTTATATTACCCACTTTGTATTCTTCAAAGCACTGATCACAATCTATAATTATCTTGTTAATTTATTTGTTTACTTGCTTATTGTTGGCCTTTTTCAATGGAATCTAAATTACCAGAGGACAAGGGACTATGGCTGGCTTGCTCTCCACTCTTCCTAACTCCTAGAACAACGCATGGTACATAGTAGGTGCTTAGTAAATAGTTGTTGAATGATTAAATGA